>NC_000015.10:41761722-42064752 GCF_000001405.40 Homo sapiens
ACTATTTGTATTCTAGGCCTTCAGTGAAATTCAGGGACTAACAGATCAGGCAGACAAATTGATAGGACAGAAAAATCTCCTGACTCGAAAACGGAATATTCTGATACGGAAAGTATCGTCTCTTTCAGGTGAGATAAGTAAATAATCTCTGGTAAAGAGCATAATTATAGCTTTATCAAGAAGAAATCCTCAGTAGATCTTTCAGATACTTAATTGAAAGCTTGGCTCCCACAGTTTACAGCACAGTTATCCTTTGACTGGGTGGTGGGTTGTTTCTTGTGAATTGTAATCACCTTACTTTCCATAGTTTTTGGGAATATAGTTAAAGCAACTAGATTTCTGTTGACTCTGTTTCTCATTATGTGGCGTAATGCTGAAAGTGCTAATGTATTCTGTTAACTTACAGGTAAGACAGAAGAAGTGGTCCTGAAGAAGCTAGAGTATATTTATGCAAAACAGCAAGCACTAGAGGCACAAAAAAGAAAAAAGAAGATGGGATCAGATGAGTTTGACATATCTCCCAGAATTAGCAAACAGCAGGAAGGATCTTCTGCATCATCTGTAGATCTTGGACAGATGTTTATAAATAACAGGAGGGGGAAACCTTTGATTCTTTCCAGAAAAAAAGACCAGGCCACAGGTAGGAGGGACATTCTTCGCTTTCCTTAATGTAGATATACATCAGTTGACTTTAGTGGACTGACCACCTTCTCTTGTCCACATTTTTAGTTTTGTGTGGTTTTTTTTTTTTTTTTTTTTTTTTTTTTTTGGAGACAGCTCTGTCGCCCAGGCTGCAGTTGCAGTGATGTGATCTCAGCTCATTGCAACCTCCACCTCCCAGGTTCAAGCGATTATCTGCTTCAGCCTCCTGAGTAGCTGGGACTACAGCGAGCACCACCATGCCCAATTTGTTTTTTTAATTTTTTAGTAGAGATGGGATTTTGCCCTGTTGGCCAGGCTAGTCTCAAACTCTTGACCTCAAGTGATCCACCCGCCTTGGCCTCCCAAAGTGCTGGGATTACAGGTGTGAGCAACCACACCCAGCCCACAGTTTTAGTTTTAATTAAATGAATTAAAGATGGGTTGTATAAAAAGTAGAATATTAACTACATTCGATTTTGGTTTCTGGTTGTAATACACACTCATGCAAATCCTGAGAAGTTACCAGTCCTGGTAGCATATTAGTCTATAGTCATGTATTTTTAATGAGTAGTTTTTTAAACTTATCTTTTCAGACTTATACTTGACTTCGTGATTTCCCTGCAGTTCTACTGATGGGTTTAAGAAGTTGGGTCTAGCTGAGACCAATAAATGGGAAATTTTTTGTAAAATTTAATTTTGTCAAATCAGGCTCTATTTTTCTTTCTTCCTTTTTTTTTTTTTTTTTTTTTTTTTGAGACAGAGTCTTGCTCTGTTGCCCGGGCTGGAGTGCAGTGGCGCGATCTTGGCTCACTGCAAGCTCCACCTCCTGGGTTCATGCCATTCTCCTGCCTCAGCCTCCCCAGTAGCTAGGACTATAGGCGCCTGCCACTACACCCGGCTAATTTTTTTTGTATTTTTAGTAGAGACGGGGTTTCACCGTGTTAGCCAGGATGGTCTCGATCTCCTGACCTCGTGATCCGCCCACCTCGGCCTCCCAAAGTGCTGGGATTACAGGCGTGAGCCACTGCGCCTGGCCATCAGGCTCTATTTTTCATCAGATCACTTACTTATTAATACATTACTATTAAGAAACAGTAGGCCGGATGCGGTGGCTCACGCCTGTAATCCCAGAACTTTGGGAGGCTGAGGCGGGCAGATCACCTGAGGTTGGGAGTTTGAGACTAGCCTGACTAACATGGAGAAACCCTGTCTCTACTAAAAATACAAAATTAGCCAGGTGTGGTGGCTCATGCCTGTAATCTCAGCTATTTAGGAGGCTGAGGCAGGAGAATCACTTTAACCCGGAAGGTGGAAGTTGTGGTGAGCTGAGATCACACCATTGCATTCCAGCCTGGGCAACAAGCACGAAACTCTGTCTGAAACAAAACAAAACAAAACAAAACAAAAACCCCAAAGTAAATTAGTCTTAACTTCTTATTACCATCTTGATTTTGGAAGTAAAGTTATATTGATTTTATGTGTTACTTATATTCTTAGAGAATGGTATATCTGGCTGGGCGCAGTGGCTCATGCCTGTAATCCCACCCCTTAGGGAGGCAGAGGCAGGAGGATTGCTTGCACTCAGGAATTTGAGACCAGCCTTGGGCAACATGGTGAAACCCTGTCTCTACTAAAAATACCAAAATTAGCCGGATGTGGTGGTGCACACCTGTAGTCCCAGCTACTTGGGAGGCTGAGGCAGGAGAATCACTTGAACCCGGGTGGCGGAGGCTGCAGTGAGCTGAAATCACACCACTGTGCTCTAGCCTGTGTGACAGAGTGAGACTCCATCTCAAAAAAAATTAAAAAAAAAAATGGTATATTCTTTTTTACTCTTTAAATGTTTGGATAGCCCAGTGTATGAGCCAAAAAAAATCTGGTGTGGGTATTTTTTTTTTTTTTTTTTTGAGACGGAGTCTCGCTCTGTTGCCCAGGGTAGAGTGCGGTGGCGCAATCTAGGCTCACTGCCAGCTCCGCCTCCCAGGTTCACGCCATTCTTCTGCCTCAGCCTGCCGTGTAGCTGGGACTACAGGCGCCCGCCACCACGCCTGGCTAATTTTTTGTATTTTTAGTAGAGATGGGGTTTCACCGTGTTAGCCAGGATGGTCTTGATCTCCTGACCTCGTGATCCACCTGCCTCGGCTTCCCAAAGTGCTGGGATTACAGGCGTCAGCCACCGCACTTGGCTGTTTTGTTTTGAGAAGGGCCTCACTCTGTAGCTCAGGCTGGAGTGCAGTGTCTCGCTTGCAGCCTTGACCTCCTGGGCTTAAGCAATTCTCCCACCTCAGCCTTCCTAGTAGCTGGGACCACAGGTGCACACCACCACACCCGCCTAATTTAAAAAAATTTTTCTTGTAGAGATGGAGATGGGGTCTCACCATGTTTCCCAGGCTGGTCTTGAACTCCTGGGCTCAAGTGATCTGCCTGCCTCAGCCTCCCAAAGTGCTGGGATTACAGGCATGAGCCACCACACCCAGCTGAATGCCTTTTATCTATAACTAATTTCTGATCTTTCTTACAGAAAATACCTCACCCTTGAACACTCCACACACCTCTGCCAACCTTGTGATGACTCCGCAAGGGCAATTGCTCACCCTAAAAGGTCCCCTATTCTCAGGACCAGTGGTAGCTGTTTCTCCTGATCTCTTAGAATCTGATCTTAAGCCTCAAGTTGCCGGTAGTGCTGTGGCTCTACCAGGTATGTTGTAAGTGTTGTCCTCTATGGGAAGTGATAAAGTTATCCCTAACATCTCACGGTGACCAAGGAAGGCTTTGGATGTGTTCTGTAATGATAAAGAGCTATTCTGTTGGCATTTGCCTTGGTAAGAGGTGGCCCTATTTTTAGAACACATTTGGCTTGAGCTGTGGTACTGTTTGGTGTGTTTTACACCTGGTATTGGGAACCATTTTGTGAACACTAGTAATTTCTAAGAGGAAGAATAAAAAAGATATCAGAGGGAAAGGAAGATGTTAAATGATCATGGTCTTAGGTCTTGGTGTTGATAAATATTTGTCACTTTTTGTGGTACTCAGAGATGATAACAGTCCTGCATTATTAGCCCCATTCACTTTGAGCACTACTCTGTTTTGGGGCAAAGGGTAAAGTTGAAAGAGAAGCCTCACTTGGGTGATTAGGTTCCAGGCAACTAAATTTCTATTAAGATGAAAGGGTCTCTTTAGTAATATTAGGATCCTGGTTACTTTATTGCCATTGCCAGCCAAAATTCCTTGTCTCTACCTGTTGCCAAACTCACTCTGGAGGACTCATCTTTCCTGGTTCCCATGCTGCCTTTAGGGCTTCATTTTCTGCGCTAAGTAGCAGTTAATTAGGTGAACAGAATCAAGATGCATTTCTGCCTTAGGAGAAGAATTAACTTGGGGAGCATTTCTATAAAATAATTAAATGGAACTTTAAAAAATGGTGGAAAGAGCCTTTTGGTTGGATTTTAGTTGAGATTTTTCTTGTTGGGTTAGGTCAATAATTTGAAGAACTGATATTTCTTTCATCTTTTTGATAAAAGTAGAGTGCTGAATTTAGACTACAAATCCCTAAGATGGTTATATGATATGACAGAGAGAAAGAGAGGTGTTAACACTAGATCTAAATGAATTTTTCTTTTTTTAATTTTTGTTTTTCAGAAAATGACGACTTATTTATGATGCCACGAATTGTTAATGTGACATCATTGGCCACAGAGGGAGGTTTGGTAGATATGGGTGGCAGCAAATATCCTCATGAAGTTCCTGATAGCAAGCCATCTGACCATCTGAAAGACACCGTCAGGAATGAAGATAATTCCTTAGAGGATAAGGGTAGAATCTCTTCCAGAGGAAACAGAGATGGCAGAGTGACGTTGGGTCCAACGCAGGTTTTTCTGGCAAACAAAGATTCTGGTTATCCACAAATAGTTGACGTTTCCAATATGCAGAAAGCACAAGAGTTCTTACCTAAAAAGATTTCTGGTGATATGAGAGGGATTCAGTATAAATGGAAAGAGAGTGAATCAAGAGGGGAGAGAGTGAAGTCAAAGGATTCTTCATTTCATAAATTAAAGATGAAAGATCTCAAGGACTCAAGCATAGAGATGGAACTGAGGAAAGTAACATCAGCTATAGAGGAAGCAGCTCTTGATTCCAGTGAACTGCTGACTAACATGGAAGATGAGGATGATACTGATGAGACACTGACTTCACTGCTCAATGAAATTGCCTTTCTTAATCAACAACTAAATGATGACTCTGTTGGCCTGGCTGAACTACCCAGCTCTATGGATACAGAGTTCCCAGGGGATGCTCGGCGGGCTTTTATTAGTAAGGTTCCTCCTGGAAGCAGAGCAACTTTCCAGGTTGAGCACTTGGGAACTGGTTTGAAAGAGTTGCCTGATGTTCAAGGGGAGAGTGACTCTATCAGTCCCCTCCTCTTGCACTTGGAAGACGATGACTTTTCTGAGAATGAAAAACAACTTGCAGAACCAGCCTCTGAGCCAGATGTCCTTAAGATTGTTATTGACTCTGAAATAAAGGATTCCCTCCTTTCCAACAAGAAAGCTATTGATGGAGGGAAGAATACTTCTGGCCTCCCTGCAGAGCCCGAAAGTGTGTCCTCACCCCCCACCCTACACATGAAGACTGGCTTGGAGAACAGCAACAGCACAGACACTTTGTGGAGGCCTATGCCAAAGTTGGCCCCTCTAGGTTTAAAAGTAGCTAATCCTTCCAGTGATGCAGATGGTCAGAGTCTCAAGGTGATGCCTTGTTTGGCACCTATAGCTGCCAAAGTTGGGTCAGTTGGACACAAAATGAACTTAACAGGGAATGACCAGGAAGGCCGGGAAAGCAAGGTGATGCCTACATTGGCACCTGTTGTGGCTAAATTGGGCAACTCGGGGGCCTCACCAAGTTCTGCAGGGAAATGAACTTACTTGTCCTTAAGCAGAAGCCAGGCTGTGAGGGGAAATAGATCTCACCTCCTTTCTCTGCAGGCATCTGTTTGTTTGTGTCTTAGAACTTGGATCCTTGACTTCAATGATGCAGTGGATAATGATGGGAGAAAGGGGGTAGGGTGCTGACCCTGGTATAAGAAGTACTCTGAAATTCTGATCATGTTAAAATGTGTTACCTCACTTGTGGTGCTGGGTCCCCTCATCCTCTCTAAGAAGATGTGATCCATTACTGAACATGAGGTGCCCCTCTTACCCAAGGAATTTATAACATGACTCTGGCTCCACAGTGGTTTCTAGTTCTTCCCCCACAAGCGAAAGAGCTGTTTGCAACTTTGGAGTTGCTGTAGACTGAACTGTAGCTTGTAGCTGTTGAATTAAGTCCAAAATCTAAGGAATGCGATGGACTTGTGCAAAGGGATCCAGAAGAGACACTTTTTAGTTGATGTTTCAAGAATAGGGAGAGAGAGGATGGGTACCATGGAATACCAAAGTGAAGGACTTTGTGTCATTCAGTAAAATTTTCTTTTTTCATATCCTAAGTAGCTCCCATTCCCTCACCTTTTCAATCAGAATTAACAAATTCAAGCCTTCAGTAAAGTAGGGATGCTTTTAACTTTTATTATTAATTATTTTGAGATCTTAAAAAAATAGTAGTTCTCCCTTATTATTTTTGTGGGCATTGAAAAGCTCATTTCACAGTACCAGAGATTTTTACTGGGAGTATATATTTTGGAGGTAGGCATAGAGGGAGCCCTACCCCTTCCACAAATTACGTTACTCAAGAGACAGCTAAAATAAAATGCATTATCTCCCCAGACCAGAGACAGTGGCCAAAATAAAAAATCATGGGGCTGGAAATTTCCCAAATCAAACCAGCCTCCTGGTGCTTGAAGGTTTCATTCACTATTACCTGCACAGGATGTAAAGAAAAGTCACAGTAGGCACTCTTTACCAGGGAAATAAGGCAGTATTTGAATCACAAGATATATTTTTTATCTGCAACCATGGATCCAATGATCTGTAGAGCTTTTTCACTCATTAACTGTCAGGATATGAAGGACTGACAGTCTGTAAAGATATTTATATTTTTGTATAGTTGTTTTCATAGATTTCTCAAAGGCTGAAGTTTTCAACCTAGAAGATGAGATTTGTATTGAGTATAGAAATGATGTTTCCTATCTAGTTTGTAAATAATCATGGTGCACTTGAGGGGTCTCTTGGAAACTCCTAGGGGGTCAAGAATCACTATTCTGAAACTGTATAGACTGGGATTTAGCTGCTGCATTTTGCCTTTCTTAAATAATTATATTTTGGAATGTAACCCCTGTTCTGTCTTCATTGACAGGATTTGCTTGTGTTGTTAAAACACTAACACAAGAGCTTCCAGTGCCTGGGCCGTGCCTAGGTGATGCTATTTCTTCTATATCTCCTGTCTTCTTTATCCCAAATCCCACTCAGCATATCTTCAGACCTAGGTTGTAAGACCAACTTTGGATTGGATCTAGCCAGTGAATTATTATTTCCATGGTTGGTTCCCTTTCTGTTAACTCTGGTAATCAACAGATTGAAAACGGTGGAAGAACTTCTGAAAATTGCAGTGGGAGCAAATTCTTGTTGGTTTTGTGCTGCTTGCCTTTCTAGATCTGCTCATCAGCACTTAACCTTCCCTCCTCTAAAGGTTACTAAAGAAGCCTGAAGTAGGTAAAGAGTGCTCCTCAGCTTCTTATCCTTCCACTCTTTACCCAGCAGATTTCATTCAATGCCTTAGCCAAGGAGTCCAGCACCTGTCTCCCCTGCTAATAATTGTCCTTAGAGATGCTAGTACTTTAATCCAGGTATAGCAGTTTCCCGTTATTTTCTTGCTTGTCGTTCCCCTACATTTCCTCCTGATTTCCCAAGACTCTCTTTGTGGCTTTTGAGGGTCAGCCAAGGAGCAGGCAAGTGAGTGAACAATCCTCAGGAAAAGAAGGACCATTTTAGCTTAACACTTCCTTTTTTTTTTTTTTTTTTTTAAGAAGAATATAGGTAAACAGGTAATGATTCTTGATTGGAGATACCATTTGACTCTTGATGAGAGTTGTACGAAGATGGAAATGAGGGATGATTCCAGGCGTTTTAGGGGGAAGGCTGCAGATACCATTCTAACCCCCAAGATACTGTGTTCTCAAGACCTCTTAGAACTAGGTGTTGTCAGGGATAATTTGAGGAGGGCTTAGTCTTCAGAACAATCCTGCAGTCTTGACAGAAATCTAAAATCTCCAAAAACTCCTACCCTTTAACCTTACCCTAGGGGGAACTGATCTATGAATATTACATGTGTGATTATGAAAGGTGAAGTTGAGTGAGAGGAGTTGAGGAACGTGGAAGACAGTGAGCTCTCACCCTAACACTATAAGAAGCATGATCTCAATAGACCAATAATTCACCTTTTTATACATCTGTAAATAAATGGAATGTTTTTAAGAATATAATTATGTCAGATTTAGCATTTTCTTTTATATATTAAATATATATATCTTTCCTTTTCTGCTTTCGAAAAGTGACTATTTTTTTAGAAATCTAAGAACAGAAGTTTGGTGATTGAAAGGTAGAATATATAAACCTGAAATAAAGCAGTTAAAACAATTAAAGCAGAACTTGGTGTTGGGAGGTTTGTGCCAACTTGGAGTGGAGAATTCTAATTCCCTAAGACATATTTGAGAGAGGTGCCACTGAAGTGGTTTTATCATAGGAATCCTTTCCTTTTCTCTAAGTTTCTGATATGCCATTTGGGGGAGGTTTTCGATGTTCTAATCCTTGTAGCATGTTTTACATGGAGGCTTCAAAATTGTGTGCAACCTGATGGCAAGTATTTGTTTTAGAAGTCATTCTAAAATCATTCTGGTGTCAGTATGAGCAAGGCAGTTCACCTGTTAACCTTGGGGAGTAAAGGTACACAAACACAGTCTTTTAGTGGTAAAGGACAGTAGGTGTTCTTAAGGGAAGATATGTTAAAGAGTTTGACAGTTAACAAAAACGTTTAAAGGAATCCTTTAGACATCCAACTACTCCTATCTATTAAGGTCACTAACAGATCAAGTCCAGTTATATAAGCTTCATACAAATTGTTCACTTTGTGTGATTTTATAGTACATACAATAGTTTTTTCGTGGAATTACAGATGAAATACCTGATGCTAGGCTCTTCTATAACAAGTTTGAAAATGTTTTGAACACACAAGAAAGGCAGACAATCCATATGTTATTTTTGGTTTAGTGGTTTAGATAATTTTTTTTCTAACTATACTGGTTGAGATATTTGAAATCAAATAGGGTGATGCACTTTAAAAACGGGTCTAGAAAATAGTGACAGCCCTTGTCCCTCACTCCAGAATTA
The DNA here is from genome assembly GCF_000001405.40 of Homo sapiens. Classification (NCBI taxonomy): domain Eukaryota; kingdom Metazoa; phylum Chordata; class Mammalia; order Primates; family Hominidae; genus Homo; species Homo sapiens. The sequence goes on from NC_000015.10 coordinate 41,770,683, forward strand.
AACAACAACAAACCATACACAGCACATTTTCCAGGTACTTTTATAGAGAATGACTGATAACCAAGAATCAGAATACATTTCTTGCACAAAACTGTTGGTTTTGAAGAAGGTGCTGTAAAGGCATCAGTACTTCATGTCACTGTATTATCACTAATGAAATTTTTATTTTTATTTTTTTTGAGGCAGAGTCTCACTCTGTCGCCCAGGCTGGAGTGCAGTGGTGCCGTCTTGGCTCACTGCAAGCTCTGCCTCCCGGGTTTACGCCATTGTCCTGCCTCAGCCTCCGGAGTAGCTGGGACTACAGGCGCCCGACACTGTGCCCGGCTAATTTTTTTGTATTTTTTTGTAGAGACAGGGTTTCACCATGTTAGCCAGGATGGTCTCAATCTCCTGACCTTGTGATCCGCCCGCCTCGGCCTCCCAAAGTGCTGGGATTACAGGCGTGAGCCACTGCGCCCGGCCTACTAATGAAATTTTACATGGACACAAATATCTAGGTGCAGGGAAAATTAAAGCTGAGATATTCAGACTCACTGCCAGTTGGAGGAAAAAAATCAGTTATAACGCATTTTTTGGAATAGAGGGAAATAATTTGATAAGTACAACTTTTTGTTTGAGGTGTAGCTAATGTTAGACATGACTGAGCTGTTCTACACATAAGTGTTGAATAGTGATGGTGGTGCATTAAGAGGATGGGAAGACTATGGGATGAGTTGGAAATTTTGAGACAAATCTAAACTCTACTAATTTCTATTGTTGTAAACTCTGCTGGTAGAAAAGATATTAAGTAGGAAAGCAGTCTTGGAAGCATGGTTTTGAGATCCATTGTGTTTCCAACTGCAATCATTGATCTCAGCTGTTGCACAGTGCCTTTGCATGTAAAGGTGCTCAATAAATATTTGAATTGATGAGCAAATGTTTAGACTGTTTCCCAGGAACTTATACCTTATTTGCATGTTATGCCTAGGGTGAATTTTAAAATTTGATCTAATGAGTATAGTGCTAAACAGACAACTATATAACGTCTATTCCCCAGACATCTAGAATTTCAGAAGCTGGCAAACACTATGTATAGATGTTTAGGACATATAAAAGTAGAATAAAGTGTTAAATAGTGTATGGATGATGAAATACTTATGAAGAGTTAACTGCATTTTGGAGGATTGGGATGGCAAGTAGAGTCATGCGTCACTTAATGATGGGGATACGTTCTGAGAAATGCACCTTGGGTGGTTTTGTTCTGCAAACATCATAGAGTGTACTGTACTTAAACAAACCTAGATGGTGTTGCTTAACCACACACCTAGGCTGTGTTGCTCCTAGGCTACAACTCTGTACAGCATGTTAACTGCACTGAATATCATAGGCAGTTGTAACACGTGGTGTTTGTGTGTCTACACATAGGAAAGGTATGGTAAAAATATGATATTATAATTTAATGGGATCATGTGGTCATTGAAATGTATACAGTGCATGACTGTAAATCTGAGTGGAGAAAAGTGAATAATGCTTCTGTTCACATTAGACCTGGGACTGTTATTTTCTGAGGAATTAATGAAGAATGGGAATAGCCTATATAGCTTATTCCTATATTGGTATCTCAAAGGCAGTGTAGTACCTAGACAATAAAAGTTGGACTGAATTGTGAAGAATTAAAAATGTGTGGGCCGGGCATGGTGGCTCACGCCTGTAATCCTGGCACTTTGGGAGGCCAAGGCAGGCGGATCACGAGGTCAGGAGATCGAGACCTCCTGGCCAACATGGTGAAACCCCATCTTTACTAAAAATACAAAAATTAACTGGGTGTGGTGGCGCGTGCCTGTAATCCCAGCTACTCGGGAGGCTGAGGCAAGAGAATGGCTTGAAACCAGGAGTCGGAGGTTGCAGTGAGCTGAGATCGCCACTGCAGTCCAGTCTGGGGACAGAGCAAGACTCTGTTTAAAAAAAAAAAAAAAAAAAAAAAAAAAGCGTGGCTTTGGCCTAAGACTGGAAGTACCCAGATTCCAGACTTAAGAAATCCTCATTAAAATGCTTTCAGTTGTTTTTCATGAAAGAAATGACCAGTGATACTTTGTAAACCATTTATCTGGCCATGAGTGATCAGGTGAGAAAACCGTTAGCGGACACCAGAATGATCTGGAGAGGATTAGGGACGGCTCTTGTGGGCACATTTTTACTCTAGTTTCATGGGTGGAGATGGCATCTGCCGTGGTCTGCAGCATGCAAGTAAAGACACCAGGTGGCACCATTTATTAGCTTTCAATCCCATGGAGAGGTCCCATCATGTAACTACCAAGAGGTTGAAGGAACCAACTACCTCTTGCATATTGTAGCTAATGGTTCTTGCCTTCTTCTTCCAGACTTGGGAAATAAATTTGAAAATCGTATTTTCTGTTTCATAATATTTGCAGTGCATGGTTGAAGGGAAGAAGGCCACGTGCTATTGCCAGTTGGTCTCCAGGAGGTGACATCCATCATCTCCATGTCAACTTGTGAGCTTTACAAATCTAATTTTCAGTACGTGGCTACAGTATACACAAGAAAATATGTGCTTTGCCACTTGGCTCTAAAGGCTCACCGTTGTACACAAGCAATGAGTTTAGGGGTTCTTCCCTCTTGTTATCACATGTCATCTCCACAGGGTTTCAAAAGATCTGGATAGGGTGAGACAGACACACCAGTGTAGTACTCCCTTGGGTCCCTTGTCTTTGGCTTAGGCTTTTTCATAAGGTATAATAATTTGTTAGAGGTTCTTCCCTCTTGCAGACACATGTCATCTCCACAGGGATTCAAAAGATCTGGATAGGGTGAGACGGACACACCAGTGTACTATTCCCTTGGGACCCAAGTCTCTGGCTTAGGCTTTTTCATAAGGTGATTTCTTGTGGTAGTAGTCAAGTGGAGAATACTCAGGAAATACTATTTCATGTAACATTTCCGTGTATTCCCTCTGCCTCCCCCGACATGAGTTAGAAAACTACCCCTCGATCTAGTATCAGCAAGCTCGACAGTGACCTCAGCAAGGAACAGCCCTAGATAAAAGGATTCATAAGTAAATGGAATGAGGAAAAGATCTGGAGCAACAAAGTCCTGGTCAGCTTTAGGTGAGGAAGCACAATGGGATGTTGGAGGCTAAAGAAGCCATGAAACCTAAAGTATTATAACATAGCATATTCACTTCTCTTTCCCCCGCACGCCCAAAGCTCTGTTCAAGGCCACCCTTTCCCCTTTCATGATGACCAGGTTGCCCAGTGCAAAAATACTGTTCTTAGCTATTAAATTGCATTACTCAGAATAATCCTTTCCACGTTGAGTCTACGTGCCGGACTGGCTGCGAGCAGAAACTACTTCAGTCGCTTTAAATCTCAACACTTGTGGTCGCTGGGAGCAGAGCTTTTAGGCTGTAGCTCAGTCTTGTAATTCTGAGCTAGGAGTTTCAGCTACGGTCCCTCGGGCCTATCAGATGACAACCTTAACACCCTGGAGGCGTGGTTATCGTCTTGGGGCTCTGGGAAGTGCAGTTCCATGGGGGACCAGGCCTGATAATACCATAAAAGGCTTGGTTCTCTCAATTCTGAAGCCATGTTCTGTTGACCTTCCTCTAAAAGCGGTACCCGCAATTGTGCGGATTCCGTGGTTCCCTAGTCCCAAGCCGTCTGCTTCCTGGGCCCTTTCATTGGCTCCGCCCCCGTAAACCTTGCTCGTCCACTCTGGAAGCGCTCTCCTGACTACAGGCCGCGCCCCTCGCGTCGGCTCCGCCCACCCAGCCCGCGGCTTGGCCCAGGCGGTAGTTCGCGTTTTGAGCCGATCGTGCCACCATAGCTCCTGCTGCTGCCTCTACCGCTGCGGCTACCGCGGCGGAGCTGAAATTGCCGAACGCGATGCCCGAGGGCGCTGTGAGCGGGGTGGCCTTAGCTCGCCGAGGCTGGTGAGGCTGGGCCCGAACGGGGGCGCTGACGAGTAGCAGGGGCCTCAGAGGCGGGTGAAAGATAAAGGTCCAGAGCCGCTGTGGAGGGCGGAGAGCGAGCTCTGGAGGATAGGGAGTGGGGGAGGGAGGCTCCCGTGGCAGAACGAGTTGTGGGCTACGGCGAGCCCCGCCGCGTCCCCGCCGGCGCTAGCGCAGGTGTCCAGGCCTGCGGAAATCCCTGGTGGTCTCGGCGGCCTCCTCCCTTGGACACTACAGTTGCCATGGGAACAGTTGGGCATTAACGGGAACCAGATCGTCCACGAGACCAACTGGGGCCCATCCCATCCATCTCGCCAGTTAAACGCCTCTGGCGGGCGTGGGCCTGGCATTTCTTCGTGGCTTAGGATTTTCCCCCCCTTTTTCGTGAGCCTTTCCTTCCGACGTTGTAAGAAACTGTGCAGGGCTAGAAGGTGGGGATGAGGGAAATGGTGAGAGCAATACCCAGAGGTAAAAGCTGCAGACTTCGCTAGGCAGAAGGTAAGACACTGTGATACTAAGGTGGCTTCTGCCATCTCAGGTCAGTGAGAGGGCATACTGGGAAGCCCTCTGGAGTGGGAAGACAGTGCCGCTGTTGAGACAAGACCCAGGACTGGGCCGGGGACTGTCCCAAAGGGTTTCTCGTCATAATGGCTGTGGAAGGGTCAACCATTACCAGCCGGATCAAGAATCTGTTGAGATCTCCATCCATCAAACTGCGCAGGAGTAAGGCAGGAAACCGACGAGAGGACCTCAGCTCCAAGGTGAGTCCTGTTGGGATCCACCTCTTTCCAAACCCACCCTCTCCTGCTCCATGTTCCTCGTTAACCTTCCTGTTTCTTGGGAAAGATAACTAGAAGCCCTTGTTGACTCTAAAGGATCACATATGATCTCTGCAGGCAATGATTTGGTTTTAGGTTGAAGGAAAAAGAGCAGCAGGGGTGGGCATGCTGAGATTCATCCATGAGAAAAGGTGAATAGTAGGAAGACCACCTGGGTTCAATTGTGGCCTCACTATACACTAAGCATGTGCTTGGGAAGCCAGTTGATATGCTATGACTCAGTTTCCCTTCTTGGGAGAGGACAGTAGGAACACATACCTTGTGAAGGGCTAAGCTGTGACTAATGTAGCTGCAGGTGTTAACGTAACAGCTGGGGTTATGTAAGACTGTAGTGGCAGAAAGAAATATGCTAAAACACCTAGTCAGAGTTACTGGCTTGGTAATTGCTCTTGCCTACGGTGAAAACAAATTTTTTTTGTCTCTTCAAGAGGCTAACTGGAGCCTTTTGGCTTCTTAGGAATAACATGCAAGAAGCCAGATATCTGTCAGCAAAACAGTTCTGGATGGCCCTTGAGCATTGCTTATCTCATTCACTATATGCCAAGAGCCACATCCCACTCAGCTGCAGATGATCCTCAGAGGCAAAGTTCCTTTCCATCGCTTCACTTGTCTGTGTTTTGGTCCTTATGCTTTTTCAACTAAATAAACCCCACAACTTTGGGAATCCAGAAGTAGTCGACATTTATTTAATCCCTTGAGGGAATCCAGGGCTTTACTCCCACAGGATCAGATCAGATTTTGTGTCTTATTAGTAGCCTGTAAACCCAATAGGGTTGTGAGGTACAAGGTTGTTACAGGGAGAGGCATTTGAGACCACAGCATTGTATTGCTTTGCCTGTATCTCTTCAGTGATGAGTAAATCCCATGAGGAATGATTTAGAATGCCACTGTACAAATGGCAGGGTTCTGGGAGGACTTAGTTCAGCCCTGTGTTCCTTAGCAGAACTTTGAGTAGATTTGGTAAGAAGGTGAAGAGCTTTCCTGTATATTTCAGCAGAAGTTGTGTTGAATCACAGTTTGCTACAAGGTTTTGTGATGGTGGACATTGTGACCCTTCCAAGGTCTCTTATTCATCATTGTTTCTATTCTCCTGAGGCAGGCAAAGAAGCCTGAAATGTAGAAATTGCCTTAGATATGACTCTGTTCATTCTTAATACTGCAAGTGCTCTTATTCTTGGCTGGTAGCTTGGCAGTGACCAGCACTGTTAGAGCAATCTTCTCCAATCTTTGGCCTCTTTTTCTGGCCAGGAATGATATATGTAGTAGAAACATATAATGAGAGTTTAGCCTTCATTGTTAATTCTTACTGTAATTTTGGTCTGGAATCCAGAAAGTATAGTTGCCATTCTTTAAGACTTCCAATATCATCCATTATTAATGCATTTAACAAGTGTTTATTGAGTGCCTATGAAGTGTGCAATCAGTGATGGGTAAAACATTACCCTTGCCATCAAAGAGCTTATGGCTAGTCAGACATGTAAACAATTAAAACACGGTGTGGTAAGTGCTGCTGTAGAAGTATGTGTACGTTGTTAATGGAAGCACAGGGGAGGCGACCTAAGTCAGTTCAGAGGAATTAGGAAAGGCTTCACAGGCCAGGCATGGTGGCTCACCCCTGTAATCCCAGCACTTTGGGAGGCCAAGGCGGATGGATCACTAGGTCAGGAGTTCGAAACCAGCCTGGTCAAGATGGTGAAACCTCATCTCTACTAAAAATACAAAAATTAGCCGGGCGTGGTGGTGCATGTCTGTAATCCCAGCTACTCGGGAGGCTGAGGCAGGAGACTCGCCTGAACCCGGGAGGCTGAGGTTGCAGTGAGCTCAGATCCTGCCAGTGCACTCTAGCCTGGGTAACAGAGCAAGACTCCGTCTCAAAAAAAAAAAAAAAAGGAAAGGCTTCACAGAGGAAGGGATGCTTGAACTGTGAGTCCTAAGGCAGGTGGAGAAGAGCTCTCCAGGAAAACAGTGGAAAAGGGGCATCCCTGGCAAGACCATTTACCATTCCCTGTTTAAAATAGGAATTCAGTGCTTCAGACTGCTTTAGATGGCTTTGTCTGTCCTGAAGCTGTGTATGAAAGAAATACTTAGCTGAAGTTGAATGACCCTTGAATGGTCTGGCAGCAAAATGACTGGTGCATATCTTTAGCACCCAAGAGGAGTAGCTGTCTTTGTGCGCCCAGGACCCTAGAGATGCCAGACTCCCCACACTCCTTAGTAAAAGGTCTCTACCTGAGATTATTCTAAAAGCCTGCCTTGTGATTACTCTAGTGTATTAAGCTCTGTGAGTTGCTCTAACATGTGGTGGCTGTGAGTAATCATGATAACAGGAAATTTGTGATTCATGGATAGCTAATTCTCAAATAAAATTTGAAGACAAAAAGGTACATGCCCCTTTTGGGGGGCAAAGAAGGAAATGTCAGAAAGCTTTTATGCAGCTCTTACTTCAGATGGCCTCCTGCTTTGAATTATACTGTTCTTTCTATCTAAAGTAGCCTTCTCCTTTACACCAAATTGTACACTTATTTTTAGGTCCAATTCTGTATTTATCAGAGCCACAGGGCTTTCTGTGACTAGTCCCCCACCTTGAAACCAATATCTTATTGTTATTTTATGTATGTCTTCATTTCCTAAGGATCGGGGTCATGCTCTTTATTTCCTTTACATCACACCGTTTAGGACAGTGTAAGATAGGCAGTAAGTACTAAAAAAAATAAATGAGACTAATTTAAAGATGTCAAATATAGTGCGGGATAAACTTGGACATCCAGGTGAATAAAATAATCAGGAGGAATTTATGACCTCTTTAGAAGAGAGATCAAAACTACGATTAATAAAATGGTGACAAAGAAGTAGAGATGCAGCCTAATTAGGTGTGAAGAACATAAGAGAGAAGAAGTCCACGTATGCAGAAAGCAGTGCTCAGTAAAGGGTTCTTAATTCAGGGGAGACCTAGTTAAAAATATGGCTAAAAGCTGGTGTGAGAGAGCCAGTGGAGGTGGAGATTTAAGTTACATCAAAGAGTAGATGAGTGCTGAGATTTTTATTAAGCTTTTTCAGAGGGAGGGGAGTCTCTTCAGTGGAGTACATTGGAAAAGACTGATTTAAAGTTTTATGCTAAATCAGCTTAGTCTTGGTGAAGTGTGACTTGAAGTTATCAGTAAATACCCAAGTTCAAATCCTGTAGACTTGTCATTTCCTGCCTCTCATCTCTAAGTTGGGCTGTGTTTTCCTTAAGAAGCAAATGTATGTGTTCTTGATAGCTAACCCTCCTCCTCTGAAAGTTTCTGAAAGATTTTTATGTGGAGGGAGCTGGGCTTGTTTTCAAGGACAAAGGATAGAAATGGACCAAAGCCCAGCAGGCAAGATTTAAGTTAGGGTTACAAAAGGATTGTCTGTGCTGGAGGGTTGCTAGATTTTTAAAAAGTAACTGAAGGAGGTATTGAGATCGTCCTCCTCCTTAAGAGCCATTAATCTGATCTAGGTTATATTATTCCTTCTGGAAACAATGGGTAAGATGACTTTCTTCTAGTTGTGTTTTTTTAATTGTAAATCTAATTCTTCTTTCTCTATTTGTTTCCCCAAGTTTTTTTCCTGTATAGTTGTGTGGTGGTACTTCGAGCCTTTTGAGAAGTGACTCTAAGAAGAGTTTGGTTGGGTGGGTTTCATGAAGGAGAAAAAGTGGCAATACTCTAATTTCAGCTTTTGCTCAGTGTTTGAACGCATATATGATTTGGTATTGGGGAAACATACTCATTTTTTTCGAGACGGAGTCTTGCTCTGTTGCCCAGGCTGGAGTACAGTGGCGTGATCTCGGCTCACTGCAAACTCTGCCTCCCGGGTTCAAGCGATTCTCCTGCCTCAGCCTCCTGAGTAGCTGGGATTACAGGCGCGTGCCACCACGCCGGGCTAATTTTTTTATTTTTAGTAGAAACGGTGTTTCACCATGTTGGTCAGGCTGGTCTCAAACTCCTGACCTCGTGATCTGCCTGCCTCAGCCTCCCAAAGTGCTGGGATTACAGGTATGAGCCACCACGCCCGGCCAGTTATTTTTGTTTTTTGTAGAGACAGAGTCTTACGATGTTGCTCAGGCTGGTCTCAAACTTCTGGCCTCAAGGGCTCCTCCTGCCACAGCCTCCCAAAGTGCTGGGATTACAGGCATGAGCCACCATGCCCAGCCCCTGCCTTTCTGAGTAGCTGGGACTAGTGGTGCTTGCCTCTGCGCCAGGCTCCAGTCATTTCTTAGTGTTCAATACACACGCTCTGAGTTCTCCACATAGAATAGATGACTAAGAGTGGATGTCCCTGTGGCCAGCAGCTATGCCCCTCACCAGCCTTTGTGAATGACCTTCAAAGCTCTTGTTGAATTTTCTGTCTCTGAGGTCTCTTGAAATAAGGCTTGTGAAGTGTCTTGAGATCCTCACAACAGGTGGTATACAATGAAAAATGTCAATGTTCTCCTAGTTTTGTTTCTTTGATCACCATTTCATCCCTCCTTCCGGTGCCTGCAGCTGCCCTCAGCCTTCAAAGTGATTCTCACTGGAGAGAGAGGATGCTTCTCTCCCTGGACCCAACACCTCTTCATTTACTGTCTAAAAATAGCCCAGCCTCTTCAGGCTGGGAGTTGTCTTTCGAAACCTCCTCTCACCTACTTGGCCTCACTCATTTCAAAGTGGAAGAGCACTACTGCTTTCCAAGTTTTTCTCTCTTTCAGTTTGCAATTTAGGGCAGGTTCCCTTCTTGGATTTGAGTCAATGTCTTATTTCCTGCTGGTATTTTGAATGTCTTTCATTTGTCACCTGTGTATTTTCATTTCTTGACTGATGAAAAAACAGGTAGAAATGAGGCTTCAGCCTGACATCTGTAACCTCCCCACCAACCCTCTGAGTCTGAAGTTGGGCTTGATGCTGTTATCACTGACCCTTTGTTTGGAGAAAACAGTCCAAGGTTTGAAATTGGGGCTATGTTTATTCAAACTAAGCTTCTCTGAGCACATGGTCTGTCCCACTCATCCTCAGAGTATCCGTTGGTTTTACTTCATGTTCAGACTGCAGTGTTGTTAAAGAAATAAAGCTACAGTGTTTTCAGAAGGATTTGTTATATTATACTTCATGTTCCCACTGCTCCAGGCTAAGCGTCTCCTCTGGGCTCCATTGTTTAATGCAGGACAAAGCCAGGTTTTCTGGCAGCTTCCTTTTCATAGCAATTCTCAGTAGAGGTATAGAATGAGACCTGCCTACCTTCTTGGGTGTTTATTACCCCATTTGTGGATTTTACTTTAACTTCTGTTACCTTAAAAAAAAAAAAAAAAGTTGGTGAGGAAGGCAAGAAATAAAAGTGAGTATGACAGCCAGACTGGGTAGTGTGGATTTTTAGCGTTGGTATTTTTGAATGTCCAGATTTTCCAAATCCTTCCTTCCTTCCTTTCAACAGTTATAGCAACAGGTCCAGTGCTTCTTCATTGGTCACATTATTTTCCTCTGGTTTTGAAGGACACTTAACAGAAGAATGAGTTTACAGTATGGATAGCTCCTCCTAGATTTCAAGGGAGTAAATTCCCCCCTCTCATTTTGTCACAATGTTTGCAATGCTTTTTTTTTGCTTTTTTTTTTTTCCTTTTTTCTTTTTTGAGACAGAGTCTCACTCTGTCACCTAGGCTGAAGTGCAGTGGCGTGATCTCAGCTCACTGCAACCTCCACCTCCCGGGTTCAAGTGATTCTCTTGCCTCAGCCTCCCGAGTAGCTGGGATTACAGGCATGTGCCACCATGCCTGGCTACTTTTTGTTTTTTCAGTAGAGACAGGATTTCAACATGTTGGCCAGGCTGGTCTCGAACTCCTGACCTCAAGTGATCTGCCTGCCTCGGCCTCCAAAAGTGTGCAATGCTTTTTTTGGTTGCTTCCCTATTTGGTAAAACAATGCTGTGGGTTTTTTTGTTTTTTTTTTTTTCTTGCTGGGATTTTAAAGTTTATATGCCTTATCTCTCCTCCTAAAACTGTAATGAAGCTAAAGATATTTTCCTTTCCCTGCTATGCCGGGCATGGTGGTGCACACCTATAGCCCCAGCATCTTAGGAGGCTGAGGCGGGATGATTGCTCGAGCCCAGGAGTTTGAGGCTGCAGTGAGCTATGATGGCACCACTGTATTCCAGCCTGGGCAACAGAGTGAGACCCCATCTTAAAAACAAACAAAAACTGTCTGCCCCTCTGTTTATAATTGAGATTTTAATTTACTTGAAGATCTTAGAACAACCCTTTGTGAAACCATATGGCTGATTTTTTTTTTTCCACTTTGTCAAATGTTCTTTTGGAGAAATCCTGAGAAGAAAGTTTATTTGGTGGTTCAGGATTTGAGTGTTGCTCCTTATTTATCACAGTTCTCATCAGCCTTTGAGACCCATCTTCCTTTAGTGGCTCTTCTGGTCTTTTCTTCATAAGTTTGGCTGATGCTGTTACAGATGCTAGCACTTAAGAAAACAAGACTTTAAAAAATTATGAAATACAGGCCGGGCGCAGTGGCTCATGCCTGTAATCCTAGCATTTTGGGAGGCCGAGGCGGGCGGATCATGAGGTCAGGAGATCGAGACCATCCTGGCTAACACGGTGAAACCCTGTCTCTACTAAAAATACAAAAAAAAAAAAAAAAAAAATTAGCTGGGCGTGGTGGCGGGCGCCTGTAGGCCCAGCTACTCGCGAGGCTGAGGCAGGAGAATGGTGTGAACTCGGGATGCGGAGCTTGCAGTGAGCTGAGATCGCGCCACTGCCCTCCAGCCTGGGAGATAGCGAGGCTCTGTCTCAAAAAAAAAAAAAAAAAATTATGAAATACAACAGACATTAAGAGAGTGTACAAATATAATATTGTATTATAAATAATGATAAATGATTTCCCCGTGTAACCACTGCCCAAGTGAAAAAATAGAACAATGGTAAGGTATTGGCAGTTTCTGAGGGACGTGATGCGAATGTTGTCATCAGGGTGGGTGAGGATGTACTAGGCACTGTGCTAAGCATTTTACATATACTATCTTATTCAAGTTTTACAGAAGTCTACCATAAATACTATTACCACCCCATTTTGTAGTTAAGAAAACTAATGATAAGAGAGGTCAGGTGAGTAGCTGGTAGTTACATAGCCAGTGAGTGGCTAAGCAAGAATTCAAATAGAGGCTTTCTGAACTCCAGGGCCCACACTTAATCTTTATTCTGCATTCCTCCCAGGGAGCCTTCATGTGCACAGCATGGCACTGACTGCAGAAGTGTGCCTAGTATTGCCATAGTCAAAGGGCACATCATGCACTCAGCTTAGAAAAAGGGACAGTTCCCAAAGAGGGGGAAAAAAAAGGGACAGTTCCTTAAAAAAAAAATACTTTGTCCCCAACATTCCTTATAAAAGTCAATTTAATGAATTTCTCAGACTATTATTTTAGATCCATCACTCAGTAACCCTTGTCCATCTATATCCTTACTCCTCTTCCCACCTCCAGCTCCAGATTTCCTGAACTTTTGTTTCTGCTGCCTGTTCTTGTCAGAAACTGTGCAACCTTGGTTCTGTGGGTATGTGAATGTCAGGTTGGCAGGGTGCAGCTGTGTGGTTCCAGATGACCAGAAGCCACAAGCGGTTGCTGCTTCTCTCTTGGGATTGGTTGGGGAGTGAAGGGCAGACCGACGGATGCCTTGGTTGTTTTTGTGTGTGGGTATCATGGGGCTTCAAACTGTTGTGCTCTTTGTTGGCTGGTTGATTTTGTAGCTCATGCTCTTGAGGTGCTCTTTCAGGTCTCTCCCTGTTTTCCTCTGAATTCCACTGTTTTGTTATCTCTTGTTAGCATACAACTGACCTTGTTTTTGAAGCTGTGGAGAGTAGCTGGTGGAAATACCTCTTCCAGTTGGGAAAAAATGGACTTAAAATGTCCCATGTCCAGGCTGACCTGGATGATGACAGTTGGTTGATGAGTTAATTTGAACATGAGCAGAAATGAGGTCACTTGCCTGCCTGACTCCATGTGGCCATGCTGGCTCCAGGTTGCAAAGTTCTTTGAGCAAGTACCTTGTCTTGCCTAATCTCGAATGTCTGTTCTTTTTATTTCTTATCTCAAATAGGCATTGTGATAACATTATAGGTGCAAAAGTATGAGGTCTAAAGGCCTCTGCTTCCCTGTACTCCCTCAGTTTGTCCTGAGCAGAGGGAGCCCCAAGCCAGATGGATTGGATGGAGAACAGCCCATAGGCAGTTTGCAGTTGTGGGCGCGTAGCTGGGAGCATGCTCAGAAACTGATTCTTGGCCTCACGCCTATAATCCCAGCACTTTGGGAGGCCGAGGCGGGTGGATCACGAGATCAGGAGATCAAGACCATCCTGGCTAACATGGTGAAACCCCGTCTCTACTAAAAACACAAAAAATCAGCTGGGCGTGGTCGCGGGTGCCTGTAGCCCCAGCTACTCAGGAGGCTGAGGCAGGAGAATGGCGTGAACCCGGGAGGCAGAGCTTACAGTGAGCCGAGATCGCGCCACTGCACTCCAGCCTGGGTGACAGAGCAAAACTCCGTCTCAAAAAAAAGAAACTCTGATTCTTGCACCTCTACGCTACTGCTTTGGAGAAAAGCAAGCAGCTGCTTGTCAGGACTAAACTTGTAACATGCAGGCCTACCTCCATTACCCTGACATTCATTGGTTGGCTTCTGTTTGAGAGGGCACAGTATCTTTGTATGCCATGATTGTTTTCATATAACATAATAACCTGCTGCTGACTTTTCTCAACATGTCCTTTCTGCTTATGATGTTCTTTCTCCAGGCTGCTTTGGGTTCTCTTGTAAGGCCCGTACAGCAGCTGTCACTGAGATACTGCCTCATGACAAACCTAGAACTGGCTAGTGAAAAGAGCTTCTCAAGAGTTAATATGAGCTGGACACAGTGGCTTGGGCCTGTAACCCCAGCTACTCTGGAGGCTGAGGCGGGAGGATCACTTGAGGCCAGGAGTTCAAGACTGGCCTGGGCAACATAGCAAGATCCCATCTCTAAAAGCTTTTTTAAAAAAATTAGCTGGGCCGGGCGTGGTGGCTCACACCTGTAATCCCAGCACTTTGGGAGGCCGAGGCGGGTGGATCACAAGGTCAAGAGATCTAGACCATCCTGGCCAACATGCTGAAACCCCGTCTCTACTAAAAGTACAAAAATTAGCTGGGCGTGGTGGCGCACACCTGTAGTCCCAGCTACTCGGGAGGCTGAGGGAGGAGAATTGCTTGAATCCACAAGGCAGAGGTTGCAGTGAGCCGAGATGGCGCCACTACACTCCAGCCTGGCAATAGAGCGAGACTCCGTCTCAAAAAAAAAAAAAAAAAAAAAATTAGCTGGGACTTTGGGAGACCAAGGCGAGCAGATCGTTTGAGTCCCAGAGTTCAAGACCAGCCTGGGCAACATGGCGAAACCCTATCTGTAAAAAAAAAAAAAAAAAAAAAAAAATTAGTTGGGCATGGTTGTGCATGTCTGTAGTCCCAGCTACTTAGGAGGCATGACGTGGGAGAATTGCTTGAGGCTAGGAGTTCTAGGTCTAGACTCCCTCCCAGGGCCATTGTGAGATTTAAATGAGATTTAATGAATTTGAAAACACATTGTAAGTTTTAAATAACTTCACAGCTATAAGGGGTTGCTAATACTATCAGTGTCTGAGATATCTAGAATACCAAGGAATTTTCTTCTAATTTGTTAGCAAGATTTTATTCCTTCAAGTTTCCATTTGTGAGAGGTCCTTTTTTGTAGGCTCGCCTCTTCTGTTCCAACATTTTTAATCAGCCTTTCTGCATGGCTTTTTATTGTGAACTATCTTCAGTACCTTTTTCTTGCCAATATTCTAACTTGTATCGATAATACTGACCAAAAGGAAGGCTTAGCAGAAATTCTTTTTGATACTAACTTGTGTGTAATGTATTTCAGGACTATGACTATGATTTTGGGGGGAATTTTTTTAAAATGTCAAACCAGTGAACTCCAGGAGTAGAGGGGAGTCCTAATTTTTTCTTTATCTGTTTAGAAACCACCGGGGTGATGAGCATGCTTTTTAACAGCAAAAGCTTCTCTAGATGTAGAAATAATTTTTTTTCTTTTGGGTCTAATTTATATTGACAAATAATTTGAGAAATGAATTAGCCTTTTGTCTAAGAATTTACAGGCCAAGTGAAAATGTGACGTGTGTTAATTAAATAACCCGTTATTTAAGTTTCTAATGTTGTGACCAGAGTAAAATAATCTATTAAAAAATTTTTTTTTGCTTAAAAAAATAAAGATACATGAAGATGTGAAGATATAGGTGCAATCATACCCTTACACTACTGGTGAAAACATACATTAATCCAACTTTCTTAGAGGACAATTTGGTAATATCTATTAGAAAATTTTGCATATTCATACCTTTTGATTCAGCAGTTATAATTCTGGCATCTTATTCTGTGCAGACACTCATACTGCACGAAGGTGTATCTAATTGAATTTTTTGGTGTTATTCATAAGAGTGAAATTTTGAAGTTATCCAGGTACCTATGAGTAGGGGATTGGTGTACATCAATAAGATGAAATTCCTTGTACCTGCCAGAAAGAATGAGGTTAATCTATATGTACTGATGTGGAAGAGTATACAAGATATCTTGAATGGGGGAAAAAAGCAAATTGTATAATACTTTTTTATGTTAATGATTATTTATATTTTTGTTAAAACATATATATATGTTAGTATATGCATACTAAAAAATGAGGCTATAAATACCAAACTTGTTAATATTGGTTATCTCAGGGAGGGATAGTAGATTATGATGGACTTTCACTGTCTCCATTATATATTTCTGTAATGTTTAAATTTTTCACAAAGAGCCTGCATTATTTTTGTAAGTAGAAAAAAAATAAAGATGGAAGTCTCTCCAATTTAAACATGTGTATTTCATATGTAAATCTAAGATGTTTAAAATTTAAAATCCGTATGCTCATTTTATTAAAGCAGTTATGCACAAATGCTATTGAAAAATATATCTGGTATAGCCGGGCGTGGTGGCTCACACCTGTAATCCCAGCACTTTGGGAGGCCAAGGCGGGCGGATCACAAGGTCAGGAGATAGAGACCATTGTGGCTAACACGGTGAAACCCCGTCTCTACTAAAAATACAAAAAAATTAGCTGGGCGTGGTGGCGGGTGCCCGTAGTCCCAGCTACTCAGGAGGCTGAGGCAAGAGAATGACATGAACCCGGAAGGCAGAGCTTGCAGTGAGCCAAGATTGCGCCACTGCACTCCAGCATGGGCGACAGAGCCAGACTCCGTCTAAAAAAAAAAAAAAATATATATATATATATATATATATATAGGTATAATAAGCTTTTTTTGTTTTTTAAAGAAGTAATAGGACATAAAAATATTTTCTTGAAGATTAATGATTAGCTTGTTGAATTTGAGACAATTCATTTCCTTTTTTCTTTGACATTGAGTCTTGCTCTGTCGCCCAGGCTGGAGTGCAGTGGCAGTATCTCCGCTCAGTACAACCTCTGCCTCCCAGGTTCAAGCGATTATCCTGCCTCAGCCTCCCGAGTAGCTGGGATTACAGGCGTAATCCTGACCTCAGGTGATCCATCTGCCTAGGCCTCTCAAAGTAGATTTTTTTCCTGTTGGGATTACAGGTGTGAGCCACTGTGCCTGGCCAGTTTCTAATATCTTCAAAAATATCTCCTTGGTTAGCTTTGATAAATATTTTTTGATACTTTTTGAAGTACATGTGCTTTCTGAAAAGATTTGTTACAACTAATACAGAAAAGCATAAAGAAGAAGAAAAATTATCCATAATTCCAGCACCTAGAGATAACACTGTTCTGATTATCAAGGGCATTTAAAGCTCTTTTTGATCAACATAGTCGCTTTTATTTTATTTTATTTATTTTTGGGTGGGGGGCAGGGACAGAGTCTCGCTCTGTCGCCCAGGCTAGAGTGCAGTGGTGTGATCGCGGCTCATTGCAGCCTCTGCCTCCCAAGTTCAAGCAATTCTCCTGCCTCCGCCTCCCGAGTAACTGGGACTACAGGCACCCGCCACCATGCCCAGCTAATTTTTGTATTTTTAGTAGAGATGGGGTTTCACCATGTTGGCCAGAATGGTCTTGAACTCCTGACCTTGTGATCCACCCACCTCAGCCTCCCAAAGTGCTGGGATTACAGGCATGAACCACCACGCCCGGCCGCGAACACATTCTTTAATTATAACTTAGGTCAGATTTGTGAAGAGCCATGCCATGCATGTCTTTACTAAAGTCAGGGATAAGAGTGTTCTGTTTGTAATCATGTATGGCACATGGATTATGTTATTCAGGCCTTCCTCTGTCTTTCTGGAAAGGCATCAGAATCTTACTTCCTGCCACAACTTCTAGGGGTGGCATTGATAAATAGTTGAAGAATTCCCTAGGAGGTAAAAAAAACTTAATAAGATTAACCAAAGAGTATTCATAAAAATTTTAAGTTTTTTATTTTAATTAATTAATTAATTATTTCCCAAGACAGAGTCTTGCTCTGTTGCCCAGGCTGGAGTGCAGTGGCACTATCTCAGCTCACTGCAACCTCCGCCTCCCAGGTTCAAGCAATTCTTTTGCCTCAGCCTCCCAAGTAGCTGCGATTACAGGCACGTACCACCATGCCCGGCTAATTTTTGTATTCTTATTAGAGATGGGGTTTCACCATGTTGGCCAGGCTTGTCTTGAACTTTTGACCTCGTGATGCACCCGCCTCGGCCTCCCAGAGTGCTGGGATTACAGGGGTCAGCCACCGCACCCGGCCATGATTTTAAGTTTTTTAAAAATGTTTTTGAGTATTTAAAAAATTGATTCAACAAATATATATTAAACACTGTGCCCTGTGCTATAAGCATACAGTTATATGAGATACAACTTCTGCCCTCCAGGAGTGTGTAGACTGGTAGGAGAGATAAGACAAATCCATAAAGAATAGAAGTTCTTTACAAGGTTCTAAGCAGTGCATGCCATGTGAATGATGCAAATTAGGTGCTGCTGTAAGAGTACGGAGGAGGAAGGAATCATTTCTGGCCAGGCGATCACAGAAAGAATCAGAGGGGATGTGACATTTGAGCTGGTCCTCGAAGGAAAGGTAGGATTTCAGTATAGGGTAGTGGAAGGGAAGGTTAGAAGAAGCATATGAGCTATAAAGCCCCAAGGCTTCTTTCCAGAAAAATGAATAGTCCAGATTGACAGATGCACATGATTCAAATAGGTGAGTAGTAGGAAATAGAATTATGAGAAGGGCAGAGTTCATTAATGCTAGGCTAAAACATTTATATTTTATTTAGTTGACAGGAAGGAGTGACTGAAAAAGTTTTTGGGCAGGGGAGAAACATGGATCAAAGCTATGCTGTGGAAAAATTACACGCTGATGGGTTGGAGGAGGGGAGGAAAGAGTCTATAGTAAGGAAATTGATTAGAAATCCATTGCTATATCCAGGAATGTGTTGAAGGCCTAAACTGGGGTGTTGGCATGAAGTGAGCATTTTGTAGAGAATAGGTTGAGGAAACCTTCCTTCTTCCCTGGAGAGTTTCATGGCATAAGTTGTGTGATTGTAGGGGCACTGAGAGCCCTCCACACTCCCCTTTTTGTTCCAGGAGACACATTCACTTTGCACACTTAGTCCAGATAAGGAACAGTTAATATTCTCACTGGTTACAAAATAGAAAAGCAAGAGTTTAAGAAAATCAGGTGTGTAGAGGAATTAGATCCTTTTGATGACCAGATTTTTAGCTCATAAAGCTTTGTTTGTGGTTCTGGTTTTGCTGTAGTACTGTAGAGAGGACTGACTTTAGAGGAAAAAAAAAAACTACAACTCCACCCCCACCCGAATTCTGCATGCTTACATTGAGATAACTCCTTTTCTTGCCTTTCTGATAACTGTGGAAGAGAAAGAGAGGGCAGAAGGGCTGTACCAGGCACTGTAAAAGCTGTTAAATCTGCTCTCTGGACTTGGGCACGTGCTGATGACTGTACTATTAATATAACTGGGTCCTTCATTCCCTCTCCCTCTAGTCTGACGCCTTCCTTACCTCTTCCTCCATCTGCATACGAAATCAGCTTCTCCTGCTTCTGACCCTGCAGTGCCAGTTGGCTTGGAAATGGGTGTCTGCTGTCTATATTTGGCTATAGCATAGGCTGGACATGGGCAAGCTCTGACCACATGGGATACTCTGGCATTAGGAAGACCCTCCCTCTTTCTTGGAACCATCTCAGTGAGGAGAGGTCAGAACCCATTTTTTAGACCCACTTTAGCTACTGATAAGTTCTGCTAAATTTTTTTGTTAATGTTAAATATAGCATGAAAGGTCTCTATTGTCTGACTTGTGGCCCTCTGCCTTCTATCTTGGCTCTCAGACCTGTCCCTGATGCCTGCACAAAGGCATAGTGACTTCCCTGTGTGCTGTTTCAGAAACTGTAGCATTCTGTTGGTGCTAGAGAATTTGAACTCTCTCCTCAAAGCACCATGGTTTCTGGAACCAGACAGCCCCAGGTCTAAATCCTGGTTCTTCCACTCACTACTTACTCTTTCATGTGTAAAATGGAGATAATACTAGTCCTTCATGAAGTTGTCAAGAGTATTAAATGAGATGATCTGTGTGAAGTGGTTAGAACAGTTATTGCTACAAAGTATACATTCAGTAAATGGCAGCTGTAGATCCTCTCTCTGCCCCAGACCTTTTGTACCCCCGGTGCGTTCTTGTAAAATACTTGGAACACTGGGACTAACCCAAGAGAGGCTAAAATTGGGAAATAGAAGGGCAAATGCCTTAGTTTAGTAGTTCCCAATCTGGTAATCATTAGAACCACCTGGAGAGCTTTAATATGCAGATTCTCAAACCCTACTCCTTATCTTTTCATTCAGAATCTTGCAGTCAGGGGAAGTGGATAGGGTGGGGATAGAGTAGGGACTGTTGTTACATGAAAAAAACCTTAAGTTCTTTGGGTACTTTGTTGACTGGCCAGGTTTGGGAACTTTTGTTCCAGTCTTCTTGTCCCCAGGGGCTGTGGCTAGCGGCTTTGTCAGGTTACCCTTTCCAAGCAGTGGCAAATGCACCTTCCTTAGAAACTAAGGCTGTTTTAATCTTAGTCTGGAGAATTGACTCAGCTCCAACTAATTCTAAACCGTTAAGCAGGATACCCTTTTTTTGTTTGTTTGTCACATTGGAAGTTATTTGTTTCTGGGAGTCTTTGTGGTATAGATGGAACTCTACATCAGCCAAACTGGGTAGAGACCAGGAGCAGAGACTAGACCCAAGGTCTGCTCTCTTCTTCAGCTGGCCATTGTGCCCCTGCCTACCTCTGACCAGATGGCACTTTGAACTTTGAAGCAACAGGAATGAGTTAGCCTGGGCATGATACCTGCCCTTCCTCCCCATTCCCAGGTCTGGTCACTGGGTCCCTGCCCTACTGTCTAAGTCTCTGCACAAAGCCTCCTGGCCTTGGCTTCTTCTGTGGCTTTTGCGTTAAGTGGCAGTTCTCAGAATCTGGTAGAGAATCTGCTTTGTGAGATTAGAGTGTAGTGTGTGGGCAAGAGACAAATATAGTTCTTAACCTGCAGGAAGGGAGGGGAAGGCGAAGAGTGCTCTGCCTTGGACAGGTCTCTGACATGCTTGTTTATAGAAACAGCAAGTCCATGGTTTGGCTGGAATGACTTACAACTCAGGTATTTATAACTTGAATTGAGTGGGATTGAGAAGTGGGGGAAGGGAAAAGGGGGAAGAAAGTAGCTGGTGGCAACAAAACATAGCAACAAAAACAGATCTTTTTCCTCACAGTTGCTGGGGTTTCTTTACCAGTATGAGGTCAGCCAAATCCTAGGGGACCCTGGCCTTTTGTGACTCTGGCCTCTTAGTTCTCTATCTCAAGGGAGCAGCCACTCCCGTGCCATTGCAGACTTCCTGTAGTGGTCCCTCACACTAAAAGGGAAAGCATTTCCTGCCAACTTCTGTTGTGGGTCCAAGCAGGAAGCCCTTCCTAACAGTGCCACTGTCTTGGCTCCACCTGGACTCGCTTCCATTGGCTAGTGCCTGTCCTCTAGCTCGTGAACTGATCAGATCCAGGGACTTGAGAGAGCAGAAAAGCTTCGAAGGCCCTGCCCAGTGTCTAGGATTGTATGTTTAGGGCTCTGGGACCGCTTGGGATCTTATGCTGTGCCACCTCTGTTGAGGATGGCTCTGGACTCTGGAGAGTTCTGTCCTTGCCTCCTTCATTTCTTTCAGCACTCACTATTAATCACCCCTCCCTTCTGGGAGCTCTCCACTTCACTGGCTTCCTGGTTCTCCTCCTCTCTTTCTCACTGCCTGTACCTCATCTTCTCCATGCTCTAAAAATAGGTGTTGTCTGAGGTTGGGAGTTTGAGACCAGCCTGACCAACATGGAGAAACCCCGTCTCTACTAAAAATATAAAATTAGCCAGGTGTGGTGGCGCATGCCTGTAATCCCAGCTACTTGGGAGGCTGAGGCAGTAGAATCACTTGAACCCGGGAGGTGGAGGTTGCTGTCAGCCGAGATCGTGCCATTGCAGTCTAGCCTGGGTAACAAGAGTAAAACTCCATCTCAAAAAAAAAAAAGACTGCAATCTGCAGGCTGGAAACTACTGTTCTATCTAGTATGAATGAGCAGTCCTGTCTCTTGCCTCTACGCCACCTGTTTTTTCCATCTACTTTAATGAGAGCCAGAAGAGCACTTAAACACGTGGCTTTATTCTTTCTTTCTCTCCTGGGAATAGGCTAGTATGAAGTTACCCCTTTATCTTATTAAAGTGAGAGATGATTTTGCTGGCCCTCTTTCTCTCTGGAGGATATGATAGTGCTCTGCCTAGTTCCTACTGGGAGTGGTGGGTATTCAAGCCCTCCCTCACATTATACTTGTAGTAATTCTGCCTCCAGTAGCCTTGCTTCAGGGGAAAGATGACACCTCTGTCAGGTTGGTATACGCTTTCTTCCATCTCAACACTGTCCACCTGCCAAAGCAAAAGCTGGGTCACAGTTTGGGTATTCTCCATGCTTCAAGGCTGCATTCTGGGTGTGGAGGAGCTCACTGTAGAGAACCAAGTGGGTCCTCTCTTCTTCCTTCTGAGTTTCCACTTGTGCATGAAGCAGTGTTCCTAGAGCTGTAGATGGATGGGTCAGGGTGCCAGCTGCCTGCAGCAGTTGTGTCCCAAGTCACTGCCCAGACACAGTTGCCTGGACTGGTGTGTCTCCTGGGCTGTATTTCATCGGCATTTGGGCCTTGAAGGTTTGGAGCTGAAGTTCCTGTCAGAACTTTGGGCTGAATCCCAGACTTTATGGACAGTAATTTTCTCGCAGGGCCTCTTTCCTAACTCACTTTCTTCAAGCGATCCTTGAGGCCAGAACTCTCACTTGTGGGCTTGCTTCCTCATGTGGAAAGATGCTGTAGTATTTAGAGGGGTGGGTCATTGGTTCTCAGAGTGTGGTCTGAGAAGCCTGGAGTCCCCAAAACCCCTTTAGGGGGTCCATGATGTCCTGTTTCCAACTACATATCCAAATGAGGCTAGGTTTTCTTCGCATACTTCCACTAGATAATGTCAGGACAGATTGAATGCAGATGCAGATATGAGAACCCAGCTCCCTTCTGTTAAGCCAGATATGAAAAAGGTTTGCAAAAATGTAAAACAGTGCCATTCTTCTCACTAATTATTTTTGTTTTGGAAAATAAAGTTATATTTAATAAGAACGCTAATATGTGGGCTGGGTGCAGTCGCTCACGCCTGTAATCCCAGCACTTTGGGAGGCCGAGATGGGTGGATCATGAGGTCAGGAGATCGAGACCATACTGGCTAACACGGTGAAACCCCGTCTCTACTAAAAATACAAAAAATTAGCCGGACGTGGTGGCATGTGCCTGTAGTACCAGCTACTCGGGAGGCTGAGGCAGGAGAATAGTGTGAGCTTGCAGTGAGGCAAGATTGTGCCACTGCACTCCAGTCTGGGTAACACAGTGAGACTCCGTCTCAAAAAAATAAATAAAAATAAAAAAAGAATGTTAATATGTAATGGGTTTATTGTTATTTCTAAATGATTTAGTAAATATTTTTAATGTTTCAGATTGTGATTTCAAATATAGTAAATATTGATAGACATAACCCGCATAAACAGAAGCTCTCTGTTGTCCTTGATAAGCTCTAAGACTGTGAAGAGTTCCCAAGACCAAAAGGTCTGAGAATCTCTGGGCTAGGTCCTGCTTGATAACAAACCACCTCAAAAATCCCCCTGGCTTAAGCAACAGTTTATTTCTTGCTCATGCTACATATTCAGTGAAGGTCAGCATGGGGACCCAGGTCAAGGGGCCCATCTCATCGCCTGCTGCCGTGCTTAGCAGTCAGAAAGAGGGGTACTCACGATGGTGGTTCTGTGACATGTCAAAGAATTATACAAATATGTAGCTGCATAAGGACAGACATGAGAAACTTAAATACAAACACAGATATTTGGCCGGGCGCGGTGGCTCACTCCTGTAATCAGCACTTTGGGAGGCCAAGGTGGGTGGATTGCTTGAGGTCAGGAGTTTAAGACCAGCCTGGGCAACATGGTGAAACCTCATCTCCCCACTAAAAATACAAAAATTAGCCAGACACGATGGTGGGTGCCTGTAATCCTAGCTACTCGGGAGGCTGAGGCAGCAGAATCGCTTGAACCCTGGAGGCAGAGATTGCAGTGAGCTGAGATCACCCCACTGCACTCCAGCCTGGGTGACAGAGCAAGACTTGTCTCAAAACAGCAACAACAACAAACCAGATGTTTGAGTTCTTCATACTCTTTCCCTCCACATTGCCAGATCAGTGAGTGTCAACCAAATGCCTTGAGGCTAGAGAGAGAAGTGGGGATGTGAGTTATAGAAGGATGTTGCTCATAAGGTCCTGAGCCCCACACCACATCTTCCACTATATTTTTTCTCTCTTTTTAATATTTGCTATGCAATATTTAAGACATACAATAAAGACGTGGAATAATAGGCAATGTGTGCCTACCATCAGCTTAAGAAACAAAATGTTACCTGTACCATTAAGTGCCCTTTCTGCTTGTCCTCGGTCGGTCATAGCCTTTCTGTCACAACCAGTTTTAGATACTTTGTGGAGAACAACTTTATTGGTCTGAAATACCCCAGTTTTCCTGGGCTTTCACTGTTTCTGAAGCCTCTGTAAGGCATTCATTTATTCCTTAAATATGTATCAAGTGCCCATTGTATGCCAGAGACTGTTTAAAGTGCTGGGAATACATCCATGGGGGACAGCAACCTAGGTCCTGTCCTCAAAGAGCTCACATTCTGATGGGACAGACAGGCAGTAGTAAGTACATGGACAGAGATGTAATCAATGTTGGGTTGTTACCTGCCTCTGAGCTATGAAGAAAAGTAAGGCTGGGTGGCCGGGCGTGATGGCTCATGCCTGTGATCCCAGCACTTTGGGAGGCCGAGGCGGGCAGATCACTTGAGGTCAGGGGTTCAAGACCAGCCTGGTCAATATGGTGAAACCCTGTCTCTACCAAAAATACAAAAATTAGCCGGGCATGATGGTGGGCACCTGTAATCTCAGCTGCCTGGGAGGCTGAGGCAGGATAATTGCTTTAACCTGGGAGGCAGAGGTTGCAGTGAGCCGAGATCATACCACTGCACTCCAGCCTGGGTGACAAGTGAAACCCTGTCTCAAAAAAAAAAAAAAAAAAGAAAAAGAAAAAAGAAAAACTAAGGCTGGGTAAATTGGGTATAAGATTATGGCAGTAAAGCTAGTCTGGAAGGCCCTCTCTGAGGAAGAGACCTTTGAGCAAAGACTTCAGGAAATTAGCTTTGTGCATAGCTGAGAGAAGAACTTTTTAGTCCAAGGAATGGCATATGTAAAGGACCTGAGGCTACAATTGGCTTAAGGTGCTTAAAGTTGGTAAGGTGGCTGGGGTGGAGTGAGTGAGTGAAGGGGAGGGTGTAGGAAATGAGGTCAGAGAGGTAGGTAGCCAGAGGCCTGATGATTTGGGGCCTTGTAAGCCGGGGTAGAGTATTTGGATTTGAACTTGAGGGAGATGGGAAGCCATTTGGAGGGTTTTGGGCAAAATGATGACATGATTTCATTTATATTATATTTTATTTTTATTTATTTACTTATTTATTTATTTTTGAGACAGAGTCTCGCTCTGTCGCCCAGGCTGGAGTGCAGTGGTGCAATCTCGGTTCACTGTAAGCTCTGCCTCCCGGGTTCACACCATTGTCCTGCCTCAGCCTCCCCAGCAGCTGGGACTACAGGTGCACGGCGTCACGCCCGGCTAATTTTTTTTTGTATTTTTATTAGAGACGGGGTTTCACCCTGTTAGCCAGCATGGTCTCGATCTCCTGACCTCGTGATCCGCCCGTCTCGGCCTCCCAAAGTGCTGGGATTACAGGCGTGAGCCACCACACCCGGCCTCTCATTTATATTTTAAAAGAATCCCTGTGACCTACCATGTGGAGAAAAGACTATAGGGGGTAAGGCCTGAAGCAGGGAGAGCATGTGGGTGTTACAGTCCAAGTGAGAGATAATAGTGACTTGAAACTAAGTGGCATGGTGGTAAATAGTTACAGGCTCTCTGAGAGGGGAACAAACTGTGATTTGGAAGATTTGTGAGCCTTTGCTGATTTCCATGGTGTAAGTCGTCCTGCGGTGGTGATTTCAGGGCCACTCGTTTGCTAGCACCGAATGTGGGAAAAGTTGTGCCCAGTCAGCATTCTTGAGTTGGTGCAAGCCAGCTCCAGCACACCACCGATTGAACTTGAATGCATTGAACCTGGGGTGTGTTTGCAGGGGATGTTCAAATTTGTCTCCATCTTCTAGGGCAGGTGGAAGCTCTACCACCTTCTTGGAAAGGAGGCGAGGAAGAAGGTTATCAGAGGGAGAGTCAGTTTATGAAGTCCATCATGTTGAAGCCTTGCAAAATAAGCATAGATGTTGGAGGCCTTGCAGGAACTCTGGACTCTTAGATCCTTTGAAAGTGGAGCTCAACGCAAAACCTCCCTGCAAACAGGAAGCTGGTTTGAGTTAAGAACATAAAATAAAAACCAGCTGATGCCCCTGAATGTTTTCCCCTGCTCCTCCCCTTCCACAGAGCCAAAGGAAACTGCTTTTCCCCCCCCTTGGATAGCTGCTTAGAAAGCCAGAAAAAGCCAAAAACATAAATCCTTTGAAAATAAGCCAAGTTTTGAGCCCAGGCAAACTCCTGCCTGTGGGGTTTTCCTAGTGCGGAAGTATGTTCCACTGCTGAGAGTCCTAGGAGGAAAATGACTAAGGAACACAAAGGTGCCGGTGATCAGAGCCTGTCTCCCAGGCCTGGCAGAAAGAGATGGTCCGTAGCAGGGTTTCCCAAACTAGAGCTTCCAGCCCATTTGTAGGTCATGAAATCAGTAAAGTGGGCCATGACCAGAATTCTTTTTAATGAAATGGAATATAATAGAAAATAGAGTATATTGTACTCTAGGATTAACAATAGTATATTGTTTTGTGAAACTTTCAGTTTTATGCATATGCACACACGTCTCTATATACTGGCTCATGATATAAAATGTGTTTCTTACTGTGGGTCATGGCCAAAAAACTTTGATAAACACTGGTCTTTAGAGTGTTAGTAGCCCACGTCTCCTTCTTGCTTTAGAGAATTAATTCTCTTTGGAATTGGATCATCTACCCACAAAACACCTACCCAAATTCCTGTTAGAAAGAAGATCAGCTGAGAACCAACTGACTTGGTGTAATTCTTCGGCACCAACACTGAAGCATGAGGGACGGAAGGGATCAATGCAAATTTAAATCCAAAGGATTTACCTTTAATCAGATTACCAGGAGAAAATAAGAGTTGAGCAGCCCTTTAGCTTACTACACTTGATTTTGTGGCCTCTCCCAGCTGTGTGGGTAATGCCAGCCTGGGGCCGTTCTCTTTCCTGTCTGCAGAAGGCGGTGGGTGTGGCAGGAATGTCCCTAAATATCCCCTCCTCTGGGAGAGTTGAAGGTTCAGTGCCAGGATGACTGGTGACTTAAACTGAGTATCCCCCAGACTTCCCCAGGATGATTTTGTTGCTCTCCAGTCAGTAATAGGTGACTAGATCCCAGTGGTTCATTAAGCTGAGAAAAAGTAGAGGAGGCATAAGTTAGGGGAACCTATCAAGAATGTATAGAGAAGGCCAAAGTTACTTTGTTCCACACTAGGTTTAGTGCCTCAGATCGGCGCAAGGGTAATTGGCAAGTTTGGTGCTTGCCAGGTGGCTGTGGGTTGCTGCTCTGTATTGAAACCACATCTACCAGTGAGCAGACACATGTTAGAATTCCTCATCTGCATCCCCAAGATACACAGATAACCTTGGGGACCTTTCTGGGGAATAGGTATTAAATGTAACATCTCAGGAGACTTATTTTGGTCTTCGGCCACCACAGGGCATTTCCTTCCAACCTAATTCAAGCTAAAACGATCTTCAGAGATAAGAATTTAAACAGGTTCAGCCGGGTGCGGTGGCTCATGCCTGTAATCCCAGTACTTTGGGAGGCCGAGGCGGGCGGATCACGAGGTCAGGAGATCGAGACCATCCTGGCTAACATGGTGAAACCCTGTCTCTACTGAAAATACAAAAAACTAGCAGGGTGTGGTGGCGGGTGCCTGTAGTCCCAGCTACTCAGGAGGCTGAGGCAGGAGAATGGCGTGAACCCGGGAGGTGGAGCTTGCAGTGAGCCGAGATGGTGCCACTGCACTCCAGCCTGGGTGACAGAGTGAGACTCTGTCTCAAAAAAAAAAAAAAAAAAAAAATCTAAACAGGTTCTCTAGGAGTACTTTTTGAGATGGCGTCTCGCTGTGTCACCCAGGCTGGAGTGCAATGGCGTGATCTCGGCTCACTGCAACCTCCACCTCCCAGGTTCAAATGAATCTCATGCCTCAGCCTCCTGATTAGCTGGGATTACAGGCACCAACCACCATGCCTGGCTAATTTTTGTATTTTTAGTAGAGATGAGGTTTCACTATGTTGGCCAGGCTGGTCTCAAACTTCTGACCTCAAGTGATCTGCCCACCTTGGCCTCCCAAAGTGCTGGGATTACAGGCGTGAGCAATTGTACCTGGCCCCTCTAGGAGTACTTTTAATTCTGCGGTTGGAGCAATAAGAGAGAAGGAGAAACTCCAAAACTGTCCTAATTGATTCTGAGCCTCCCCTCTCTAGAAACTGGCCTGGACTAAGAATAGACCGCCCTGCCACAAGCATCCACCCTAAGTGTTTCTGGTTTACATTGCCCTCTTAGGGCCTCTGAGACTCTCCTCAGGTTCGGTGTTTTCATAGCAGAGTGCTGTCTAGCCTGTTCACATGTCCGTCCTGCATTCTGAAGCCCCACTCTCTGAGCCAGGGGAGATCAGGGACATTCTTGAGCAGAGCCAGTGCAGGGAGTGCACAGTCCTGGAGCAGGTAAAGACCTGGAGCAGCAAGTGAAAGACCCAGAGCAGAGGATGACATGGAGTGACAGCAAGAGGTTAGAGGGAAGTCTCAATCTCACTTGGCATCATCTAGCAGAAAGACCAATGAATTAATTTGAGGTTAGTTCGTGTGGGTCCTGAGGCCTGCAGACAGTGTGGGGTAACAATACTAATGATGAGAGTGATGAGTGTCTCCCGTGGCCGTGTCCTCTCTGAATCTCTGAGCATTTTATCTTTCATCTCTGTGGGAGTTGCGGCTTAGTAATAATAATTAGAGTACCCTGAGCATCGGTGCTTTGTAGAACACAGCATTAAGCCCTGTTTCTGCCTCCTTGGAGTGTAGTCTGTATGAACTGGCAGACATTTGGGAGGTGGAGCCCTCTGACAGAGGGGAAGAACATGATAGAATGCAAAGGTCAGGGATATTCTGAGTCACCTAATTGATACCTAACATTCTTTTGGCTCTTGGTAGGTCAGAGTGGCCTTTCCTTCATGCCTGCCAAAGCACAAAGATCAGTGGCCTCACCCAAGTCTCACAGACCCAAGAGTCTAGTCTGGGGATCCCAGGCTCTAGCTTATACATGGTACCTTCCTGGTTTTGGGGAATGCTTGTTCCTCTGTGGCCATGAGTTATGCTTTAACGAGTTGGTGTTCTTTCCTGTGGTACCAGCAGACTGAGCCCTGCCGAAAATAGGTGATGCACGCTGGGTTTTTCCCGTGTGATCAAGAAGCCCGGTGGGCAGAACAGAAGAAGCTGCAGAAGTCATAGCTCCATTCTCCTGAAAACATGGGTGTCTGGAAAGTAGCCAGTGCCTCAGGATGGTCCCAAGTACCTTCAGCACCTTCTTCCCAAACACACTCTGTCTGTAACATGTCACTTCTCTCTTCCTCTAACAGGTGACCTTGGAGAAGGTGCTGGGAATTACAGTGTCTGGAGGCAGAGGACTTGCCTGTGACCCCCGATCAGGTTTAGTTGCTTACCCAGCAGGGTAAGTAAGCGCCTTGGAAGAGATCTTGATGCATGGGAATTTATAGCCACGCTAGAGCAGTTGGGATGGGCAGGGATTTTCTGGTATCTTCTGGAAGATAGATACAGGTTAATGTTTTGTTGTCATTTTTGTAAAGAGACGCAGGACCAGGTAAAGGTTCTTTGTCGGGTGCTGTCATTGTTGCCATCCTGTGCTGCTTTTCAGTTATCTACCCCACCTCCCACACACAGATTTACACTTTATGTTACACACAGTTCCCAGCACCATCTTCAGTAACTACCTTCCAGTCATTTAAAAAACAGCTTTATTGAGATGTAATTCACATACCATATAACTCACTATTTAAAATACCCAATTCAGTAGTTTTTTAGTATATTCACAGAGTTGTGCACCCATCACCACAATCAAATTTAGGACATTTTCATGACCTTGTTCCCTTTTTTTTTTGAGACAGGTTCTGGCTCTGTTGCCTAGGCTGGAGTGCAGTGGCTCGATGTTGGCTCACTGCACCTCCGCCTCCGACACTCAAGCAATCCTCCCACCTCAGTCTCCCGAGTAGCTGGGACTACAGGCGCACTGCCCCATGCCTGGCTAATTTTTTGTAGAGATGGGGTTTCACCACATTGCCCAGGCTGGTGTTGAACTCCTGAGCTCAAGCCATCCACCTGCCTCAGCCACCCAAAGTGCTGGGATTACAGGCGTGAGCCACTGTGCCTGGCCCCATTCCTATCAGTCACTTTTCATTCCCACCCCCACCTTACCAGACCTTCATCCCTAGGCAACCACTGTCTCCATTAATTTGCCTATTCTGGATATTTCATATAAACGGAATCAGGTAACACTGTATTTGGCCTTTTGTAACTGGCTTCTTTTTGTTGCCCAGCCTGGAGTGCAGTGGTATGATCATGGCTGACTGCAGCCTCAGCCTCCTGCCTTAGCCTCCTGAATAGCTGGAGCTATGGGTGTGTGCCACCATGCCCAGCTAATTTTTCCATTTTTTTGTAGAGACAGGGTCTAACTCTATTGCCTAGGCTAGTTTCGAACTCCTGGGCTCAAGCAGTCCTCCCGCTTCAGCTTCCCAAAGTGCTGGGATTACAGGCGTGAGCCACCACGCCTGGCCAGCATAATGTTTTCAGGGTTAATCTATGTCACAGCATGTATCGCTACCTTATTCCTTTTTGTGGCTGAATAATATTCCACTGGATGGATGTAGCACATTTTATCTATTCTTCAGTTGATGGACATTTGGGTTGTTTCTACTTCTTAGCTATTATGAATATTCGCCTGTTCTAGTCACTTTGAGAGAGATCAGTGCCATAGAAGAGAAGTAGGGGAGTGGGGCTACTATTCTTTCTCTTGCTGCCTTTTCACTCCTCTGCTCCTACAAGTGGGAAACCTCCAACCATAGTTTCTTCAGGCTTCTGGAGAAAGCTTGGAACCCCTCCTGCTTCTGGCTCACTCTGTTCCATGCTGATAGGCACAGGAATGTGAAAATGAGTAGCGCTACTGCTGTACCTTTCTTACTCTACCATTAACTTGTTAATGCCTAGTTCATTCCCCAATGTAATTTTCATAGCAACTTTTATAGTTTTTATACTAGATACATGATTTGCTTAGTTTTATCACCTCATCAAAAAAGCTTCCTTTATCAGGCTGGGCCCGGTGGCTCACGCCTATAATCCCAGTACCTTGGGAGGCCAAGGTGGGCGGATCACTTGAGGTCAGGAGTTGGAGACCAGCCTGGCCAACATGTTGAAACCCTGTCTCTACTAAAAACATAAAAAAATTTGCTGGGTGTGATGGCGGGTGCTGGTAGTCCCAGCTGCTTGGGAGGCTGAAGCATGAGAATCACTTGAACCCAGGAGGTGGAGGTTGCAGTGAGTGCAGATTTCGCCACTGCACTCCAGCCTGGGCGACAAAGAGAGACTCTGTCTTAAAAAAAAACAAGCCACCACCAAAAAAAGCTACCTTTATCAATCAAGTACAGTCATGTGTCACTTAATGATGGGGATATGTTCTGAGAAATGTGTCATTTGGCAGTTTCGTTGTTGAGTGAACATTACAGAGTATACTTACACAAACCCTAGATGGTATAGCCTACTACATACCTAGGCTACATGGTGTAGCCGGTTGCGCCTGGGCTACAAACCTGCACAGCAGGTTACTGTACTGAATACTGTACATAATCCTAAGACAATGGTATTTGTATATTTAAACATAGAAAAAGTATGGTTAAAATATCATATAAAATATATTTTAAAAAGGCACACCTGTATAAGGCACTTACCATGAATGGAGTTTCCAGGACTGGAAGTTGTTCTGGGTGAGTCAGTGAGTGAGTGGTGAGTGAGTGTGAGTGCCAGAAACATTACTGTACACTTTACAAACACTGTACACTTGGCCATACTAAATTTATTTTAAAAACATACATTCAATAATAGATTAACCTAACTTACTGTAACTTTCTTACATTTTATAAACTTTTTTTTTTAACTTCTTGACTCTTGTAGTAACACTTAGCTTAAAACACAAACACAGTACAGCTATACAAAAATATCTTTCTTTTATCTTTTTTCCGAGATGGAGTCTCCCTCTGTCACCCAGGCTGGAATGCAGTGGCACGATCTTAGCTCACTGCAACCTCTGCCTCCTGGGTTCAAGTGATTCTCCTGCCTCAGCCTCCTGAGTAGTTGGGATTACAGGCTCCTGCCACCACGCCTGGCTAATTTTTGTATTTTTAGTAGAGATGGGGTTTCGCCATGTTGGCCAGGCTGGTCTTGAACTAATGACCTCAAGTGATCAGCCCTCCTTGGCCTCCCAAAGTGCTGGCATTACAGGCATGAGCTACTGTGCCTGACCCAAAAGTATTTTCTTTTTATCTTCTATAAGCTTTAAATGTTGTTTTTAACTTTTTAAACTTTTTTGTTAAAAACAAAGACACAAACACACACATTAGCCTAGCGCATAGAACTACATAGGGTCAGGATCATCAAGATGTCACTAAGTGACAGGAATATTTTAGCTCCATTATAATCTTACGGGACTACTGTCATACATGCCCTTCGCTGTTGACCAAAATGTTATTATGTGACGTATGACTGTACTTATTCTATGCCAGGTACTTTTTAAGCACTTTATATGAATTATTTAATACTCTGAGCAACTATTATCACCCTCATATTTTAGAGGAGGAAATTGAGATCCAAAGAGGTCAAGCAGGCCAAGTGCAGTGGCTCACGCCTATAATCCTAGCACTTTGGGAGGGCAAGGTGGGCGGATCACCTGAGGTCAGGAGTTCAAGACCAGCCTGGCCAACATGGTGAAATCTTGTCTCTAGCAAAATACAAAAATTAGCCTGGCGTGATGGCGGGTGCTGGTAGTCCCAGTTACTCGGGAGGCTGAGCTGGGAGAATCGCTTGAACCTGGGAGACGGTGGTTGCAGTGAGCCGAGATCGTGCCACTGCACTCCAGCCTGAGCGGCTGAGCAAGACTCCATCTCAAAAAAAAAAAAAAAAAAAAAAGGTTAAGCAGGCAGGGTGCAGTGGCTTTGGGAAGCCAAGGTGGGAGGATTGCTTGAGACCAAGAATTTGAAACCAGCCTGGGCAACATAGTGAGAACCCTGTCTCTACCAAAAAGTAAAAATAAAAAAAATTAGCTGGGTATGGTGGCATGTGCCTGTAGTCCTAGCAACTGGGGAGGCTGAGGCAGGAGGATTGCTTGAGCCCAGGAGGTGAAGGCTGCAGTGAACTATGATCGTGCCATTGCACTCCAGCTTGGGTGACACAGTGAAACCCTGCCTCTTAAAAAAACCAAAAGGGTTAAGGAGTTTGCTTGAGGTAACATAGCTAGTGTGTGTAATGGGGTTCTAACCCAAGTAGTATGACTGTAGAGCTCTGATTGTTAAAATGGCACAGAGTAGGGGGAGACCACACTGTTTTTTTTTGAGACAGAGTTTCATTCTTCTTGCCCAGGCTGGAGTGCAATGGCACGATCTCAGCTCACCGCAACCTCCGCCTCCTGGGTTCAAGCAATTCTCCTGCCTCAGCCTCCAGAGTAGCTGGGATTACAGGCATGCGCCATCATGCCCAGCTAATTTTGTATTTTTAGTAGAGATGGGGTTTCTCCATGTTGGTCAGGCTGGTCTCAAACTCCCGACCTTAGGTGATCTGCCCACATTGGCCTCCCAAAGTGCTGGGATTACAGGTGTGAGCCACTGTGCCCGGCCACTTTCTGCTTATTTTTAACAAATTGCTTTTCCTCTAAGCTGCCTACCTGCCCTTTGAATGAGAAGAGCCCCATTTATGGGCAGCTCAGTCTGTGCAAGGGAGACTTCTGCCCCTGGGTTTGGGGTCAGTGTCTCTCCCAAGTGGTCCTCTGGTGTTTAATGGCTGCAGTAAGGGTGCTGTGGGAGCCACACGGGCTCTGCCTGGCAAAGGCTGGGCTAGGCTCCATTTTCCCCTAGAGAAGCAAGCTGATGGAAAGACCTCTCTACTGGATAAGTTTGTGCAGCCTGCCTCAGGGGAATTCCACTTGTTCTTGCCTCTGCCTGGGAAAGCCAGGTTCCCTCTTGTTGGAGGTGGGGCTGGGGCTGGATGTAGCACAGGCAAAAAAGGCCTTGGGGTGCTGCTTGGTGCATGCTGAGACCTGTGTCCCTGCCCTGGAGAGTGTGGAGTCCTGCCCGCTTTCTTCCTCACACACCCCTGGACTCCAGGCCTGGCCTTTAAGGGCATGTGCTTATGCATGTTTATGAGCAGGTCTCAGCCCAGTGCATGTGCCTGGGAGTCATGATCCTTCCAGATGGTGTACAGGCTTTCCTGATGGAACCTCTAGTAGGTTTCCTAAGCGTGTATGCTTGGCTTAGGCCATCCCTGGGCAGTGCCCCTAATCTGTTCCCTGACCTTTTGATTTCTTAGAACTTGAAGTTGTCTGTGCAAATGGCTTCTTTTCTGGGTGTTTGAGTTTTGCTGTGTTCTAGAACTCCCTGATGTGCTGCTGTGATGTTGGGGGCCACCAGATTCTGTGTGAGCACAAGCAGGTTCTTCACCTCCCTCCTTGTCTCCCTGCTTTTCTTATCTGATCATCCTTACACTGCCCCCAGCCCCCACGCTCTTGTTCCTCCTGTGCCTGTTGCTTTGGGAGCCAGCTCAGGTATCCTAGAAACAAGGAGAGAAACAAAACTCAGAAAATTCTCTGAGGCCCGGAGGCGAATATCAAACCAAAACAAAGTTTTCTGAAAGGAAATGGAACAGCACAGGAAAGGAGGGTGGGCAGTGTGTCAGGCAGAGGTGGGTAGGAGCTCCAGGCTGAGCATGGAGCCTGTCCTAGTGGCTCCTACATCCCTTGGCCGTTGTTTCCCCACGGGAAGCCCCCCTACTAGAGGATGCCAGACAGCCCCTTTGAGAGACTTAATTGAGTTGAACACCCTTAATTGAGTTGGGCCTTTTCCTCAGCCAGCTGGTGGAAGGTTGATGGGCCTTCAAGCCCAGCACAGCCCCTGTGCCCCTGTGCCCCTGTGCCCAGTCCTGAGAATGGGTTTCTCCTGGCTCCTATGCCAGAATGGCCTGGGTGAGTGCCCTGCGCACAGCTGCTCCTCTCCCGCTGGGATGGGAAGTGTCCCAGCAAGGTGACGGGGTGTATCTGGCAGCTAAGAAGAGACCTCTTGGTTGATTTAAGTGGGGAGGAGAAGAGGGAACCCCTGCTCTCCTGAGGAGGCCCTCCATTTCCTCAGCCCATGTTAAAATTGATTCTGAGATCCTCAGCTTTGAAGCATTGCACTGGGTGTGACAGAATTCTCCTCCTGAACTGTGTTCTCGTGACACCTGAGCTGAAGGAACACAGAGCTACCTTCTTACTTGCTGTAGGGTATTCGCCAGGGACAGTAGAGAGACCAGGTGGGCCTGAGAGAAGAAAAGGTTGGGACTTGGTGCCCAGGATCATGCAGTGTGTTAGCAGACAGGCCTGTGACCTCAGTGTTCTGCTCTTTCCACCTCTACACTGCCCTTGAGCATCAAGGAGTCCTAAATGCCTGAGGTACAGGAGAACCATGGACCTCTCCCCAGGGCCCTCATTCACACTCTGCTACCCAGGAGGTTCCTTGGCAGCCAGGGCTTTGAGATCTTGCCCCTAGTGACTTGAAGACATATTCACTTGTTTACAAATAATTACTGAGGGCCTATCGTCTAGGCCCTGGGAAATTAACAGTAAGTAAAACAGACCAAAAATACCATCCTCACAGAACTGGCAGTCTGGTGTGTGAAGATGGATCCCCACCCCCAGTGTAAGTTATAAGCGTGATTACAAATTGATGTGTGCTTTGGAAACAGTAGAAGCGGTAGCAGTGACGGAGGTAGGGTTGTAATGATAAATAGGGCTGGAGGGCGACATTTGAGCGAGGCCAGAAGCCCCTTTGGCATGCTTCTGTGAGTCATTCTCAGATTTTACCTGGTCTGAAAGAAAACAATTCAAAGGCCCAGGGTCCCTGGTTGACCTTGTGTGTCCTGCTCCCTGTGTCTGTGCTGCCCCATGCATAGCTCATCCCATCTGGGGGATGGAGAGTGGTAGGAGGTGGATCCTATGGGAATCCTGGGCTCTTTGTGGTAGCAGCAGGCCTGGACCTGTGTAGGGAAGGGGGATGTTGAAGGCTTGGCCCTTCCTGGGCAGTGGGCCCAGCACCTGGCACTGGTACTCCACAGCGTGACTCCCCCAGGCTGAGGCCTTACGTCCTTCTGTGAGAGTGAGCAGCCGCCCTGCACCCTCAGGTGCTGAGTTGCAGGACTCAGCTGATTGGTCCAACCCAGCCCTTGGCATGTGGTGGATCCCAGCCAGCACTGAGCAAGGGCTCACCCTGCTGGGCAGGGTCAGGGGATGTGGAGAGAAAGATTGATACAAACTGTGCCCCGCACTCCTCTCCCCAGCTGACCTAGGAGCTTGCTCAGAGTTCACCAAGAAGGCTGAGAGGGCTCCTTGGTGCTTTTGAGAACAGGTCAGGAGGGCCTCAAGTCAAGCACACAAGGAGCCCTGGCTATGCTGCTCTCACTTCAGCATCTGCGTTATCGTCCCTGCATGTGTAGCTGCGACCGTGGTTGCATGCTGTCTTTCTCTTGTTGGATGGCTTCCAAATATCAATAATTAGAAATAAAAATAGTTGCTTAAGGGATGACCTCTGTGTGTTTCCTTTTCTTGCTTAGCTCTTCCATGGCACACCTGAGAATTTCTTAGGCTATACTGGGGGCAAGGGGATGTTAGAGGAGGGAGAAATTGCCTCATTGCCTCTAGCCAGTCATCCTTCTATCTACGTAGTGTTCCTACACACACACACA
This sequence comes from Homo sapiens, assembly GCF_000001405.40. Taxonomy (NCBI): domain Eukaryota; kingdom Metazoa; phylum Chordata; class Mammalia; order Primates; family Hominidae; genus Homo; species Homo sapiens. The sequence goes on from NC_000015.10 coordinate 41,807,234, forward strand.
TGCATCATTCACCCTTCTTCCACCATGGAGCTGAACATAGGAGAAGGAGGAAACAGAGGATATTGTGTCCCAGGAAGACTGAGTTTGTATGCAGTGACTTGGAAAGTGTTTTAAGCAGTCTGATGCACTACCCTTTAAAGGCTGAAATGCTGCTTTGGGATGAGAATTAAGGGAAAACTCATAAACTTGCAAATAGATCCCAGTTTTTCTGGATTTGGAATATGGTTGGCTGGATTATGCATCGAGTCAATTCAATTAGATCAACTCTCAGCTGAAGCCCTTTACTGTGGTTCCTGTGTAACTAATCAGAAGGCTAGGGAACCTGTCCCCATTCAGACTAGAGCCTTTGCTGGAGAGAGGAGTCTGTAGAGGGCCTCAGGTCAGCACAGATTGCAGGAAGGTTCAGAAAACGTTGTTTAACCACTGAGAACTTTCTGGGCTCTGAATTCATGATAGTGGCAGGCCTGGGGCTATTACTTTTCATATACTGCATAAAGTATTAAAACCTAAATATCTAAATTTGGCTGGGCACAGTGGCTCACGCCTGTAATCCCAACACTTTGGGAGGCCAAGGTGGGTGGATCACCTGAGGTCAGGAGTTTGAGACCAGCCGACCAATATAGTGAAATCACATCTCTACTAAAAATATAAAAAAATTAGCCAGGCTTGGTGATGGGTGCCTGTAATCCCAGCTACTGGGGAGGCTGAGACAGAAGAATTGCTTGAACGCGGGAGGTGGAGGTTGCAGTGAGCCGAGATCACGCCACTGCACTCCAGCCTGGGTGATAGAGTGAGACTCCATCTCAAAAAAAAAAGAAAAAAAAATCTAAATCTGTGCACTTTGAACTCTTATAATTTTCTTTCTTTCTTTCTTTTTTTTTTTTTTTTTTGTAGACCTAGTCTCGCTCTGTCACCCAGGCTGGAGTGCCATGGCGTGATTTTGGCTTGCTGCAAGCTCCGCCTCCTGGGTTCACGCCATTCTCCTGCCTCAGCCTCCCCAGTAGCTGGGACTACAGGTGCCCGCCACCACGCCTGGCTAATTTTTGTATTTTTAGTAGAGATGGGGTTTCACCATGTTGGCCAGGATGGTCTCGATCTCCTGACCTCGTGATCTGCCAGCCTCAGCCTCCCAAAGTGCTGGGATTACAGGCGTGAGCCACCACTCCCGGCTCTGTTATAATTTTCGTTTGCCTGCTCAAGAGCGATGGGGTGCAGAGTTTCCAGAGCCATCTTGCTTTTGTCGTACTTTTTTTTTTTTTGAGACAGAGTCTAGTTCTTGTCGCCCAGGCTGGACTGCAATGGCATGATCTCAACTCATTGCAACCTTCACCTCCTGGGTTCAAGCAATTCTCCTGCCTCAGCCTCCCAAGTAGCTGGGATTACAGGTACCCACCACCACACCTGGCTTATTTTTGTATTTTTAGTAGAGATGGGGTTTTACCATGTTGGCCAGCCTGATCTCGAACTCCTGACCTCAGGTGATCTGCCTGTCTCAGCCTCCCGAAGTGCTGGGATTATAGGCATAAGCCACTGTGCCCGGCCTGTCATACTTTTTAAAACCCTCCTGACTGTGACATTCTAGAAGGGGAAGCAGGAGACTAGAAAGTGGTATAAAAAGAGAAAGGAGTTCAAGACCAGCCTGGGCAACATGGCAAAACCCCATCTCTACAAAAAATACAAAAATTAACTGGGTATGGTGGCATGTGCCTGTAATCCCAGCTACTTGGGAGGCTGAGGTGGGAGGATTGCTTGAGCCCAGGAGGTCGAGGCTGCAGGGAGCTGTGATGGTGCCATGGTGCCACTGCAGTCCAGCCTGGGTGACAGAGCGAGACCCTGCCTCAAAAAAAAAAAAAAAAATGAAGGAAGGGCTGAGCCAGGGTGGCATGAGCCTGTAATCCCAGCTACTTGGGAGGATGAGGCAGGAGGATTACTTGAGCCCAGGAGTTCAAGACCAGCTTGGGCAACATAGTGAGACCTTGTCTCAAAAAAACAGAGAAAGGAAACAGGAACAAGGAAAGAGTAGGAAATGGAGAAAGAAGGAGGAAAAAAAAACAGGAAGAGTTGAGGGGTTAGAGGAGAAAATGATGTGACTCAGGAATTCCACAGCTGTTGGTCAGCCTGGCAGTTCTGGGCATATCTAGTCACATCGGAGGTCCCAGTGTCCCCAAATTTGCATATCAAAGTGGTTTATTGAGCCCAAGATGCTTAGCCCTCACTAGCAACTTGCACCTACCTCCCTTCAAGTTTCCAGCCAGTAGTGGCGTTCAGATATGGGGGCTGCAGTGGGGTCCCACTAGGGAAAATTAGGTCTGGGGGAAGTAGCTGTCTCCTCTTTCTCTCCTCCCTGCCTTTCCTATTCGCAGTCTCCAGGCTTGCTCTTGTCTGCTATTTCCAGTGCTAATGAAGAGTTGAGGCAGAAGGGGCAACGGGCCAGGGCCTGCTGACAGCCAGGAAGCCTAAAGAGAAGCTGCCTGGCTATTGGCCTTTGGCTTCTTGCCCCCGATTCCTACTACCCAGCTTCCATCTCCGGAGCTGCCTCTGGAAAGGCAGGACCTGATTCCATCCAGCAGCCTTGCTGCCTGACGGGAGAGGTTGCCCCCACCTTCTCTGTGAGGCAGGCAGAGTCCCTGATTCTGCTTCTGGCAGTCGGGGGGTTCTTCTCAGGTTTCTTGGGGCCAGAGATTCTCAGGGTGGGGCTTGGGACCTCTGTGGCACTGTAAGGCTTTCCCAGGCCTTCTCAGGCTATCTCTATCCCCCACCCCATCTTACTGAGCCTCTCTGCTGTGTGGCCCCTGCCTCGCCTCCCACTTCCTTCCTTATTCAACACATGGTGTGGGGGGCCAGCTCTTGCCAGGTACACACGTGGGTGCACACGTGAGAGGCCTTACATCTTAAGGCACACATGCTTGATACACGTGTGGCCCCAAGCCTGTGAACGGGCTGTGCACCCGAGGCCTGCTTTGCCCAAATCACATTTCTTCTTCCCTCCTACACCCCTTCCTGGGGTATGCACAAGGGCTGCGGGATGGCCTGTGTCCCTGCTGCCCTTTGTGGGTATGGCCAGAGATAGAGCTGGTATTTAGGGGCCTGGCTGGGGGGACAGGCTTCCAGGGAACCCTTTCACCCTCATGGGGCTACAGAGATAGTTCCTCTTGGGTGGGGAAAAGGAGCAAGAACAGGTTGCCAGGAGAAAGCAGTGGAGGCTGGGCACGGTGGCTTATGCCTGTAATCCCAGCACTTTGGGAGGCAGATCACTTGAGTTCAAGAGTTTGGGACCAGCCTGGGCAACGTGGCAAGATCCCGTGTCTACAAAAAAAAAAAAAAAAAAATACAAAGATTAGCTTGCATGGTGGCACATGCCTGTGGTTCCAGCTACTAGGGAGGCTAAGGTGGGAGGATTGCTTGAACCTGCAAGTTGAGGCTGCACTGAGCCATGTTTGCACCACTGCACTCTGGCTGGGATGACAGAGTAAGATCCTGTCTCAAAAAAAAAAAAAAAAAAAAAAGAAAAGGAAAAAAACAGTGGAGCCCTTCTGAGCTCTTTCTACCCAGCTCCCTCTGCCGGGTGACTGGAAGTCCTGGGTGGCCTGGAGGGCTCCTGGGGGAGCTGTGGTTTGCTGCTGAGCCTGTTGTCTGCTCATCTCCTCAGGTGTGTGGTTGTGTTGTTCAATCCCCGGAAACACAAACAGCACCACATCCTCAACAGTTCCAGGTAAATGGGCTGGGGTCCTCAGGATACCTCTTCCTTCTGGGAGCTATGAGAAGGGCACTGTCTAGAGTCTCTATGGCTCTGGGGGCTGGGACCTGGTTGGGTCCTAAAGCCAGATGGGGAAGTGCCACATGTGCCATTGGTGTCTGCTGGTCTCACCTTTTGAGAGGCTGGGAGGGGGCTAGGCTTAGGCCAGGCTGCCAGTGCCCCTCTGAGCCTGCCCCATCTCTTGCAGGAAAACCATCACTGCCCTTGCCTTCTCCCCTGATGGCAAGTACTTGGTCACTGGAGAGGTGAGTGAGGAAGAGGGCTGGCAGTACTGTAAAGAGGGCAGGTGTCCTGGCCTCCGCAGAGAGCTGCGGTCCTAGGCCTGCTGTCACTTTGGCTTCTGAAACAGACACCAAATCCTGGTTTTCGCTATACCTTAAAATAGTGGTTCTCAAGCTTTAGTGTACATCAGAATCACTTGGAGGGCTTGTGAAAGCACACATCACTAGCCTGGTCCTCAGAGTTTCTGATTCTGTAGGTCTGGGATGGGAGTCTGAAATGTGCATTTGTAACAAGTTCCCAGAGAGTGCTGATCCTGCTGGTGAAGGAAGCGTGCTTTGGAAACCACTGCCTTAACTATTCCTTACCCCCGGGGGCCCCCTGCTGGGCTCAGGAGGAACGCTTCTGTCCTGGCGGCGTAGTCTTACTAGGGGCAGAAATAGACCTGAGTGGTAGTGGCTCTCAATGCCGGCTGCCCATCAGAACCATTCAGGGAGCTTTGAACAACCTGAAGTACAGACGGCCACCCAGAGATGCTGACTAAAATCCGGGGCCACTTTCTTCCTGGTAATCACTGTTGCCCTCAGATCTTTATCATATTTCCTCTATACCCTGCCCTGACTTTTGGCTGGGGAAGTGATGGTATCTAGTAGCTGAGGAGGCGAGGGCCCCGCTCTGGAAGACGAAGTGGGGCTGTATGCCTGTGGAGAAGTCAAGAACTCACTTCCAGTTCTTGCCTCCCTGCAGAGTGGGCACATGCCTGCCGTGCGGGTTTGGGACGTGGCAGAGCACAGCCAGGTGGCCGAGCTGCAGGAGCACAAGTATGGTGTGGCTTGTGTGGCCTTCTCTCCTAGCGCCAAGTACATTGTCTCTGTGGGCTACCAGCATGACATGATCGTCAACGTGTGGGCCTGGAAGGTGAGTGGCTGGGTGGGGTGGCCTGGCAGCCTCACAGGGGTCAAGTGTCAGCTGGGGAGGCAAGAGACTGCTGACCTGCACTGCTCCATTCCACCCCACTGAACCATTCTCATTCTAGAAAGTTATTTGAAGCAGAAAAGAGCAACTGTGTGGCCAAGCATGTTGGTTGAAGGGGCTAGCTTTATGCCTTCAAAGACTTCTGCAGGAAACGAATCTTTTCAGCTCCTCTAGAAAGGGATTATTTCCCTACCCCTCTTTTTCTGGCCAGTAAATTCTGGAAAGAAACACTTTGTCAAGTACAAATTCTAATTCTCCTCCATTCTCTGAGTCACTGTCTTCTTAGCTCCAAGAGACAGAGCCTTGATTCTTCCTTTGGCATCCCCTCCAGAAAAACATTGTGGTGGCCTCCAACAAGGTGTCCAGTCGGGTGACAGCAGTGTCCTTCTCTGAGGATTGCAGCTACTTTGTCACTGCAGGCAACCGACACATCAAATTCTGGTATCTCGATGACAGCAAGACCTCAAAGGTGAGGTGCTGAAGCTGGGAGTAGCCACCAAGGCCCCTGGCAGGGCCTGCCCAGCCCAACCCAGGAGACTCTGCCCCACTTGGGCCTCTCTCTGCATTCCCAGCAGTCATGCAGAAGTTTTGGATGAGCCAGATGCTGTCTGGGCTGAGGAGTAGGCCCAAAGAGCAAGGAGGTGCTGGAGGCGTCCCCTGTACTCTCCTAGGGCCCAGTTTCCAGGGGCAGGCTCTGGGGTGGATGGGGGTGTAACAGTGGTGTGCCTCCACAGGTGAATGCCACTGTGCCCTTGCTGGGCCGCTCAGGGCTGCTGGGAGAGCTACGGAACAACCTATTCACTGATGTGGCCTGTGGCAGAGGAAAAAAGGCGGACAGTACCTTCTGCATCACGTCCTCAGGGCTGCTGTGCGAGTTCAGTGATCGAAGGCTTTTGGACAAGTGGGTGGAGCTGAGGGTAAGTACCTCCGTCCCCAGGGGTAGGGTCTGCTCATGTCTCAGCTCAGGGGAGAACTAGTGCCCAGGGCTTCAGACTAGGGGCTGGTCCCTTGTGCATACGGGAGATCCCAGGAGAACGAAGCTTGGGGGAGCTAGAGCTTGGCCCATTTCCAGCCCTTGGTGATCTGTATAACTGCCTCCTCTCTGCTCTTTCTGTCTCTTTCCCCTGCTTTCCTCTTCCGCTCAGAACATAGACAGCTTCACAGTAAGTGGTGCCTGCACCTTCCTCTCTTTCTCATGCTATTTCTTTCTCTTCACTGGGCTTTTCCTACTGGATCCTCTGGTGCCTAGAAGAATCCTCGGTTCCTAATCCCTGGCTGGACAGGGCTGAGGGGCTCAGAACAGGGCAGCTGGGCGGCTTTTCCCTTGCCCCTGCCTTGGCCGGTCCCTCCTCTTGGCAGGTGGCTGTTGATGGGTGGGGAGGAGAGAAGACTGAGTGGGCAGGTGGCCTTGCTGAGCTGAGCCACTCTGCCCACAGACCACAGTGGCCCACTGCATCTCTGTGAGCCAAGACTACATCTTCTGTGGCTGTGCTGATGGCACCGTGCGCCTTTTCAACCCCTCTAACCTGCACTTCCTTAGCACCTTGCCCCGACCCCATGCTCTGGGGACAGACATTGCTAGCGTCACCGAGGCCAGGTGAGCTATGTGGGCCCCCCTTCCTCCATTTGTAGCCTTACCCCTGCCCAGTCTTTCTTGTCAGTGCCTCAGGGAGCAGGTGAAGAGTGTATTGATGCCCCAAAGATTATTGGGAACACCTCTTTAGACAGAAGAATTTGGGTTTATTGGTACTTGTTGCAACCAAGGAGACCCCACCCCATGGAGAACTGTGGAGAGTCTCAGTAAGTGGGTGTTAGGAGGGACATATGGGATTTGGGTTTGCGTTGGGTGATTTTAGGAATCGTTCAAGGGATTGAAGTATTCTGGTTGGATGCTGTCCGGAACTAGGGGCAATTCTACAGTGGAACATCTTGTTAATTTATCTAAGAGGTGAAGGAAAGGTATGGGGCTAAAGCTGTATTTGGTCAAGAAGCCGCCAGCAGTCATGTAGATGGGAAAGGCGGTGTTTGGTCATTGTCATGGTTCGTTGTGGTTTGTATGGTGATCTTGTTTTTATCTGTGCACAGAGTAGTCTTGTTTTTGTTTTGCCCCATCACAGCCATAGAAGTACCTTGTCTAACGTTGGTGTTCTGTGAAGCTGTGTTCATCCGAACACCATGGCCCAGCAGCTAGTGCTGGGTCAGGTTCCTGCTGATGGCTAGTAGGGGCTCCTTTCTTCTCTCAAGCAACTACTTCCAAACCTGCAGGTCCAGGGAGGGCTCCTCACACACTGCTCCTTCCATTGTGGATTGGCTTCTCTTTTCATTCCCTTCAGTCTGACCAGTGTGCCCTGTCCTCTCCCTACAGTCGCCTCTTCTCTGGAGTGGCGAATGCCAGGTATCCAGACACCATTGCCTTGACCTTTGATCCTACTAATCAGTGGCTGTCTTGTGTGTACAACGATCATAGCATTTATGTTTGGGATGTGAGGGACCCCAAGAAAGTGGGCAAGGTGTACTCGGCTCTGTATCATTCTTCCTGCGTCTGGAGTGTGGAGGTATGTGGGCTGGCTGGCTGGCTGGAGACTGGCCAGGTTGGCTGGGATACCATTTTGAGGACAGAAAATAGGGATCCCCAAGTATAATCTTAGATTCCTGCTGCCTCCCTGTTTCTCCAGTGACTTCCCTGGGATAGATCCTGGGGACTGAGTTTGAATGTTACAGGCTTCCCCAGTGTGCCCCATCCTTAGTTTTGCCTCGGTCATCTTGGACAAGTTATTGAATTTGACCAAGCCTCAGTTTCCTCACCTGTAAAATGGTGTACTTGATTCACCTAATTGTTCTAAGAATAAAATGAAATAATGTAAGTGGGAGACATAGAAGAGTGCCTGATATATAGTGGGTGCTTCCCCTTGGTCATGTTGAAGGGTATATACCAGTTATGTATGGCCTGTGACAGGCACTGGGCTAAGTCCTGGCCACCATTCCCTTTTTCGTCCCATTCCCTTCCATCTCCTTGGGTAGGCAGAGGACTGCTCCCGAATGGAGGTCTGATTGTGTTCCCTCGGCCTCTTCAGGTCTACCCCGAGGTGAAGGATAGTAACCAGGCCTGCCTGCCCCCCAGTTCCTTTATTACCTGCTCCTCAGACAACACCATCCGCCTGTGGAACACAGAGAGCTCCGGGGTGCATGGCTCCACCCTCCACCGAAACATCCTCAGCAGTGTGAGCCCTGAGGCTGTGGGGCCCCGCTTCACCCTCAGTGCCCCCATCCCCACAGCTATTGCACCTTGTTACTGGGAACTGGTCCCTAGGCCTTGGCCTTCCAGCCTTCATTTGGCTGTGCTCTGTGGTCCAAGGGTTTGTTTTGCTCAGCTTTCTTGCCCCTTGCAGCTGTACTGGTCAGGCCTGCCTCATCCACCTTTTCTAACCTGTTCCACTAGGACCTCATTAAAATCATCTATGTGGATGGGAACACCCAGGCCCTGCTGGACACAGAGCTGCCTGGAGGAGACAAAGCTGATGCATCCCTGTTGGATCCCCGCGTGGGCATCCGCTCGGTGTGTGTCAGCCCCAATGGACAGCATCTAGCATCAGGGGACCGTATGGGCACACTTAGGTAATGCCAGGCCCTGGGTGGGTACTGACTGCCTCTCATGGTGCAGAGTTGGGTATTTAGAACTTTAGGGAGGGTTTGGCTCAAAAAGATTGGGCAACAAGATACTTATTTACAAGGCAAAGATAATAACTTCACAATGAGTAAACCTAGCAGAAATCATCTTCACCAAGTGATCAAGGTTAACATCCTCATATCAACATCATTAAGCCCATGATAGGATGTACTAAGAAGGATGTGACAATGTTTCTGTGGTATTCTTACCAAAAATGCATAAACTCAATATAGGCGTGAGAAAACATCCGACAAACTCACATTGAGGTACATACCACAGAGTAACTGATCAATACTCTTCAAAAACGTCAAGATCATGAAAAGTAAGGAAAGACCAGAGAACTGTTACAGACCACAGAAGTCTAAGGAGAAGTAACTAAATGCAATTTGGATTCTGGATAGGATCTAGAGTCAAGAAAAAGGACATAGTAGGAAAACTGGTGAAATTTGAATAAGGTCTCTAATTAATAGTATTATACCAACATAAATTTCCTAGTTTTGATAATTGCACTATCGTTATGTAAGATGTTCACATTAGGGAAAGCTGGGTAAGGGAAATATAGACGCTCTCTGTTCTTTCAGCAACTTTTCTCTAAGCCTAAAAGTTCAAAAAAAGGAAAAAGGAGGAGAAAATGTAGCAGAGGAGGGGGCGTGAGTCCTTCCTGCGGCCTGGCCATGGCCTCTTCCCACCTCTCCTCATCTTTGCAGGGTGCACGAACTTCAGTCCCTGAGTGAGATGCTGAAGGTGGAGGCCCATGACTCTGAGATTCTGTGCCTGGAGTATTCTAAGCCAGACACAGGTTAGGAGAATGCCCGGAATGGCACAGGGCTCCTCCAGTCCTGCCGGTGCCACTTATATCTGTCCCGGCTCTTGGACGTGGGGTCGGTAATCTTTGGATCATTGGTGTCTTTGCTGGTTTAGAGGAAGACAGCTCTGTCCTTGCTCCATGGTTCACATGGCTTGGGGATATGGGGCTCAGTTCCCTTGGGGCTCTTTGCCAGGCCCAGATAAGGGCTGTTCAGGGCACTCATGGGCTGATGGAGTTCTTTCATCCCCAGGTCTGAAACTGCTAGCATCGGCGAGCCGGGACCGGCTGATCCATGTGCTGGATGCCGGGCGGGAGTACAGCCTACAGCAGACGCTGGACGAACACTCATCCTCCATCACTGCTGTTAAGTTTGCAGGTGCGGGCAGGGTGAATGAGACACATCCTGCCACTCTCACCCCTGCTGCCATCTGCCTCCCACCTCCATGAGAAGGGTCTGCCCATTGTGGGGGAGTGTTGGACAGCAGCTGGGAGGCCTGGAGCTGGTTGGGAAGATAGGTGGAACAGAGACTCTCAGTGCTGGGACTTGAGCCAACCAGGTTGGACTGAGGATAAGGAGACAGGAAAACCTGGGTTTCCAGGTTTAATTTAGTTGGTTTTCCCTGGCATGTAGAGTAGCTTGATGGGGGATCTCATGGAGGGAAGGTGGGAGGCAGGCTGCTCCCATGTGGTGAGAACAGTGGGAACAGCTGGGCTTCCCTCCTTCATAGCCAGTGATGGGCAAGTCCGCATGATCAGCTGTGGAGCAGACAAGAGCATCTACTTCCGCACTGCGCAGAAGGTGAGGGCGCTGGGCTTTCCTGAGAGGGGCGGGACAGGGCGGGGTCTGCCATTCCCTGCCTAAGGTTACAAGAGGTGAAGGGAGGCGCAAGTAGGGCTCTTGGGGCCTGGTGAGGCATTTGGGTGTGGGCCTGCCCACATGCTCCACCCCTGCAGTCTGGAGATGGAGTGCAGTTCACACGGACACACCACGTGGTGCGGAAGACGACCCTCTATGACATGGATGTGGAGCCCAGCTGGAAGTACACGGCTATCGGCTGCCAGGACCGAAATATTCGGTGGGCGTCCCCTCCTCAGACTCTGCCCACATTCCTTCATCTCCCTACGGGGTCAGCTCTGTGCAGCTAAGTTCCCACATCTGTCGTTCTGTACAGGACTTTGTACCCCCTTGAGCCTACAGTACTTTGCTTCACCCAAGAGGTGGTAGCCTGTTTGCTGCTGGGGGTAGCTCCCAGAGAGTGTAGACTGGGAGTGAAAGCTGGCATTTCCATCCCCCAGGCGTGTTCCACCTTCACCGCCTCCTCATGAGAAAGAGACTATGTTTCTTACAGGATATTTAACATCAGCAGTGGAAAGCAGAAGAAGCTGTTTAAAGGGTCACAGGGTGAGGACGGCACACTCATTAAGGTAAGGACCCAGAGGGGGTACTGGACAGGGGCTCGGGGACAGAGTGGTGCTGGGTGGGAGGGACTGGTACTTCCCATGTCCTCCAGCTGCACACCCTGCTACTCCTCAGGTGCAGACAGACCCCTCAGGGATCTACATTGCCACCAGCTGTTCTGACAAGAATCTCTCCATTTTTGACTTCTCCTCAGGCGAGTGCGTGGCCACCATGTTTGGCCACTCAGGTGAGTGTAGCCTGAATCCCCGAGTAGAAGCTGATACCTGCGTAAACCTGAGTGAGTTCCACCCCTGGAACTTCACTCTTCTATTAGTTTCTTGGGACCCGCAGAGCTACCTATCCCTACCCTGCAGCCAACCCCCGTGTCCACTGTTGGGATGGAGAGGACTTGGTTGGGAATTTAAGGTGGCTTATAGACCGTATTCTTTGTTCTTCACAGAGATTGTCACTGGCATGAAATTTAGTAATGATTGTAAACATCTCATCTCTGTGTCTGGGGACAGGTGAGCAGAAGCCAGCTTCCCTGAGAGGCAGATTCTTACTCTGCCACAGCACCCTGCCCTCCCCTCTCTCCATTTCAGTGATGTCTCTGGGAAGTGGGGTTAACAGGGATAGCTTTTGGCTGTGCTTGACCTGAAGTGGAGGGTGGCTCTGGTCTCCTTGCCATCCATGGATAAGGGGAACGAATGGCGCTAGCCATTCTACCTGCCCCTCCTTCAGCCAACTGTGTGGCTTTACCCCAGCTGCATATTTGTGTGGCGCCTGAGCTCTGAGATGACCATCAGCATGAGGCAGCGTCTGGCCGAGTTGCGCCAGCGTCAGCGGGGCGGCAAGCAGCAAGGACCATCCTCTCCCCAAAGGGCTTCTGGACCCAACCGGTGAGAACAGAATGTGGGCAAGTGATGGGTGGGTGTGCAGATGGCTTGCTGGGACCTCACTGCACTTCCTCCATGCTTTGGGCCTGCCATTCAGCAACTCTGTCTCCCAAGACCTTACCTCTCACACAAGGATCCATGATGTCAGCCTCTTCCCCCTGTTGAGTCTCCTCTCCCCCTATTGAGTCTCATCTTCCCCTCATTGAGTCTCCTCTTCCTTCTTCCCCCACTGAGCCTCCTCTCCCCCTATTGAGTCTCCTCTCCCCATGCCCTTCCTTGTCTCGGACTCAGGCACCAGGCCCCATCAATGCTGTCTCCTGGACCGGCTCTCTCATCAGACAGTGACAAGGAGGGAGAAGATGAGGGGACTGAAGAAGAACTTCCAGCACTGCCCGTCCTTGCCAAGAGTACCAAGAAGGCACTGGGTCTGTGGCAGTTGGGTGTGGGGGCAGACAGGCCCTAGTTGGTATAATGGCTAGATATGGTTTTTCTGAGACTGTGGGGTGAGAGCAGTGTGAGCTGAGGAAACTGAGGCATCACTGTGGCCACACAGGGTATGGGCTGATGGGGCCAGGGCTCCAGGGTTGGGTGGCGGGGGGGGGGCAGGAGACACTTCCTCTGACTGCCTGTTTCTGTCTAGCCTCGGTCCCCAGCCCAGCTTTGCCCCGAAGCCTGTCCCACTGGGAGATGAGTCGGGTGAGTCGCCATTGTTAAAATGTTCTTCCAAGGTTAGAGGAGGCAAAGGGAGCTGTGAGAACAGGGCTCTCTGGGCCTGGTAGGGTACTGGGGCATGGGGTCTGCCCACATGCTGCACTCGTGTGTCCAAGGAAGGCCTTGTCGGGGAAGTTGAAGCAGCTGGGCTGGTCCTGGGTGCGGGGGTGAAGAAAGCCCAGGTATTTCCTTCCTGTGGACCAGTTGGGGTGGATGGAGCACAGGGTTAGTCAGCACTGGGGAGGTGGGGCACTTGTTCAGCTGCCTGGTGCCTGGAAGTAAATATCATCAGAGAAGAGCTCAAGGTGGAGAGGACAAAGGACCCCTAAGCCAGATAGTTAGAACTAAAATGCAGGAAATCAAGGATCCAAAGAGCGGAGATCTGGAGAAACAGTTCTAAAGATCCCGGTTAGGAGGTAAGCGGAGAACTTCCAGAATAGTTAGAGGGAAAAGGCCATGAGGGGACCCATAACTCAGCGACTGCCCTGGGGTGGCCAAAGGGGGATCAAGGTGTTCAGAGCAAGTTCCCAAGCACCAGTACCTTCCGTTGTCAGCAACAGTTTCACAGAGTGATGATGCTGTGGTGTCTCTGGAGCACCCTGACCGGGCCAGGGGTCTCAGGCCTGGGCTATAGGTTTGTCCTTGGTGCTGTGAGGGGACTTTGGGGCCCCCAGCTATTGGAGTGATTGGGGTAGAGAGGCAAAAGGAGTGGTTGGGGTAGACAGGCAGAAGTGGCCTTTGCCCTGGGCTGGATTTCTTGGGGGACTCTTGGTAGTAAGTGGTTGCTGCTGGGGCTGTCCTCAGAGTAGGAGACTTTTAGAGACCCCCAGCTCTGAGGCATCCATGATACCAGGTGAAGGCTGAGACTAGGGGTTCCTGTGCCAGAGGATGCGGAATGCAGCTAAGAGCATGAACTCTGGAGCCAGACTAATCTGCAGGCCACTTACTGTCTGTGGGACGCAGACTGCTCACTTAAGCCCCCTGTGCTTCAGTCTCCTCATCTGTAAAACAAGGATTATACTAGTGCCCATTTCAAAAGGTTGCTGTGAGGATGAAGTAAGCTAGTATGTGTAGTGTGCCAGGCACATAGTAAGGGATATGTGGATATTTGTTGATCTTACTGTGTGGTTGTTGTTACTCCTCCCCCACCCCCTACCTCCCACCAGGCACAGGAGTCCGTGGGGTTCCTGGACCCAGCTCCTGCAGCCAACCCAGGACCCAGAAGAAGAGGGCGCTGGGTTCAGCCAGGTGTGGAACTGAGCGTTAGATCCATGCTGGATCTGCGGCAGCTGGAAACACTGGCCCCAAGCCTGCAGGACCCTAGCCAGGACTCGCTGGCCATCATCCCATCTGGTCCCAGGAAGCATGGGCAGGAGGCCCTTGAGACTTCACTCACTAGCCAGGTGAGCCTGCTTTCTCCCAGCTCTCTAGAGAGTTCCAAGGGGCCTTAGGCAGCCTTTGCCACCAGCTGGGACCTGAGCACTGGTCCAGCTATGCTTGCTCTGCCCCTGTGGCACATGGGTAACCTGAACTGCAAAGCCAGGATGGGGGTGGCTGGGCTGTATGGTTTGGTCATCAGGATAGGCAGGGGAGGGGTTGGGGTAGAGAGGCAAAAGTGGCCTTTGCCCTGGGCTGGGTTTCTTGGAGGACTCTTGGTATTAAGTGGTAGCTGGAGGTTGGCAGCCCAGAGTGCTAATATAGTTCATCCAGAAGCTCACATCAGCAACTGGAGCCCAGCCTGGCTTCTCGATGTCTGTCCTTCAGCTTCCCCTTGAATGAGTGCACACCGCATCCTTACTCACCTCCACCTCTTCTCCAAGGGGAGGGTTGGCCCCCAGGATACTCAGGGCTTACCCCCCAGCTACCACTGCCTCATCTGTCACCTCTGCTCTGTTAACATCCCTTTGTGTGTTCCCAGAATGAAAAGCCCCCTCGGCCTCAGGCTTCCCAACCTTGTTCCTATCCCCATATTATCCGATTATTGTCACAAGAGGAAGGGGTCTTTGCCCAAGATCTGGAACCTGCACCCATTGAAGATGGTATTGTCTACCCGGAGCCGAGTGACAACCCCACCATGGATACCAGGCAAGGATCCTGCCCTAGCCAGACCCCGTGCCCCCGTCTTCCCCTCCCTATGAGTGTTCTTTAGTCGAGGGAGGGTTGGCCCCCAGGATACTCAGGGCTTTCCTTCCAGCTCACCACTGCCTCATCCCTCACCCTGATCACAGGCAGGAGTCCAGCGGGGCTGCTGCCTACCCCTGCTCACTGCCTTTTCTTCTCCCTGCTGGAATCCTGACAGTGAGTTCCAAGTGCAGGCTCCAGCCCGGGGAACTCTGGGAAGAGTGTACCCAGGCAGCAGGAGCTCAGAAAAGCACAGCCCTGACAGTGCCTGCTCTGTGGATTACAGCAGCAGCTGCCTTTCCAGCCCGGAGCACCCCACTGAAGGTGAGGCTGTAGCCTGGAGGGAGGGGCCATGGGGGGTGGGGCCTGGAGGTGGGTGGGGAGGCTCTGGCAACAGATGGGTGCAGTGCGATGCCTCTCTCCCCTCCCCACACCCAGACTCTGAGAGCACGGAGCCCCTCAGTGTGGATGGCATCTCCTCAGACCTTGAAGAGCCAGCTGAGGGTGATGAAGAAGAGGAAGAAGAGGAGGGAGGCATGGGCCCCTATGGGCTACAGGAGGGCAGCCCCCAGACTCCAGACCAGGAGCAGTTTCTAAAACAGCACTTTGAGACTCTGGCCAGTGGAGCTGCTCCAGGTGTGGTCAGAGGGCCAGCATTTAGTGCCTGCAATTTGCCCTTCTCCCCTCCTTGCCTACCTGAGAGGAGGGTCCCAGGGTATAGGCTGTGGCTGGGGGTCTCAAGGAGGCAAAATCTGGGGCAAGGGCTTGGTTTTTGCCCCAATTCATGATTTCTCTGACCTTGGTAGGGGCCCCAGTGCAGGTCCCAGAGAGGTCAGAGTCTCGGAGTATCTCTTCACGATTCCTGTTGCAAGTACAGACCCGCCCACTCAGGTACAGAGGCCCCCTACCCCCCAGCAGCAGCTCTGGCTCTCCTCGCCTCCCAGGGCTGCTGCCCTCTCCTCTCCAGTGTTCTGTCTCTCCATGCGCGGGGTGTTTTGCACTCCCAGTTTTGGGCTAACTGGCCTTTCCCCAGCCCTATCTGGCTTTGTGCTTGTTCTCTCCTAGTGCCCTGGTGCTATGAGTTTCTCGCCATTTTGGCAGGGAGGAGCATTGAGCCTTCTCTGGGCCTTCTCCCACATGTTCTCCCTGTAGGGAACCATCCCCATCCTCCTCAAGCCTGGCACTGATGTCGAGACCAGCCCAGGTGCCACAGGCATCTGGTGAGCAGCCGAGAGGCAATGGTGCCAATCCCCCTGGAGCACCCCCGGAGGTGGAACCGTCCTCTGGCAACCCCAGCCCCCAGCAGGCAGCCTCTGTGCTGTTGCCACGATGCCGTCTCAACCCTGACAGCAGCTGGGCTCCCAAGAGAGTGGCCACAGCCAGCCCCTTTTCTGGACTCCAGAAGGCCCAGTCTGTGCACAGTCTGGTGCCACAGGGTGAGAAGCCTGATGGGTTCAGTGCCAGGGTGCAGGGTGTATGGAACACATGTACATGCTGGAGGAGGGAGGGCCTGGTGTGGCCCTGATGTGCCACTGTGCTGGCCACTAGGTGTCCCTTAATGGGCATGTGGAGGGGAACAGCAGCTCTTCGGGATTGGGTGTTGGCACCTGGGATGCCTTCCTCAACACCTGACCTGTGTATACCTCTGTCTCCTTTGCAGAAAGACATGAGGCCAGTCTGCAGGCCCCTTCACCAGGCGCACTGCTGTCTCGGGAGATCGAAGCTCAGGATGGTCTGGGCTCCCTGCCCCCAGCTGATGGCCGTCCGTCTCGGCCTCACTCCTATCAGAACCCCACCACCAGTTCCATGGCCAAGATATCCCGCAGTATCTCTGTTGGGGAGAACCTGGGCCTGGTGGCTGAACCTCAAGCTCATGCCCCCATCCGAGTCTCACCACTCAGCAAGCTGGCCCTGCCCAGCCGGGCTCACCTGGTCCTGGACATCCCCAAACCACTGCCTGACCGTCCTACCCTGGCTGCATTCTCTCCTGTCACCAAAGGCCGGGCCCCTGGCGAGGCAGAAAAGCCTGGCTTCCCGGTGGGCCTAGGAAAAGCTCACAGTACAACTGAGAGATGGGCCTGTTTGGGGGAGGGCACCACTCCCAAGCCTAGGACAGAGTGCCAGGCTCATCCTGGGCCCAGCAGCCCCTGTGCCCAGCAACTGCCAGTCAGCAGCCTCTTCCAAGGCCCTGAAAACTTGCAGCCCCCACCCCCTGAGAAGACTCCCAACCCCATGGAATGCACCAAGCCAGGGGCAGCCCTGAGCCAGGACTCAGGTGTGCACAGCTCCCCAGCTCTCATCTCCTGCCCCATCCTTACTCTCCCCTCTCTGTTGGCCGCTGTCTGGCTCCATCCCATTTCTGTGGGTACAGCTTCTGGTGTTTCTTGTCCTGTCTGCTCCTGTCGCAGGTCCGTAAGTCACACCCCTGATGGTGAGACCCTCCTGCTAACCTTCATGATTTCCTTGTGACTCACTTGCCCATTCAGTGGCTTCTGAACTTGGGGCTGGCCGTCTCCTCTGGACCTTGTTTGTGTGGTGTTGGGGAGGCCGTTGGAAGAGAAGCCAAGAGGAAGGGACTGAGGGCAAGTGGGGGGTGCAATGCTGAGGGCTAGGTCTCTCCTGTTCTGAGTGTCTTGGGTGCGGAGGCCTGAAAGGGCTACATGCTGGGCCTCACTGAGCTGTATCCGTCTCTTTCAGAGCCAGCGGTGAGCCTGGAGCAGTGTGAGCAGCTGGTGGCAGAGCTCCGCGGCAGCGTGCGCCAGGCAGTGCGGCTCTACCACTCGGTGGGTGTTAGGTGCCCCCCGGCAGGAAGGCGGGCACGTCAGTAGTGCTGGGTGTTTCGGATAACCATGTCCAGAACAGTATGCTAAGCCTCTTGTGCTGACAGGATGGCACACTCAAGAACATCTTGGGCAGCATAGGTGAGGGGGTTAGAGGCCAGGCTAGCCTCTTGTACCGGGCACCTGCGGTCATTTCTGGTTAAGAGCTGGAGACTTCCCTCAGGAGGTGAGGCCTGAAGAGACCACACCTCCTAGTTGGCTCAGGACAATCCCAGTTTATGTCGTTGTCCCAGTGTAATTATTAATGGCATCCTTTTTCATATCCATGAATTATTTGGCCCCCTTAGACATAGGGGACAGTCCAAGAAGGCCCAAACTTTGAAAGAGAAAGCAGATTCTGCCGGAGTTGTCATAAGGAGTTGCTTATAAGATGTAGACGGTTCTGCAATCCAATGGGTTCCTCCTTGGGCGTCACCCCCAGAGTCTGCCTGCATCCCATGTTCCCTGGCCATACATGCTGATCTTGGCGGGTAGAGTTCCCAGCTAGTCCCTTCTGAGGCAGGCTGGACCCAGGTGGGGCCCCTCCCTTTTATATGTCTGTTGACAGGCTCCTCCACCTCACTTCTGGGGGTGCTATTTCAGGTGGCTGGCTGCAAGATGCCCTCAGCAGAGCAAAGTCGGATTGCCCAGCTCCTCAGAGACACCTTCTCTTCAGTGCGACAGGAGCTGGAAGCTGTGGCTGGGGCAGTGCTGTCCAGCCCAGGCAGCAGCCCTGGGGCTGTGGGAGCCGAGCAGACACAGGCCCTGCTGGAGCAATACTCAGAACTGTTGCTTCGAGCCGTGGAACGGCGTATGGAACGCAAACTCTGAGTTCTGGAAGCCTGTCCCAAGTGAATGAATGCTCCAGCGATTCCAAACTGCAGCCCCTCTGCCCCTCACCAAAACCTGCGGGGCTGCTTGGAGTGGAAAGCAGGGAGCAGTGTTCAGAGGCAAAGCAGCCTTCCCAGCCGCTCCTCGTGGGGGGCCTGTATTTATTAATTTATTTCCCTGACTGTTGCCTCACTTCCTTGGAACTCCTGCCTCCACAGCCCCTCCAGTGGCAGGGACAGGTCTTGGGTCTTTGTCATCTTGGTGCTGTGAGAGGTAGGAGGGCAGCCTGCCCCATCTAGGAATCTGGGAAGGGCTGGCCCTCTCTTAGAAGCCATTTGAAATTACTGCAGGGATTAGCTCCCTGTGGTGGAGCATACACAGGGTACTCTGGGGTCGAGGTGAGAGGTGATGTGGTATTCAGTGCCCGTCAGCCAACTGTGGGCCTTCACCTCTACCTGCACTTCCCCTCTCACACCAGCTGCACTCCCGTGGCTGCCAGAGCAGGGTGGTTTTCCCCAATACCTGGAGCTCAGAAAGGCAGAGCCATCTGGCCCTCCAGGGTGTCCCCAGCCATCAGGAGACTTGAGTTGGTATTTGGACCTGAGCCCGCACATTCCACTCCCATTCTCCCTCCAAGAGGGGCCCAGCATTGTATTTCCCTGTGACCCCTTACTCTCCTGGCCAGAACTTGAGCCAGCTGTGGGATGTTGCTGCAGGACAGTAAGCCCTCACCTGGGCAAACATGAAGCTCTGGCCTCCTTTCCTCAGCCCCTTGTTCTTCCCTGTCCTCCACCCTGGACCCCAGCCGGCTGCTGGAGCCCAGAGGCCACCTTCTCCCTGCATCCTGAATGATGCTTAGTCAGAAGCCTGTGTTGGAACATCCCTCGTTTACGGGGCGCTGGCCTACCTCCTGAGGACCTCAGCCACAGATGAGATCACACGCATGCACGTGCACACATGTACACACACACACCTACCTGCACAGCACGCTGTTGAGTGTTGGTTGCTAGAGTATCTGGCTGGCTGCTGTGTGCCTGGTTTCCTCACATCCTGCCTCAGCTTCACCACCCTGGCTTATGTGGAACACCTATCAGGGAGCAGAAAAGGGGTGCAGTACACTAAGTGAACCCAGATTCTGGATTCTTGGTGTCCACAGCCTAGCTGATACGAGATAGCCCATAGGACACCTGGTTTAGGTAGAAGGAGCCTCCTCAAAGGCAGTGCTGGGCACCCACGGGTGTGCTGGATACTGGAGTTTGAGAGGAGGGAGGTGCTGGGGCCAAAGGAGACACTAGAAAAGTGGTAGATGGGACAGGTAAGTGGCAGAGGTGAGGGGATAAGTTAGAATGTAAAAGGGCAGTAATTAGGGGTGAGGGAAAGGAGATAGGGGACCCTAGGAGGTAGAGTGGGACCATGTCGTGAGGCAGTTGAAGAGTTGAGGAAAGGTTTTTCTGGGCCCTACTGCTCCCCTCTGCTGCAGGTAAGTCAGAGCAGCTTTACCACAGCTTCAGGCCACGAGAGCCCCTTCACCCGCCCTGCTGCGCCATAGGCAGAGGCTTATAAAGAAATGGGTTCTGGGCCAGGTGTGGTGGCTCAAGCCTGTAATCCCAGCACTTTGGGAGGCCGAGGCGGGTGGATCACCTGAGGTTAGGAGTTCGAGATCAGCCTGGCCAACATGGTGAAACCCTGTCTACTAAAAATAAAAAAATTAGCTGGGCGTGGTGGTGGGCGCCTGTAATCCCAGCTACTCGGGAGGTTTAGGCAGGAGAATCGCTTGAACCCTGGAGGTGGAGGTGGAGGTTGCAGTGAGCCGAGATCGCGCCATTGCACTCCAACCTAGGTGACAAAGCTACACGCCATCTCAAAAAAAAAAAAGAAAAAGGGTTACAAAAGGTTCCCAGCTCCGGGGCATCAGCCTGAGTGCGCTTGAGCTGCTCCAAACCTGGCCCTTCCCCACTCCTCTAGCATCGCCACCCGCATGGCCCTGGAACTCCCGCGGCGGCGGGGGCGGGCCCGTGCCTGCTGTGCCCCGACTTCCCACACCAGCCGCGCCCACCGCAGGTGGGACTCAGGTTCGCCCTCTGGGCCAGGTCCTTCACGAGGAGGGAGCTACCCTTCGCCAGAAGTTTGTGAGAATGTGGCCGCCCTTTTCCTGCCCTCTGCCCCATGTGGGTGGGGGGCCTCGTGGCCCGGCCGGCGCCCCGTCCCCTTCTGCATGTCTGAGGCCACCGGCAACCGCCGCCCCACTCCAGATTTGCCCCCGCCTTGTTTTGAAAGCCCCTTATTTATAACTTTTATACTTTGTGCAGGTCGCGGCGCTTCCTGCCTCATCCTCGGCTGCATGGGGCGGGGGCGCTGTTTTTAACGTGCCCGTTTGTACTGATGTATGAACTTGTCAATAAACACAATTGTTTGTTAACCCTGGGATGCCGGCCAGTGGGGCAGGCCGAAGCGGGCGCTGCCAGTCGCTCCACCGCTTCGGTGGCAGAACCCGGTGTGTGTCCAGGGGCAGGACGGGGCGGGGTGCTGGGGGTGTGGCCTGCGGCGGGTGCCTCTGGAAGGGCGGGGCGAGGGTCTGGGGGTGTGGCCTGCGGCGGGGACTCTGGGGAGGGCGGGGCGAGTGCTTGGGGTGTGGCCTGCGGCGGGGCGTCGGGGAAAGGCGGGGTCTCGGCCGGCGCTGACGCAGCCATGGCGGAGGCGGCTTTGGAAGCCGTGCGGAGCGAGTTACGAGAATTCCCGGCCGCTGCAAGGGGTGAGTGGCTCTCCCACAGGCTGCGGCGATTTCCGAACACGGGAGGGGCCCTGGGATGCCGCTGACACCGGGGGCTCGGAACCTCGTGTGTGCGACTGCCCTGAGGCCCCGCTCGGGTTGCTCTTCTGTGGCAACCTGCTTCCCTTCTCCCGTGTTCGCGCGCTCCCGCGGCTTCCTGGGTGATTCTGTTCACGTTGTTCCCAAGGCCCGGTGCCGTCTTGACCGTGGTCGCGGCGAAGCCCTGTGTTTCCTACAGTCTTGAGCAGCTTGCTGTTACCCTTGTTGAAAGCTCATCGAAGGCACACAGCTGGTGGTCGGATTCCTCCCCCACGCGCCCCACCTCCGACCTCAACTCCCTTGTCGCACTTTGGGAGGATTGCAGGCTGACCAAATGGTCCCTGGCTCTTCCCCTGCTTGGTTTTTATTCCTTTTCTTTCTTTCTCTCTTCCCTCCTTCCTTCTTTTTTCTATTTTTAAATGATTTCTTACCACTGAACAGCAACACAGGCTCATGTGTATGTGATGGGTATGTAATATACAGTGGTACGCAATGTAAATGAAGCAAGGTTTCCTCCCAGCCCCAGTTTGCATTCTTACAGAAAGATTGTTTATATCCGTGCACACACGACTTTTTACCCTTTTTTTGTACAAATAGTAGCCTGCTAAACACACTCTTCTGCACCGTGTATCTTGGAGATCATTTCACATTCCTCTACCTCAGTCTTTTTCACGTCTGTGTGCTAGTGCTGTATTCACTTAGTCATTTAGGTCATGTCCAATCCGTTGTTTTCAATAATGCTGCAACGAATACTTTGAGGATTGATTTAACAAATACTTATTCAGCATCTCTGTGTGCCAGGCTCTGTTCAGTGTGTTTGAGATACATCACTGAACAAAACAAATCTGTCTTTTACAGTCTATGTCCTGTTACATTCTAAGTGAGAACGTGGACAATCAACCACAGGTGTACTGAATGAGTACATTGTAGAGTAGAAGAAGTAGGTTAGAAGGTAAGTGCAGGCAAAGCCCTCTTTGGGAGTATGCCTGATGTGTTTAGGAAACAGTGAAGAAGCCAGTCTGCAGGAGCAGCGTCTTCTGCGCATGTGTGAGTATGTTTGTTGGTTAAATACTTTATATTTTTTGAGACAGGGTCTTACTCTGTCACACAGGCTGGAGTGCAGTGGCACGATCATAGCTCGCTGCACCTCGACCTCCCAGGTTCAAGAGATCCTCCTGCTTCAGCACCTGGGAGTAGCTGAGACTACAGGCATGCGCCACCACGCCTGGCTAATTTTTTTGAATTTTAGTAGAGACAAGGCTGGTCTCAGATTCCTCAAACAATCCTTCCACCTCAGCATTCCAAAGTTTTGGAACGCCATGGAACACATAAGCCACTGCTCCCGGCCTTGTTAAATTCTTAGCAGAGTTATGGGGTCAAAGCAATTGTTTGGATCCCTTTTGAAATTTTCTCACTTGGAAGCCCCAGGAGAGGAAAGCAGCCATTCTCTAAAGGAAATGGTGAGCAAGTAAAACAAATCCCTAATTGCAGAAGTCCAAAGGGTGAAAAAATGGCAGTTTCCATGTATTTTCAGAATCCCAGGCTGTGTGCAGTACTCACGCCTGTAATCCTAGCACTTCAGGAGACCAAGGTGGGAGGCATCTCTTGAGGCCAGGAGTTCAAGACCAGCGTGGGCAACATAGTGAGACACCATCGTGTGGTGGCATGTGCCTGTAGTCCCACCTCCTGAGGCAAGAGGATTGTTTGAGTCCAGCAGTTTTGATGACAGTGGCGGGCAGTTGGAAGCAGATGCTGTCATCATGCTGGCTGCAGTGGGGAGGCACAAGTCGGGCAGCAGAAGTGGCTCTGGGAGCAGCAGTGGTGGTAGTGAGTCCCCTGTTCCCTGCATCCCCGAGGCAGCCGACTGCACCACCCCCACCCTCACATGGCTGGGCAGGACCTGCTCCTCAGCCCAGACCCTCTGCTGCAGCCTGAACCTCGCTCCCTGCCACATCCCAGAAGCCTGCGAGCACCCTGCCAAAGGTGCAACTGGGACTTGTAGGGACTTGCACTTGTGAGTACAAAAATACTCACACATGTGCACAAAGACCCTGCTCCTGCAAACTGGCTTCTTCACTGTTTCCGGAACACAGGACTACTAGGCTCATTTGTTTGGGGTGGTCAGAGCTGCCATGCCATATGCACCTTGCCCGCCGCCGCTGTGGGGAAAACGTGAAGAGGAGAGGCAGCTGGGGCCACATGTTCCACAGAGCTGGCGGGAACTGGGGACAAGTGGGAGCCCCACCCCTTCCAAGTTGGTGGAGTGGGAGCTCCCTAGGCGCAATTACAGCCACCCAAGCCAGGACTGCAACTCAGGCACCCCTGTGCTCTTGGGAGCTAGGAGCAGGCAGGAGCCCCACCCTCCTAGATGCAGCTGCAGCCTCCCAAGCTGCAGCTGTGGACCCAGGCATGTCTGCACTTTTGGGGACCCAGGAAGGCCCCTTCCTGCTGCCGCAGGCTTGGAAGTGCCTGATCCTGCTGTCTGGCTTCTCCCCACTGTCAGCACCTGATCAGATCATGGAGCAAAGTTGAGGCCGAGCCTGGGTGCTATTGCAGTGCTGACACACCAGCCCCCTGCCTCCTTGGCCCCCTCTGGCCTTTGGGTGCCAACGAGCATGGGAGGGAGGCCAAGAGGGGCTGAGGGCAGCTCAGTGCTGGCCTGCAGGCACCCCCTTGGCACAAACAGCTTGGGTGCCGTGAATGGTGGCAAGAGGCAGACAGGTTCCTGGGTGGAAGGTGGCGGGTCCCGGTGAAGCCCGACCTTCAAGCCAGGGAAGGCCTGAAGCCTGGGGGCTGGGCTGCCGGTTCCATGGACCGGAATGGGAACTTTTGGTGCTTTTTCCGGCCCACCCATGGCTGCCCATGGACCAATAGGCATGTACCTCCTCCCCTGTGAGACCCATAAAAAGCCCCTGACTCAGCCAGACCAGAAGAGACGATGGGACGACCAGCTGCGGGGAGGAGCTACCCTCTCTGCTGAGAGCTGGAGAGATGACAGGACAACCTGCCCACAGAGAGGAGCTACTCTAGCCAGGGAAGCAAGCAGGCATGCCAGCTCTTTCTTTTCCAGTATTCCTGGGCCCAGTGGGGTCTTCTCACTCAGTTACAATATTTGATCTAAGAACATTCACTTTCCAACTGATCAGAAAGTAAAGGTGACTGGCATGGTGTGGCTGTGAGAGATGCAGTGTGACCTCAGAGGTGAACATCAGTGCCGGGACCATTTGGAGCAGGATGTGGTAACCACCAAATGGAAACCACGGCCTTTTGGCTCGACCTAGAGCATGAATGTAGCAAAGCGAAGCCCTGTACACTTTATAAAAACCAGCAGAAAGACACTCCAGTCTGAGTGAGCAGCTGGAACAAAGCTCTGCTGAGCTGAACACTCAACAGGACTACCTGCCTGCAGAGAGAGGAGCTATCCTCTTTGCTGAGAGCTGAACACTCGTTGGGACACCCTGGCTGCGGAGAGGAGCTGCCCACTGTGGGTCTCCTCTGAGCTATCCTATGGCTCAGTAAAGCTCCTCTTTGTCTTGTTTACCCTCTGCTTGTCTGTGTGTACCTCATTCTTCCTGGATGCAGGACAAGAATTGGGACCTGCTGAGTGGCGGGGCTAAAAGAGCTGTAACATGAAGAGGACTGAACCATGCGTCTTGCTCGCCACATTGTGGGTGTCCAGAAGGAAAGAAGAACTGCGGCCCTTTGGGGAGTCCAGACCCAGGAGCTTCCCAAGCTGGGGTTCTGACACCCTCTTTAGGGCTCTGCGGTTCCTGGTATCTGCAAGCTTCCAGGCACCACCATGCTTCCCAGTGTCAGCTGTGGAAGCTGCTTATGGTACACCTGGTCTAGCTGCAGCCTTGCAGGAAACCAGCACCTGTGTTGGCACCTGAAGCTGCCTGCCCCACCGCAGCCCACATGCCTAGCTGTGCGCAGTGGCCAAACCCCACACTCATTCGCTCACACACCCCTCGCTGCCCCACTCGCCCTTGGCAGGTGTGGGATCCAGGCCGGTAGCATGAGCTGAGCACAGCCTGCAGGGCCGAGTGGGCCCAATGGGCCCGAGCAAAACAGGCAAAGGCATCACTGGCCACAGAGGTTTCCAGCTGGTAAAGCAACACCCCAAAGATCCCGTGACAGTTTATGGCTGCGGTGAGCTATTATTGCGTCACTGCACTTCAGCCTGGGCAACAGAGCAAGACTCTGTCTCTTAATCTCAGCGAGTACAACAGGAAGATGTACTGAGCCCCAGACCACCCCATCTCTCAAGGTGACTGCTTGGATGGGCTGGCGTGACTGGGAAGGCCTTTGCCACTTTGCTGTCTCCTGGATTCCATATCTACTGGATGGGTGCCATCTTGCCTCTAGCCAGGGAAGCAAGCAGGCACACCAACTCTTTCCTTTCCAGTATTCCTGGGCCCAGTGGGGTCTTCTCACTCAGTTACAATATTTGATCTAAGAACATTCACTTTCCAACTGATCAGAAAGTAAAGGTGACTGGCATGGTGTTGCTGTGAGAGGTGCAGCGTAACCTCAGAGGTGAACATCAGTGCTGGGACCATTTGGAGCAGCATGTGGTAACCACCAAATGGGAACCACGGCCTTCTGGCTCGACCTAGAGCATGAATGTAGCAAAGCGAAGCCCTGTACACTTTATAAAAACCAGTAGAAAGACACTCCAGTCTGAGTGAGCAGCTGGAACAAAGGTACCACCTGAATAGAGGGTGTGTGGCAAGGGCAGGCACGAGACAGGAAATCAGACTGGAAGAGTAGGTTGGGCCTGGTCATGCGTGCCAAGGCAGGCAGCATTCTCTAAGGAGCAGTGGTAAGCCATCAAGGCATTTGTTACTAGGGGTGTGACAATATGAGATTGTATTTTCAGAAGATGACTGGGGCTATGATGATGAATGCTTTGGGTGGGAGTGGAATTAAGCCAGAGAAACCAGCTAGTTCACTACTGCAACCATCCAGCCAGGATACTGGAGACTTTTATTCAACATTAGGCAAATACTTGCTGAGCACATGCTATGTGCTAGGTACTGTTCTAGGTCCCAGGGGTGCATCAGTGAACAGACAACTGTCTCTGCCCTTGTGGAGTTCACATTCTAGCAAGGGTGAAAGAATGATAAACAGTTTATGTAGGTGAAATACATATATATATATATATATATATTTTTTTTTTTTTTTTTTTTTTTTGAGATAAAGTCTTGCTCTGTCACCCAGGCTGGAGTGCAGTGGCACGATGATAGCTCATTGCAGCCTCTACCTCTTGGACTCAAGTGATCCTCTGGCTTCAGCCTCTAGCGTAGCTAGGAGTATAGGTGCATGCCACCATGTCCAGTTAATTTTTAATTTTTTTGTAGAGATGGGGTCTCCCTACGTTGCCAAGGCTGGTCTTGACCTCCCGGCCTCAGCAATCCTCCTGCCTCTGCCTCCCAAAGTGCTGGGATTACAGACATGAGCCACCACGTCTAGCCCTAAAATATATAGCATGTCAGATGGTGATGAATGCTAACGAGAAAAAATACGGAAAGGGATATAAAGATTTGCAGCAGGGGGACAGATTATAAATTTAGAAAGTATAGTCAGAGAAGGAAGTCTTATCAATGTGATATTTGAGTGAGGACCCAAAGGAGGTAGCTGGAATGTGGATGCCAGTGGAGGAGAGGAGACGGTGGGTTTGAGAGACATAGGAGACAGAATCAACAGGACTCAGAGCCAATCAGTAGGATGACGGGAGTGAAGGAGAAAGCTGAGTCAAAAAGATTTTGATTAGAGGTGACACAGGGCCACTGTAGACCCCTGCGCAGGCGGCACACCACGCAGCCTGCCGAAGTGTACGTGGTGGCCCTGGGTGTCTGGAGATGGTGATGCTGTTCAGCAGGACCCAAACCATAGCCGAGCCCTTCCTTTTCCTCCATTGGTGTCATCTGGTAGTTTGTCTTCCCGGGTAAGAAGGTTGTAAATTTCTTAAGATGATGATTGTGTCATCCCTGATAGCCCCAGATTAGCCAAGCCAAGTGCTGAGCACATTCCTGGTGCTCAGTAAATGTCACTGTTAAAGGGGGCTTCCCAGAGCCACACAACACCCAGAATAGCCCGTGGCCATGGGGCCTCAGCCTTACTCATTCTGGAGCTCCCAATGCCACTTCCATGGTGGCCTTTCCTGGTAGATGCTAGGAGGCTGGCCTCTCCAGGGTGGGAAGGCATAGGGTCCACTGTGCAGACACAGCCCCACAGGGGATTTGGCTTATGGGCTGGGTAGCAGCCTCTGGCCCTGTGGACGGTCAGGGCCCATGCTGGTGTGTGTGCGTGATGCTTTCTGCTTTCATTTTTCCGTCCTCATCTTTCTATTACTGGTTGTCCAGGGTCCTTTGGTCACCAACGAGCATTTCCCAGTGACACAGCGCGGCCTTTCCAGGGAGGGCATCTCTTGGGCAGGGACTGGGTGCTGCAGACATCAGCCCTTCCATCCCCTGTCTTCTTCTTTCTCTCAGAGCTCTGCGTGCCTCTTGCTGTGCCCTACCTGGACAAACCCCCAACTCCGCTCCACTTCTACCGGGACTGGGTCTGCCCCAACAGGCCGTGCATTATCCGCAACGCTCTGCAGCACTGGCCGGCCCTCCAGAAGTGGTCCCTCCCCTATTTCAGGTGGGAGCTGCCCTGGGGTCAGGTGTGAGCAGTGATTACTGGCATCTGGGCATGGGCTGAGTGTCCATTCCTCTAGAGCCACAGTGGGCTCCACAGAGGTGAGTGTGGCCGTGACCCCAGATGGTTACGCGGATGCCGTGAGAGGGGATCGCTTCATGATGCCAGCTGAGCGCCGCCTGCCCCTGAGCTTCGTGCTGGATGTGCTGGAGGGCCGGGCCCAGCACCCTGGAGTCCTCTATGTGCAGAAGCAGTGCTCCAACCTGCCCAGCGAGCTGCCCCAGCTGCTGCCTGATCTGGAATCCCATGTGCCCTGGGCCTCCGAAGCCCTGGGTGAGTGGAGGTGGGGTGGTCGTGGCCCTGGACAGGGAAGATATGGGAAGGAGGGGGGTCAGCCTGTTTGCCCTTAGGTGATGACCTGGCCTATGGGCTTGGTCCTGTCAGCATCTGGTGCAGCTCACTAAATACATTCCCAGGCCTTGACTTAATCATAGATGAATTGCCAAAGATTGTTGTCCTTCCTTCTGCCCCAGGGAGGGAGGACCCCTTCCCCAAGATTTCCCAACCTCTGCCTCTTCTCCCTGACCCCTTTCTTGGGATTCTTCTGTGCTCACCCAGGTTTTGGCTCTGGCATCACTGGATGGCAGCTTTCCCCAGCCTGGCCTTCCTAACTTGCTCTCTGCCTTCTGCCCTGCAGGAAAGATGCCCGATGCTGTGAACTTCTGGCTGGGGGAGGCGGCTGCAGTGACTTCTTGTAGGTGTAAGGGGAATACAAAGGTGGGGAAGGAGCAGGTTGGGGCAGAGGGAGGGAAGACGAGGCCAGGAGTGGAGGGATGGCCCTGGGTGGAGGTTGGGCTGTTCTCTAAGATTTCTTTTGGCTTCTAGGACTCGGGCACCACAGAGGGTTTCCCCTGACAGCTGAGGTCGGGGAATGGACCCATGGCATTGGGGGCGGGTGCATTGTTTCTTCTAGACCCAAAGAAACCTCCCTGAAGGCCCGCTGGGCCAGGGGGTAAGTGTAGGAGAACTTCCCCTCTTGTTGAAGAGGAGTCCAGGGCCTGGTGAGCATCAGGTCCCTGGTAGGCAGAGTTCCAGAATGCCCATCAGAGCCCCTGGCATCTCCAGCCCACTGGCTCTGTGCGTGCTTCTCTTTTGTCATAGGACGTCTTGGGGTGCAGGGCTCTCAGCATGATGGTTTGCCTCCTCCCGTGCCCCTGCCCTCCATACCCTGCCCCCGGGCCTTCTTTCTGTTGGCAGTGCACAAGGACCACTATGAGAACCTCTACTGCGTGGTCTCAGGAGAGAAGCATTTCCTGTTCCATCCGCCCAGCGACCGGCCCTTCATCCCCTATGGTAGGGGATGTGGCCTGCAGGGAGGGGCTGGGGAACAGCTGGCCCAAGGGGGAGGGAGGCAGCAAGAGCCTGGGAGGCCAGTTCCCAGGCCTGAGGTGTGGCTGTGGCATCCCCAGTGCACCAGGGCCCCTGATCCCCTTGCCCCTGCCCAGGGCTGGCTGGGGTGGAGGAGGGTCTGGCAAGTTCCAGGCTGTTTGCAATTCCCCCACACCCTTCTCCCTTGGGCTCCAGAGCTGTACACGCCGGCAACCTACCAGCTAACTGAAGAGGGCACCTTTAAGGTGGTGGATGAAGAGGCCATGGAGAAGGTGTCTGTCCTGTTCTTGGGCTCTAGGGAGGGAGAAGGGCAGAAGCCTGGCTCTGAAGAACAGGCACAAAAGATCTGGGGAGGTGGCACCTTGCTCTGAAAAGTCTCTAAGTCTGAGGCCTTTCACTGCTGAGCCAAGCAGGGCCTGTGGTGTTGACCTTTGGAAGGGACAGAGCCTGAAGTCCTGGGGGGTCTGGGGGGCTGCTCCCTGGCATCTGATGTGTTCCCAGGTGCCCTGGATCCCACTGGACCCCTTGGCGCCAGACCTAGCACGGTACCCTAGTTACAGTCAGGCCCAGGCCCTTCGCTGCACGGTGCGGGCCGGTGAGATGCTCTATCTGCCGGCTCTGTGGTTCCACCACGTCCAGCAGTCCCAGGGCTGCATCGCAGGTGAAGAGTTGCCCAGGCCGCCTGGGGAGAGGCCCTGTCAAGGTCCAGCAGGGCCTCTGGGGGGAGGCTTGGGAGGCTCTAGGTCAGAAGAGGGATCTTCATGCTCAGATCCCCGTTCTTCCCACAGTGAATTTCTGGTATGACATGGAATACGACCTCAAGTATAGTTACTTCCAGCTGCTCGACTCCCTCACCAAGGCTTCAGGCCTTGACTGATGGAGCACTGGTGAACACCACCAAGCACGCCTCGGGGGACGGAGCCAGCCCCTCCCTGGCCAGGTCAATTCTCGAGAGAGCCTGGAGTGTGCATGCTGGCTGCTGGCCCCGGGTCCAGCATGGCTTGAGATCAGCTTTGGAGGATCTTGGAATGTGGTCATAAGGACTCAAGGTGCCAGGCAGGTCTGGGTGAGGGTTCTCAGGAAGTTGCCACACAGGTGAGCAGAGTGGGGATCAGGTGCAGCGGCACCTCTCCCCAGCGCTGTGATGTTGGGCGAGTCACTGCGTCTCGGGCATTGGTGTCCTGTCAGTAAAGAGATAATAATGGCTGTACCTCGCGGGGCTGTTGTGGGCTTGGAGATGATGTCTATGAGGACCAGCATGGAGCTGGCACACAGGACATGTTGAATAAAAGGTAGCTGTGAGTCGTATGTCCTTTTTTTTTTTTTTTTAAGATGGGGTCTCGCTCTGTCACCCAGGCTGGAGTGCAGTGGTGTGATGTCAGCTCACTGCAAGCTCCGCCTCCCAGGTTCACACTATTCTGCCTCAGCCTCCCAAGTAGCTGGGACTACAGGTGCGTGCCACCATGCCCGGCTAATTTTTTTGTATTTTTAGTAGAGACGGGGTTTCACCGTGTTAGCCAGTATGGTCTTGATCTCCTGACCTCGTGATCCACCTGCCTCGGCCTCCCAAAAGTGCTGGGATTACAGGTGTGAGCTGCTGCGCCTGGCTTATGAGTCGTATGTTCTGATCCTCCCTCTTGAAGTTGCCTTCTGTGGTCTAAGGAGGGCCTGAAGGTTCAGGTAAAAACTTCAGGGTGACCTTCACTGGGGGTGAGGGCTGGATCCCAGCCTGGGCCCAAAGAGCCGTCAGCTGCCCAAGTCCCGCTGTCCATGAGAGTCACCGCAGCCCCTCCCTGGGACAAGCAAGCAGACCTGAGTCTTGTAGCTCTCTGGTCCGGACCTCTTTGCCCAGGACCTTGAGAGCTATTCCTAGCTCTCCTATGGTTACTGTCCTCCCCCAGTTCAGGGGCAGCAGGTGGGACCTGGTGCCCTGGGGATAACCCCTGTTTCTCCCATAACAGGCACAGGCAGGAAGGGACGGAAGCCCCCGCCTCTCCTGGGGCTGTCCCTCTGAGGAAAGAGTTGGTCTCCACACGCTGACCCCCCCACAAACCATGCCCTGGAGGCAGAAGAACCCCCTGCCCCTGAGTGCCAACCCACAGGCCTCATCCCTGGCCACTCAGCACCTAGCTTTGAAGGGCTGTTTTATGTGACAGCCACTCCCCTGCCTGTCGTGAGGGGGCCCGGGTGTTCATCTCAGATTGATGGATCCCTGCCATCAAGACTGGGCATTCCTGTCCAACAGGTGCCAGAGTTGCGAAAGGCCTGTGACAGGGAACTCCACTCTTCCCTTGGCTGCTGTTCTGGGACTCACCCCTGCTTTCCTTCTGCTCAGCCCCTGGCAGCAAGCTCTCCAGGCTGGGATTGCAGGGCTGGGTGGGGCAGGCCCAGCTGGTAAAGGCTGGCGAGTGCCACAGAGGTATCAGGAGCTCTAGTATAGGCTTAGGGTGCCTCATTTCCTGGACAGGTGGCTGGTTCAGGAGTGGGTGTGGAGCTTAGGTGGAGCAGAGGCGGCGGGTAGGAGGGACTTGGGACCAATTGGGACATCACATCCCTGGCTCTGGGTTAGAAAGCTGACAGTCCTTGATCCTGTGGCCACTGCCCCATCATTCCTGCTCCTGAGGACTCAGTCTCATGGCTGTGGTAAGGCCTGGCAGGGCCCTGGGTCCCTACTGGGACCCCTGGTCTCTACCTGGGGCCTAGTTAATATGTTTCTTATGGGAGCTGTGGTCTTCTCCAGGGGTAGGGAGGGGAGTTTATTGACCACAAGACCAGGGTAGCGGGCAGAAGCCAGGGGAGGAGGAGGCTTGGGGATGAGGGATCCGTCCTGAGTGTTTTCTGTCCTGGGAACGGGCTCCTGGCAGAGCTCCCTGGCACCACAGATTTGGGCCCTGGAGACTCAGAGGCTCCCAGCTGCCGCCCTGAGGCCCTGGAAGCAAGTGGCTCCTCCATGCTCCTCTGACTCAGTTGCCTGGAGTGTGAGGGCCCTGGGCTGACCCTGGTGGATGAGGCCCTCCAGCACTGCCCTGGACCTGGTTGCTCCCTGGACTTGACCTGTTAGGGTCCTTGTGGAGGCAGGTGGAAGGCCGAAAGGAAGCAGTTGGCACAGGCTTCCCTGGTCCCGGTGCGCCTGCCAGGCTGCATTCCCAGAACCAGGGGCATGGGTTTGGAGGGAGCTACCGGGGGACCATCTTCAGCCTGACCTGGCAGGACCTGGAGGACATGACAGCCTGTGAGGGGTCTGAGCTAGGAGCCGCCTCCCCTGCCCAGGAGAGAGCCCATTTCCAGGATGCTCTTCTGACCAGGGTGGAGGGAGGGTACGAGAGCAGCTCAGCCTGGGGCCCAAGGCCCTGATGTGCTACTTCCCCTCCCTCGATAGCTTATGTCCCCTGCCACCCAAGACCAGCCGGAAAGCTGCTTAGCTGGGGTGTGGGCTGGGGATGTGGGGTGGAGAGCCTAAAGGATACTAGCCCGAGAAGGTGGAAGCAGGTCTGTGTGAGGCATAAATCTGGAGCCAGCCTGCCCGGGCTCCAACCCCAATTGTGGACCTCAGGCAAGTGACTGCTTCTCTGTGCCTCAGTTTCCTTGTGGAGTGGGCCATCGTAAATAGTATCTGTGCATAAGGTGGTTGTGCGATAAATGAGTTAATGTATGCAAAGCCCTTGGCCCAGAGCCGGCGCAGAGCATTGTGTAAGTGCTGGCAGGCGTCATGATGGAGATATCATGTCTCCTCTTGTTGATTCAGGATTCTGATGAGATGGAGGATGGGCCTGGGGTTCAGGATTAGGCCTTGAGGCACTGCTCCAGCCTCCTTTGTGGCCCCTGTCACCCTTGGCTTCATCGGCCCGTAGCAGGTCTCCCCTCTCCCACCTCTGCAGGCAGAGGTGTCCAGGACCTGCCTGCTCACGGTTCGTGTCCTGCAGGCCCATCGCCTACCCTCTAAGGACCTAGGTGAGTGCGCACCGCCCTGGCCCCTGTGCTGGGCTGAGGGAGGAGGAGGGTGCTGAGGAGGAGGGTGCTGTGGCTGGATTTGGTGGAGGCGGGTGGGCCGGTGGGCAGGGCCTAGAGGAGGGAGCTGAGAGGAGCTTCTGGGTGGAAGGTGGCAGCTGGGGCTCTGCCTCTGGCCCCCACTTCCCCTCCCCCTCAGTCTTAACCCACATGGGGCTCTAGGTGATGGAAGGAAGTGGGTCTGGGCGGCTGGGAAGGGCTCTTGTCCACCGCTGGGCACTTGTTCCTTCCCGCAGTGACCCCCTCTGACTGCTACGTGACTCTCTGGCTGCCCACGGCCTGCAGCCACAGGCTCCAGACACGCACGGTCAAGAACAGCAGTAGCCCTGTCTGGAACCAGAGCTTTCACTTCAGGATCCACAGGCAGCTCAAGGTGGGCCAGGCATCAGCGCTGACTCTACCCACATCCTCGCCAGCCACTGCCGCTGCCCTGCTCACCTTTCTGTCCCCTCCCTCCTGCAGCCCTGTCACTCTTTTCCCCTCCAGAATGTCATGGAACTGAAAGTCTTTGACCAGGACCTGGTGACCGGAGATGACCCTGTGTTGTCAGTACTGTTTGATGCGGGGACTCTGCGGGCTGGGGAGTTCCGGCGCGAGAGCTTCTCACTGAGCCCTCAGGCAAGGCGGTGTTTCCACGGCAGCCCTAGCTGGTGTCTGGGTTGAAATCTCCACGCGCACACATGCACACACACGCATGTCTCTCATACTCACTGACATATGTGCACTCCTTCTGACCCTTTCTAACTTACTTCTGGCTCTCTTCCCAGGGTGAGGGGCGCCTGGAAGTTGAATTTCGCCTGCAGAGTCTGTGAGTCAGGGGCCTGGGGCAGTTTGGGTGGGAGTGCCTTGTGGGAAGGACAGCACTAGTGCCTGGGGGATGCCCAGGTCTCTGTGGGGTGGGAACCTGGACTCCTGCTAAGGGGGCTCTGGGGGCTCTTTCCAGGGCTGACCGTGGCGAGTGGCTCGTCAGCAATGGCGTTCTGGTGGTGAGTGTGCCAGTGCTCTGGGAGGCGGTCTGGGGTCCCCGGGACTCCCTCATGCCAGCGACTTGAGGTACAGGCCCACCGCTGCCTCAGCCTGGGGACCCTGGGATTTCAGTTTGTTAAGGGAATACAATCTCAAGGGCCCAGGTAATGAAGTGCAGACCAGCAGCAGCCAGGGTGCTGCGAGGGTGGGGTCCCTGAATGGGGGGTGGGGTTAGTGTCTGAGGGGCTGTCTTCATGACTCAGGCCCGGGAGCTCTCCTGCTTGCACGTTCAACTGGAGGAGACAGGAGACCAGAAGTGTGAGTCCCCAACCCACTGGGACAGCCCCTGGCTCTCAGCTCTTGTCTTCCCCCTTTAAGCATTGGACAATTCTCCTTGGGGCCTGAGCTTTCCCCTTAGGCCTTCTCGGGGGACTGTGGTGGGGGATCCATCTCCACCAGACCATTTCAGCGGGGAGAGGGAGGTGCCCTCCAGGCCACGCAGCAAGATGGGTTCTGTGGGCAGAGATACCGTCCCCAGCCTCTCTGCTCTGGTTCCTGTTTCCAGCCTCAGAGCACAGAGTTCAGCTTGTGGTTCCTGGGTCCTGTGAGGGTCCGCAGGAGGCCTCTGTGGGCACTGGCACCTTCCGCTTCCACTGCCCAGCCTGCTGGGAGCAGGAGCTGAGTATTCGCCTGCAGGTAGTGTGCCTCGCTCCCTCGAGGTGGGGCCCCCAGAACTTCCTCCCTCCCTCTGCACCTCCTCCCAGTCTGACCTCTGCTCCACCTGGCAGAGTGGGCACCCTGGCAGCATGTGTGGGCCCATGCTGGCCTCCCCTTCCCGTCCCTCCCATAACTCTATGGCTGCCGGCGGGAGTTTGGTGAGGTCTTTGCTAGGAGTGGAAGCGTAAAGATTCTTAGGTCTGCATTCTTTGTCCCCTGCAGGATGCCCCCGAGGAGCAACTAAAGGCGCCACTGAGTGCCCTGCCCTCTGGTCAAGTGGTGAGGCTTGTCTTCCCCACGTCCCAGGTACTGGCCTCCCAGGGAAGGAAGCAAGGCGCCTGGATGGGGCTGGGACCCAGGCCACAAAGGGAGGGGCCTGCTTCCCGCTTCTCCGTGGGTCACACCCTGAGCAGGTGCTGGGGCCAGGCTCTTTGGGGAGTGTCCTCTGAGCATCCCTGCTTCAGGCCTGGCGCCTGTGGAGACGGTGGCGGGGCGGGGGTGGTGCGCCGGGGATCAGGGTAAGAGGACCAGAGCTGGGTGGAGGTGGCCGACCTTTTGTGACTGGGGCCTTCACGGTTTTCAGGAGCCCCTGATGAGAGTGGAGCTGAAAAAAGAAGCAGGGTGAGAGGCCTGGCTGGGGACTGGGCAAGGCCCTGGAAAACAACCAGGGTGCGGGGCTGGAGGAGGCCTGGAGGAGTGAGGGGGAGAAACAGCCGCCCCTCATCCTCATGCTCTCTGAAGGGGCTCAGGCTTGCGCTCGAGGGGGCACGAAGTACTGGGAGGAGTACTGGGAGGAGTCTTAGCACCTATGGTCAGAGGGGCGAGTGACCGGCCCAGTGCCAGGCACCCGGGGAGCACTTGATAAATGTTTGGCTGGAAAACGCAGGGAGGCAAGGATGGAAAATGGTAACATGGTTTGGGGCGCAGAGAGGGCAGGAAAACCAAGGGAGAGAAGAGGGGAAATTGCGCCCTTTTGGGTGGAAGCTGTTATGGCTGGACCTTAAATGATCTTCGTAGAGTTGTCGCCCACCCTGGCCCTCTGTCTTGAGAGAGTGGCTTCTCACCTCACAGACACAGGATTATTGGTCCTTTTCTGCCCCGCCCCCTGCCCTTTTTTTTTTTTTTTTTGAGATGGAGTCTCTCTCTGTCGCCCAGGCTGGAGTGCAATGGCGTGATCTTGGCTCACTGCAACCTCCGCCTCTGGGGTTCAAGCGATTCTCCTGCCTCAGCCTCCCGAGTAGCTGGGATTACAGGTGCCCACCACCACACCCAACTAATTTTTGTATTTTTAGTGGAGATGGGGTTTCCCCACATTGGCCAGGCTGGTCCTGGCCTCAAGTTATATGCCTGCCTCAGCCTCCCAAAGTGCTTTGAACTCCGTGGGTAAGGGACAGAACACGAGACTTGGAGGGGGGGGATCTATGGTATGGGGCCTGCCTGGGGGCCTGTCTGCACCTGGGACCCCAAGCAGCCTCTTTCGGCCACGGCATTCTGGGTCCTGCCAGTCTGCTTTGCTGCATTCCCAAGCATGTCCACATGGACACACTCTCCCCAGGTGTCAAACTTCAGTCTTGTGACACGGGAGTGGCATTGAGGGTTGGGGAGAAGAGGGAGGGCAGTAGGTATTACAGGTGAGGCAGACCCAGCTTTCCATTCTCTGGGGAGGGTTGAGAGCTGTCTCACAGTCTCTTCCTTCCCCGGCCAGACTGAGGGAGCTGGCCGTGCGACTGGGCTTCGGGCCCTGTGCAGAGGAGCAGGCCTTCCTGAGCAGGAGGAAGCAGGTGGTGGCCGCGGCCTTGAGGCAGGCCCTGCAGCTGGACGGAGACCTGCAGGAGGATGAGGTTTGGGGGCTGGGCTGGATGGGGTGTCCCCGGGCTTGCTTGGGCCTAGCTCCTGGTGCTGAACACTGGAGCTGCTTGTCCCCGATCTAGACCAGAGCTCGTAGCTGCCTGTCCCCACCCTGCTTCCTCTCACCTGGTGTTAGCAGGGACTTGGTACAGGCAGAGTGTTGCTTGAGGCACCTGGAGCCCACATGGGAGCTACCTCATAGGGCTGGCTTTCCTACTCTGTTTCTTGGTTCTCAGCCTAGCCTGTCTGAGGAGGGAGACAGATATCTGGTATGAGGCCTGTTGGCCCAGGGTGCTTCAGGAGGTTCATATTAGCCTGGGCCGTCTCCTGGGGGAGTGATGGCAATTTGGGAAAATTCTGAGGCGGGCCCTGGGGCTTCCAGAAAGTGAGCGTCAGGCTCGGGGGCTGAGGGCAAGGAGATGAGGCTCAGAACTTGCCTGGGCCATTTTTTCCTGGAGCCCTTAGGACTGGAGGAGCTGGGCACTCAAAAGGCTGTTTCTGGCCCCCAGGGCTGACTGAGAACTGGTCCCAAGACCTGTGATCAGGCCTTAGCTGTGGGCTGGGTGGCCACTTGACCTGCTACCTCTTCTTCCTGTGACTTGGCCTTCCCCATCCCTAGGGCCTCTACAGGCCTGGCTCTCTTCTTTTCCAGATCCCAGTGGTAGCTATTATGGCCACTGGTGGTGGGATCCGGGCAATGACTTCCCTGTATGGGCAGCTGGCTGGCCTGAAGGAGCTGGGCCTCTTGGATTGCGTCTCCTACATCACCGGGGCCTCGGGCTCCACCTGGTGAGCTGGGGGCAGGCTGATGCTGGACCCTGTGTGGCAGGGGGTGCTGGTGCCAGGGTTCTCCTAGGCCTCTGAGAAAACTAGAAGGGCTGGGAGAATGAATGTGCCAGGGAGAAACGTGCTCAAGGGGACCCTGGGAAGGTCCCTGCCAGGCCATTGTCCTAGAAAGCCCGGGGCACGTGGGGTCTAGACGGGGTCCTTCAGTGACAGCCCTCTGGCTTTGGCTTTGGCTTTTCCCAGGGCCTTGGCCAACCTTTATGAGGACCCAGAGTGGTCTCAGAAGGACCTGGCAGGGCCCACTGAGTTGCTGAAGACCCAGGTGACCAAGAACAAGCTGGGTGTGCTGGCCCCCAGCCAGCTGCAGCGGTACCGGCAGGAGCTGGCCGAGCGTGCCCGCTTGGGCTACCCAAGCTGCTTCACCAACCTGTGGGCCCTCATCAACGAGGCGCTGCTGCATGATGAGGTGCGGGGGCTGCGGCCTGGGGGCAGAGCCAGGGCAAGGGCTGGAGCTGGGGCTCGGTGCTGGACAGCAGGGTGGGAAAGGCCCTGGGCACCCAGGCCGCTGTGGGTTTAGGTTCTACGCATCTTTCCCCAGCCCCATGATCACAAGCTCTCAGATCAACGGGAGGCCCTGAGTCATGGCCAGAACCCTCTGCCCATCTACTGTGCCCTCAACACCAAAGGGCAGAGCCTGACCACTTTTGAATTTGGGGGTGAGTGGCCCAAGAGCTGAGACCTGTGCCCTTGCAGTTGGTGGAATAAGGGGAGAACGAGGACTGTGTGCAGATTGCAGATGTCACACCCACCTCTCCTGAGCCAGGTCCCGTGCTTTCTGGAGACCGGCACCCTACCAGGGTCCCTCAGCCCTTTGGGAAGGAGGCAGGGGCCTTAGGTCCTATGCACGAAGCCCAGGCCACAAGGCCTGGGCCTCCTGGTCCTCAGCTGCCCTAAAGCAAAACCCTGGGTCGGGGTGGGGGTGTGGGTGCCTAAGGGCTCTGCACCATGAGGCTGAGGCGTGGACTCCTCACAGAGTGGTGCGAGTTCTCTCCCTACGAGGTCGGCTTCCCCAAGTACGGGGCCTTCATCCCCTCTGAGCTCTTTGGCTCCGAGTTCTTTATGGGGCAGCTGATGAAGAGGCTTCCTGAGTCCCGCATCTGCTTCTTAGAAGGTGAGGGGCACTGGCAGGCTGGGGAAGCTGGGCCGAGCAGGGAAAATGGGTCCTGGGTGAGAGGGCAGCCTCGGTCAGAAGAGTTTCCTGGGCCAGGACTGGCCATGGGGAAGGGTAGGATTGGGACAAGAGTCGGGGGCCCTCTTCCCTCACGGCCGCTCTTTCAGGTATCTGGAGCAACCTGTATGCAGCCAACCTCCAGGACAGCTTATACTGGGCCTCAGAGCCCAGCCAGTTCTGGGACCGCTGGGTCAGGAACCAGGCCAACCTGGGTAAGTGCTCCGGGCCCTTCATAAGGGTGCCAAGGGGCAGCCAGCTGGGGCTGCACCAGGGGGCGGGGGGTTCACACCTCTTCCCCCTCCAGGGTCACCACCAAGGTGGGGATAAAGGTGCAGGAGTCCCCATTTCCCCCACCTTGCCTGTGTAGACAAGGAGCAGGTCCCCCTTCTGAAGATAGAAGAACCACCCTCAACAGCCGGCAGGATAGCTGAGTTTTTCACCGATCTTCTGACGTGGCGTCCACTGGCCCAGGCCACACATAATTTCCTGCGTGGCCTCCATTTCCACAAAGACTACTTTCAGCATCCTCACTTCTCCACATGGAAAGGTACCTGCTTCTCTCCAAAGTCCTCCTGTGGCCACCTGAGCCTTGAGTCCCCAGTCCAGATACCCCTCACAGTCCACTCCCATTCTCCTGCTTTGAGCTTGATTCCCTGGACTACTTGGAACAGGGGTCTTTTTCTCCTTGTCTTGGGGACCCAGGGCCCACCTGCAGGGCTGTGGGGGTGTTGGTTCAGCAGGAGAGCAGGGACCAGAGGCCAGAGTCTCTCCTTCCAGCAGGAATCTGGTACCCTTGGTATCTGTGACAATTGCTGCTCTCCCCAACCTTCCAGCTACCACTCTGGATGGGCTC
This sequence comes from Homo sapiens, assembly GCF_000001405.40. Classification (NCBI taxonomy): domain Eukaryota; kingdom Metazoa; phylum Chordata; class Mammalia; order Primates; family Hominidae; genus Homo; species Homo sapiens. The sequence continues at coordinate 41,846,689 of NC_000015.10, forward strand.
CCCAACCAGCTGACACCCTCGGAGCCCCACCTGTGCCTGCTGGATGTTGGCTACCTCATCAATACCAGCTGCCTGCCCCTCCTGCAGCCCACTCGGGACGTGGACCTCATCCTGTCATTGGACTACAACCTCCACGGAGCCTTCCAGGTTGGGAAGGGTGGGCAGCCCACCAGGGAGGCGGTGGGTGGCCCCTGTCCCCTGAAGAGAGGGGCTTTGGAGTCCAGTGTCTGGTTCAGCTTCCTTTAGGAGCTGTGATTGGGACACTGGAATCTTAATTTGCCACCAGAGGAGCTCATTCTTTTCCGGAAGTTGGGAGGCTGGCGAGGTTCTCCTGGTATCTTGTAGCTGGGTCCCCTTTACTGACCTGCGAGGTGTGGTCCTGGGCCTCTGGGCCCACCTGCTGAGTCTGCTTTGGCTCCCAGTGTCAGAACTGGAATGCTGGGAGTAACCCGGCTCCGTCTAGCCCCAGAGGAGCTGCCACCGAGGCCTGTCAGGTGTGGAGAGTTTTTTTCCAACGACTGGCTTCATAGGCCCCACTGGAGACCGTTTTGGCATTTGAGCCCCAGGTCCTGTGCATCTTACGTCAGCCCCAGTGTTGAGGATGCCAGGGGCCCTGTCCCTCTGAAGCCCCTTCTGCCTGCCCTGCAGCAGTTGCAGCTCCTGGGCCGGTTCTGCCAGGAGCAGGGGATCCCGTTCCCACCCATCTCGCCCAGCCCCGAAGAGCAGCTCCAGCCTCGGGAGTGCCACACCTTCTCCGACCCCACCTGCCCCGGAGCCCCTGCGGTGCTGCACTTTCCTCTGGTCAGCGACTCCTTCCGGGAGTACTCGGCCCCTGGTGAGCTGCTGTTCACCTCCCCATCCTGCTGCCCCAGTCCCCCACACCTCCTCCGTCCCCTGTGCCTCTCCAAACCTGTCTTCCCCACAACGTGTTCCCCATGCCAGGCTGCACTCTCTCCACAGGGGTCCGGCGGACACCCGAGGAGGCGGCAGCTGGGGAGGTGAACCTGTCTTCATCGGACTCTCCCTACCACTACACGAAGGTGACCTACAGCCAGGAGGACGTGGACAAGCTGCTGCACCTGACACATTACAATGTCTGCAACAACCAGGAGCAGCTGCTGGAGGCTCTGCGCCAGGCAGTGCAGCGGAGGCGGCAGCGCAGGCCCCACTGATGGCCGGGGCCCCTGCCACCCCTAACTCTCATTCATTCCCTGGCTGCTGAGTTGCAGGTGGGAACTGTCATCACGCAGTGCTTCAGAGCCTCGGGCTCAGGTGGCACGGTCCCAGGGTCCAGGCTGAGGGCTGGGAGCTCCCTTGCGCCTCAGCAGTTTGCAGTGGGGTAAGGAGGCCAAGCCCATTTGTGTAATCACCCAAAACCCCCCGGCCTGTGCCTGTTTTCCCTTCTGCGCTACCTTGAGTAGTTGGAGCACTTGATACATCACAGACTCATACAAATGTGAGGCGCTGAGACCATCTGTTATTACTGCTGAGAAGGGCCATGTCATTCTAGGCTCTTGGCTGTACATGGCAAGGGCTGGTACAGAGCTCGCTCATCAGTGTTCTTCCTCCGAAGAGCACATTCTCTGCACACGTCTGCGTCTACCTGTGCTCAGAGTCACCCCTTCCAAGCAAGGAGGAGGCCACATGGGCCTGGGGTAGCCCTGGCCTTGCCCACCTGCTCTGCCGTAACACGTCTCCTCTTCACCCAGACAGGAATGCAGGGGGAGGCCAGGCAATGGCTGTTTCCTGCCACATGGTAGGACCCATCTAACCAGAAGGAACTGTCTATTCCAGAAGCTGGGCCTGGGGAACTGGGTTGAAGCAGCCACGGGAAGGAGCCCTTTTGCCTGTAGCTGAGTCTTATTCTGGTCCCTTAGATGTGTCCTCGCTTGTGCCCCTGAAGTTTGGTGTTGCACTGGGGTTCACCTCAGGGATCAGACCTGTTGGGAAAACGGAATGAATTTAGTAGGGTATGGCCACCCCAGAATCTTCTCCAAACAAACACACACTGGTGCCCCTGCCCTCCCCTGGACCAGCCAGCCTCCTAGAATAAGCGTGGGAGTGGATTCCAGAGCTGACTGACAGGCGCTGCAGCAGCGACCACAGTGACGCGTGAGTGGGTGGGAGTTGCCTCGACTTTCATAACCCAACTCTACGTCTGTCAGCTGGCCTAGCAGCCCCAGCCCTGGGTTAGAGACAGCAGAAAAAATGGCTGTCCTGGTAGCCTCAGGAGCCACTGTGTCCAGGACAAGGCCTGTCCCGTCAGCAACACATCATCTAAATCATATATTGGGCTCTGCAGGACTGGGAGCAGATGGTTACACTGGAGACCACAGCCGTGGCTGCCACCCCTCATGGTATGAGCCCTCCAGGCACACGGCTGTATATGCGTGTGCACATCTAGGCACATCCTGGCATGGGGCCCATGCACGGAGGATTTGCCTGTCTCCAGTCCCTCCTCCACTTTCACCTAACCTCAGGTGTCCCCTCCCCCTGGAGAGCCTGAAGCCCTCTGGTTTGGAAGGGAAGGAGATGTGGGTGAGGGGGGTTGAGCATCGAAATGATGCTGGGATCTACAAGGAGGGACTGAGGAGCCAGGTAAGAGCCTCCTGCCCCTGCACATCCACCTTCGCATCTCCTCCCTGGCCTGCAGGCCGGGACATGCTGGACCTCTCCATTGCCATGGAGTGGGGATTGGGGAAAGCAGGGGAGGACCAGGTAGAGAACGGGTTGGAACAAGGGTGGGGCAGGGTCTGGCCGTCCTGCCAATGTGCTGTGCCTTGGAGAGGGGAGAGGAGGGAGGAAAGTGAGGAGTGCATGGGAAACAAACCCAGGCAGGCTCTCAGCACTGGGCAGAGGGAAACCTGGCTGCTCCTCCCACAAGCAGCCGAGCAGGAAGGGCACAGGGAGCCTGGGCAGCTTCGTCTACAGGGTCCCCACACTAGAGCCTGGAGTGAGCCCTGGGAGGGGACCACTGTAGAGTCTGTGGAAATCTGGGCTTTGTGGCCTGGATTCCTCTCAGCTGAGAGTGGGCAGGGGCAGCTGAGGGTTCCAATAGCATTTCCCTACAGCCCAACAGAGTAAGTCTGAGGCCCAGAACCTCAGGCTTCAGAGGACAGCGCCTGCCAGCCACTGAAGCCCAGGGCTCCCCGCCCTGCTTCCCCCACCCAGGTGTCCCACCTGAGTAGACATCCAGGCCGGGCATCCTTGGTCGTGCACTCATTCAGAGAGCTGACAGGTTTGGCTTTGAGTTTTGGGCTCAGACTCTGGGCTGCAGAGCAAGGGAATAACCACTGTTAGCCCGGCCCAGACCATCTGCAGGCGCCAGGTCTGGCTGCTCCTTCCTCCAGCTTCTGGAGGCTCAGCACAGCCTTAGGCAGCCTGGCTATGCCAGGCCCTTCCCACGTGGGGGTGTGGGGCGGGCTGAGCACTTGTGGGCAGGTTTTTCCCCCATGCGTCCTGCCTCTTAGGAAACTCCTCACAGGTGAGTTAAGAAAGGCTGAGCCTTTCTTAGGAGGTGGGAAATTCTGGAATGTCGAACAACTCAAGATCCCTTTGGGCTCCTGGGAAGACAGACTCTTGGGAGGAGAGTCCAGGGGAACCAGCGACAGAGCTAGGATCCCAGACACATTCCCTGAACACACGGTCCACACGGAGCCTCAGCAGAGCACGCTGACCACGGAAGAAAGTCCAAAGGGTTGTCTCTATATATTCCTCCAAGTAGAACCTGGCTTGCTTACTGTCTGCAAAACAACTCAAGGGTGGTGACATTCAAAGTTGTCTGAGGACTAGAAGGTTAGAGAAGCACCCAGATCAGACAGAACAGAGCCTGGAAAGCCCTTGGAGGAACACAGTCCATGAGGATTCTGGCAGGAAGGGCTTGGGGCAGTCTGAGTGGCAGACTCCAAAAGGGGCAGAACAGGACCAGGACACAGCTGGGGGTTCAAAACTGGCCCCATCTCTGCTAATTAGCTGTGTGATCTTGGGCAAGTTGCGTAACCTCTCCAGGACCTAAATTCTTTGAGGAAAAACAGTAAGTCCCACTTCTTGGAGGTTAGAGATGCTAACTGTGAAACCTCCCTAGGATGCATAAAACACTAGGGGCCCAGGAGCTTGGGGCCCAGGGAGTCGGCCGCCCTCCCCGCATCCTTCCCCTGAAGCCCACCTGCAGTGCTGCCCAGGGCTCGCCACCAGCTCTCAGCCTGCTCTTCGGACGGTGCTGCAAACAGGATCTCTGCCCCACTGGTCAGCCTGGCACCCACAGTCACAGGTCAAACTCCACTGTCCCTTTGGGGACCCCCACGCCTCCAGCCCCCGCTGAGCCAGGTGGCTGCTGGGGGTGATGCCGGAGTCCATGTCTCTCCGCTCACCTTAAGGAGAATGTGTGTTTCCTGCCGTGGCGGCCCCGCAGCCTCTCACACCGGGCTCCCGTGAGGTCAAGGAGGGCTATGGAAGCTACTTTCTGAGGAGAGATGAGAGGCAGGGGTCACTGCGGCCATCTCAGCTTTTCCCTGTGGGGTCCCTCTGTCCTGGGGCCCCTCTGCCTTGCTTCCCAGCACCCTGATGTCTGCATCTCCCCTACCCCGCCTGGTACCTCCGCTGCCATCCTCTCATCCAGGAACAGGCTCAGAGAGCTGCCCTGCAAGTTCCCGCGGCAGCTGTCCCAGGAGCTCGAGCTAGGCTGTGGAGAGGAGGCGGGAAGGTCGCATGAGCCACACGCAGGAAGCCAGAGCTAGGGCCTGTCCACGCCTCACCATGTGTGTGGAGCTTCCCAGGAAAAGCGGTGGATTGGACCAAAGTCCCAATGGGGAAAGGGAAGCCACAGAGGGGCTCTGACGGGAAACCAAGCAGAAGGGGAAGAGCAGGTGGGGAGGAGGAATCCCAGCACCTCCTGGTGGGGGTGGGTAGGTGGGGGCGGTGGCAGGAGCTGGGAAGGGTCCCAAGGAGCCAAACTGCCTGGACAGCATGGTGGGGGGTGGCATCTGCCCAAGTTCACAGTGCAAGGGTGCCAGGCCCAGATGGCTCTTCGAGCCACTCAAGTGCTGCTGCAAGTGGGGAGCTGCCTGGAGAAGGAATCTCCAGGCACTCACCTGCCTCCCGCCAGGCAGCAGGTGCTGCTTGAACTCCAAAGACCCCTCCATGGTGGGGGTACCCTTTGCATCCTGAAAATGCAAGATGGGGCCCAGAAATGTCAGGACCAGCACCCTCAGGAAGGTGGGCAAGGCACCCACTGCCCCCAGCTCTCTTTATTCCTCCCATCCAAGTACTAACCAGGCCTGACCCTGCTTAGCTTCTAAGATCAGATGAGATCGGGCATGTTCAGGGTGGTATGGCTGTAGACAGCCATCTTTATTCCTAATGACCTTCAGCTCCTGTGCCCGGGCTCCCAGCACTGGCTCCAGGGTGTGGGCCCTCACCCCCACAGCCCCAGCCCCACTGCATGCTTCAGGGAGACCACGGCGGGGGTGCCTGCAGCCCCATAGGGACACCTGCCTGGGGGTCCCTCGTCTCAGCCAGCTGTGCTCCTAGCCCCTGGTGTCCAGAGGGCCTCCACTGAAAGGATGTCAGCGAGCTGCCAGCTCTCCCGGGCTTCAGCTCCTGTGGCTGCAGCAGGAGCTCCTGTTCCATCTTGGGGAGTGGGCAAGGTGGGCAAGGTGAGCCAGGTCAGGGAGACCAGCCACACCTCAGGTTCCCGTCTACCTCCCCTCCCCCAGCCCTCCCGGTCAGAGGGGGCCTGCCTCCCCATCACTAGCTCTTTCAGCTTTGGCTCTGGAGGCTCACACCCAGTCCACAATGGTGCCTCTCCCACCACCGCAGCTGGCCAGGGAAAGGAGCAGGTAAGGCAGGGCCGGGTGAGGGCTCAGTGCCCTGGGAGACACTGACTTGCAGGCTGAGAGGGACTGTTCCCCCACCAGCCCTCAGCCCCTAGCCGAGGCAGTCGTCACCTCTGTCTTTTGCATTTGGGCAAACTTCTCTTCCTGGGCTGCCAGCAGCTTTTCTAAGTCCTGGTGTCTGTGCAGCAGCAACTCCACATCTGACACTGAGTGCTGGGGAGAAGCATGTTCAGGTGACGCCCAGCTTGGGGGGGGGGGCCCAGAGCCTGGTAGCCAGCTAAGGGGCAGGACCCCCACTCACCCCATAGTCGGGCTTCAGCAGGAGTCCCTCCCAGCAGGCCAGCCAGGCCTCAGCCTGCTCCAGCCTCTGCCGAAGCTTCTGCAGGCCCCAGCTCTCGGCACAGCGTTGCCAGCGCAGGGCCCAAGCCTCCTCCAGCTCCTGCAGCCGCCCTTCCAGCTCCTGCAGGCACTCTGTCACCTGGTGGGGAGGGGCTGCTATGGGTGACAGCTTGGGTAGGGCTCCCACCATGGGCAGGGCAGGGCTGGAGAGCCAAGTGTTAATGGAAGTGCAGAGGGAAGGCTGTGAGACCCGCACCTGCCCCTTCCCAGCCTCTCTCCCTGCCTGCGCCCAGCCTTCCTTTCCTGCTGGTTTCCATGCCTGTGAGGGGCCCTGAGGCCCTGGGCAATCAGGCTGTATCCCCAGCCCAACCCCAGGCCCACCCTCTGAGTTCACACCTCCGCAGACATGAAGTGGCTGTTGTCCACCAGCTGCTGTCCTTCCTGCCGCAGGTCCTGGGCTTGAAGGCGGCACTCCCTGATTTCTTGCCCCAGCTCTTCATGCTGCCCAAGGAGCTGCTCAGCCCCCGCCACGTCCTCAGCCAGCTCCTCGGAGGACGCCAGCTCCTGCCTCTCCTGTGCCCATGCTCTGTGGGGCAGGGAAGGGAGCTGTTGTCAGGGCTGGCTGGGGAGCAGGGGAGGGAGGGTCCAGCTCCCCCAAGAGCCAGGATACCCCCACCCCACAGGGTAGAGCTGAGCCGGCAGCTGAGGTAGGACACCTACAGCAGTTCCTGGCAGCGCCCGAGGAAGGCATGGCCCTGTGCAGCCTGCGCCAGCCACTGGCCTCGCTCCTGGGCCTTCGCCTGCAGGGTGGCCCAGGCCTCCTGCACCTTGGCCAGGCCCCCCGGAGCTGCAGGATGTAGCTGGCCCAGTCGGCAGGCCTCCGTCTGTAGCCGTGCCACCTCCTTCTCCATAGCTTCCAGCTCTCTCTGCAACCAGAGCATGAGATCAGGCCTCAGTCCCCCCACTGAGCCGATGCGTGCTCTGCATTCAGGAGCACCAGGCCTCTCTGAGGAACCACCTCCACTCTGCTGCACAAGCTGGGCCAAGTCCTAGGGCCCCTCGGGGAAGGATCTGGGTTTCTGGAGAAGAGGCTGAAGCAGGCTGGGGTGGGAGGGCTGAGATAGGTCCCCTCAGCCACCGCCTTCGGGCAGGGGCTCAGACAGGCAGGCTGCAGGGCGTGGGCCTCACCTCCAGGCGCCTGTGCTGTTGCTGCAGGGTCCGCACAGATGACAGGCTGTGGCCTCCGTCCTCCCCCTTCATCAGGGCCGTCTTCTCCTGCATCCTTCCCTGGAGCTCAGCTGCTGCCTGCTGAAAGCTGTGGACCTCATGGGCTGCAGCCAAGTTCTGGGAGAGGAGAAAGGACCTGCTCAGGGCTGTTCTCTGCTCCCAGGATTCCTTTCTCCCTGGAGACATGGCCTTCTGGGCCACCTCCTTTTGAACAAGGAGGATCATGGGGCTTGATGTGTCCCCAGGTACAGAAACCATCCTCCATGCTGCAGCCCTCAGTGAACGTGATGATATGGGTCTGCGGCAGGCCAGGGGGTGGGGAGGGTGGGGAGAGGAGAGGGCCTCGTGCATCTCAGGGAAAGGCAGACGCGAGGTGTTGGGTCCACGTGAGGGAGCAGGCCGGTTCTCGGGGATCTGGCTGACCCTGGCAGTACCACCTGCAGTGCCTCTCATGGGGCTGGGGGACCGGGTCAGCTCAGGAGGCAGCCCCAGCCCAGGACCTACAGAGATGGAATGTCCTGGGCTGCAGCCAATTCCTGGAAGAAAGCTGAGCAGGTGAGGGAAAAGGCACATTCACTTGAGGCCAGCAGGGTGTGTGTCTTGTTGGAACCAAAGCCTGTGGTAAGGAGGGCTTAGAGGGATTTTTTGAAGACTCTGACACCCCTTAGCTTGGCCCGGCCTGTGATCACCTACCTCTGTGCGGGCTTTTATTGCTTGGTCCAACCTCTCCCAAGCAGCCTCAATGCGGCTCCTCTGGGCTTGGATGTGGGGATAGCGCCTGGGTGCACCCCGCTCCAGGGTGCCTGCCAACTTCCTCAGGGCATACACCTTGGCCTGGCCCAGGCTCTGCACTTCCTTTCTGAAAGCATCAAACTTCTCTTCCAGCACCTGCAAAGGTATGAGGCCCAGCAGGGTCACTTGAGATGGTATCATGAGCTCTCAAAGCTCATGAAGAGCTCAGCAGACTCTGATGGCTCTGAAATCCCTCAGCCCAGGTTCTGGAACCATCGGGATCCTCCCTAGGACACCCTCTCCAGGCTCCTTTCTGCTGACTCCCCAGCAACCCTTTCATCCCAGGGCAGGCCTTCCTCAGCCTCTGCCCACTCCCCGTGAGGTTTGCTCAGGAGTAACTCACCTTGACACCCTCCAGGTCCTGCCCGTAGTCCTGGGACTCGGCGGTGGCCGCCTTGGTGGTCAGCCAGGCGTCGAGGAGCAGGGTCTCTCGCTCCAGCTGGTGTAGCTGCAGCTGCTCCTGCAGGCCGTGCCCCCTGGCCTCCGCCCTCCGCAGCAGCTCTGCGTGGGCCTCCCGAACTGCCTGCAGCTGGGCTAGCACCTTGGGGCTGTGGGAAGAGAGCGACAGTCTGGACTGCAGCCCTGCCTTTCCAGGCTGGAGCAGTCTCCTGCCATCTCTGTAGGGGGCTTCTCTCTGCTCCTTCGCGGATGGTGTGGCTTCCGCCCACCTTTCTGGGTTCTTCCTGCTCTCCAGGAGTGCTGCTGTCTGCTGCAGCCGCTCGATGCGTGGGCTGAACGCTTCCAGGTCTCTCTTGGTGGCCTCCAGCCGCCGCAGAAGGGCCTGTGTGGCTTCAGCACTGTGGCCCATGTCCTCGCTGTCCAGGACATGGCCCCGCTCAGCCAGCCAGGATCCCGCCTCCAGGAGCTGGGGGTGACAGAGTGGAGATCCGTTTTCCCGGGGCACCCTCCAGGGCTCAGGATTTACAGCCACGATTCTCAGCCTGGCTGCACAGGGGAATCACCTGGGAGCTGTCACGCTCCCTCAGCCTGGCCCCACTCCTAAGCAGCCTCATCTGGTCCGGAACACAGCCAGAGCGGCAGTGTTTTGTAAAGGGTCCAGGTGATTGTTTTTTTCCATGCAAAATAGACATTTTATTCTTGGTTCATAGGCATAGATTTTGTCACTTAAAACCAAGTTTTAGCAAATATTCCTTGCAGTGTTTCTCCCTTTCACTTATTAGCCTTTTTACTTCAGTTTTTCTTCCTTTACAATTGTATTCACCATTGTGAAGTAATTGAGGTATAATCGTTCAAGTGAAGGTTCCAGGTGATTCTCATGTAAAGCCCTGGTTGAGACCCACTGATCTAGAGGGAAAAAAGACAAAAGCCAACCCAGCCAGCAGCTGTGTTCTGGGAAACATGTGGAAGGAAGCCCTTGGGGGCAGGAGACCACTGAGTGGAGGAGACGAAAGGTGCCCAGGCCAGGAGCCCCGGAGTGACCTCCCAGCCGCACTCGCCCTGTGTTCCAGGCTTGCCTGCTGTGCCCTGCCCATCACTCCCCTCACCTCAGTCAGAAACTGCTGGGCCTCCTGAGCCTGCTGCAGCAGAAGCCGCCTCCGCGCCGCCTCTGCCCGCAGGTGGGCCATGGCCTTCTCCAGCTGCTGCACCCGGGCGGCCACCTCGTGGGCGGCAAAGTGCCCAGCCTGCACCAGCTTGTACCCAGTGCCCAGCACCACCCGGGTCAGAGCCTCGTGGCTGCTCATCTCACTCTCCAGGTTCTGCGGGGGAGGAGGCAGGAGGATGCGGATGTTGCTGACCCTTGGGGGACTCCCACAGTTGTGCTTGAAGTTTCACGGGACCCCACTAACTTGTCCCCAAGGAGTTCCCTGTCCCCATGACTCCCAAAGAATCCAGGGCATCCCAAAAGCCCCCACAGGCAGAGAGTTCCTGGCTGGGCCACAGAGAGTGCCATTTCCTTGGCTGAGAAGCCCTGCTCATGTGCGAGGCCAGCCCTCCCCGGGTGGGCCCACACCTGGTGCTGCTCCTGCAGGTGCCGCACCGCACTCAGGCTCTGGCCATAGTCCTGGGCAGCGGCCAGAGGCAGCTTCTCCTGCACCCAGGCCATTTCCTCGTCGGCGTCCCTGAAGAACTTCAAGAGGAGGCTCCGGGCCTCCAGGGCCGTCCTGCGCTCCTGCAGGGGCTCCCTCAGGCTCTTGAACCTGCAGCGGTGGAGGGTGGGACCAAGGGAGGCAGGGACCAGGGTGTCAGTATTAGGGATACCTGGTGACACAGATCACCCAGCTGTGGCCCTCACCATGGGCAAGGGGAGAAAGTGAGAAGACATCAGTTAAGAGGGCAGGGGTGGGGGTCCCTCCAGGAAGGCAGGGAAGAGAAGCTGAGGGCACGGGTGGATCTACCTCTGAAGCAGCCGCCGGGCCTGCTCTTCCACATCTTGGGCAAGGCAGTGGCCTTCCCTCACAAAGGCCTGGGCCTGGCCCAGCAGTGCCTCAGCCTGCCTGGCCTTCTTGTCCACTGCTGCCTCCAGCTCCCTCTGTGTGCCCAGGAGCTCGCCCACCCCAGGCAGGGCCTGGCCCACAGTGGGGGCTCTCAGCTCAACCTCGATGGGCTCCAGCCAGTTCTCCAGTTCCTCCATGCTCCGCCGCAGACGCAGGGCCTAGGGTAGAAAGTGAGGTAGGCAGGAGGGGAGTGTCCTGGAGCCCGGCCAGCCACCCCTCGGCCTGCACAACCTCACCTCACAGGCCTTCTGGAGCTTGGCCACCTTCTTCTGGGAGTTGTCTTGCAGCTCACCCCAGAGTGCTCCCAGCTCCTCCAGTCGCTCCTGGATGGCCTCCGAGGCTGGGTGGCCCCCCTGCAGCAGCCTCTGTCCCTCCTGCAGCCACAACATGAAACACACCTTGTGGACTCAGGACTGCTGGTACCAGGGCACTTGTGTTGACTCTGACCACCAGCACTAGAGCTGCAGAGTCCCTGCGGTCCAGCTGCATGATCTTGAGCAACTTTCTTTACCTAAGCCTCATTTTCCTCATCCGTATCATAGAGAAAATAATGGTTATTTTGTTTAAATGAGATAAGTCATATAAAATACTTAGCAGGGTGATTTATATCAGAGGGAGCCAGCCTGGGGTCAGGACCTGCCTTTGCAGGTGGAAAAGAGAATGTTTTAAAAAGTGCTATGCTGGGCACAGTGGCTCATTCCTGTAATCCCAGCACTTTGGGAGGCTGAGGCAGGTGGATCGCCTGAGCTCAGGAGTTTAACACCAGCCTGGACAACATGGCAAAACCCCATCTCTACCAAAAATACAAAAAAGTAGCTGGATGTAGTGGTGTGGGCCTGTGATCCCAGCTACTTGGGAGGCTGAGCTGGGAAGATCACTTGAGCCTGGGAGGCGGAGGTTGCAGTGAGCTGAGATCTTGCCACTGCACTCCAGCCTGGGTGACAGAGCAAGACCCTGTCTCAAAGTGGCTATGTTTTGACTCCTTCGCTCACAGGACTGGTGGCTATGTCCTGTTCACATCAAAATGTTATCTTTAAAATTAATGAAAAGCTGCCATTTTTGGAGAGGGTGCCCCCCCTGCCCGCCGGAAAGCAACTTCTTCTCACTACACTTCTGCCTAAACAACCGCTTAGCCAGGTGCCTGCATGCAGAAAGTACTGGATAACGCTGGCCACCGTTACTGTGGTTCAGCACCAGCTCTGGGGCACTGTCCTGTGTTCTGCCTGGAGAGCTGTCCCACCACCCTCCTGCCTGCAGGGCCTCACCCGCTGCAGCTCCTGCTGTTGGTGCATGCTCGCGTCCAGCTCCGCCTGGAAATTCTGCTGCTTCTGTAACTGTGCTGGCAGCATGGCTGTGTCCAGCAAACCCTCCTCCAAGGCCACCAGGTTCTTCTCCCTCAGCCACGCAGCCACCTGGGCACATGGGGAGGACAGGCCTGCTGTCCAGGGCTTTCCCCTTCCCCTGACCTCTGGGATACCCCAGAGGAAGGGTGGCCTTTCCCTGGGTCGACTCCTTCCCCACCATGACCGCCTCCCTCTCCAAGCGAGGCGAACCTCCTGGGAGTCCTGCAGGAAGGCCTGCAGCTGCCGGAGCTCCTCCAGGCGATGGCGGCGGGTCCCGGCTTGCCTGAAGAGCGCCTCCTTCCTGCCAGGAGGAGAGGCTCATGGGCCTGGAGCCACCCCCGGGGCCAGGTGGGGTGCCCGTCCAGCCTAGGCTTTCTCGGGTATGAATATACTCTGAGTCTGGAGTTTCCTTTGGAATAAAGGTACATTGCACTCCCCCTCTGTATTTGTGTCTGTTATGCGCCGGATTTTGTACCCCCAAGTTTGTTTTTGTTTTTGAGACAGAGTCTCACTCTGTCACCCAGGCTGGAGTGCAGTGGCACAATCTCGGCTCACTGCAACCTCCACCTCCCGGGTTCAAGCAATTCTTCTGCCTCAGCCTCCCGAGTAGCTAGGACTATAGGCTCACACCTCCAGGCCCAGCTAAATTTTGTATTTTTAGTAGAGGCAGGGTTTCCCCATGTTGGCCAGACTGGTCTTGAACTCCTGACCTCAAATGATCCACCTACCTCGGCCTCCCAAAGTGCTGGGTTTACAGGCGTGAACTACTGCACCCAGCCTGTACCACTGAGTTCTTATGTTGAAGGCCTAACTCCAGAAGTGTTTTTGGAGACAGCGTCTTTAAAAGAGGTAATTAAGTGAAAATGAGGTCATATGGGTGGGTCCTAATCCAGTGTGACCTTATGAGAGGAGGCAACTGGGGCAGACACAAGCACAGGGGGACGATCTGCCTCCTGCAGGAGGGCAGAAGCCAGGGGCTAGAAGTCAGGGTGGCACTGTGCTGGGGGAAGCTGAGCCTGCCAGGAACCACCTAAGGTGACTGGGGTAGGGGGTGGTGACAAAGACCAGCAAAGCAAAGTTTGCATTCTGTTAATTCAAAGACCTCCACAGGTACCCAGGTGTGGTCCACCTGCAAGAATGGAGAGGGGGTGGCCGCGACCACTGCCAGGACACCAGCACAAGGAGCCATGGCATTTGTGGGTGCTGGTTGGCTCTCTGATCGGCTCTCTGAGAAGGACAAAAGCCCCCACCAGTCTGGGATCTGGCTTTTGACCGTATCTGCCTTGATCTAAAAGTCTGAGGAGCTGCATGAAGCAGCCAAACCTGATGAGCTTTTACAGGGAAAAAGAACTGCAGAGCTGGGGTCTCATGGGCCATGCAGGTCACATGCATCTGTGTCTGAACTTCAGTTAGATGAACTAAGACTTCTGCTAGCCTGCCTGTGGGGCCAGCACAGTGCTTTCGTCCTCATCACAGCCGTTAAAGCCCAGGATGTGAGGCTCAGCTGCCGAGAGGAGGAACTTGTCTGAGTCCTGCCATTAGTGGGCAGCACAGGGACTCAGGACTGTGACCCTGGAAGGCCGATGCTTGACCTCTGTGCCCTGCGACCTTCCGTTTCGTGAGATGATTTCCTCTTGGTCTCCTAGCATAAGCCTCTCTTTAAACTCCCTTTGATCTCAACTGAATGAAGAAGGAAGTGGGATTTTCCACGTGGTGTTTGATGTCCATAACAGGCAGACACATTGCAGGGCCAGGGGTGGTGGGGACCCCCGGCATCTGACCTCAGTCCTTGGACAAGGCTGGTGAGCCTGGGCCAAGTAGTGGAAGGGTGGGAAGGGAAGAACCGGGATGCCAGATGCCTGTGCCAGCCTGCCCACAGCACCCCTCACCCCAGAGCCACCACTACCTCAGAAGCATGGCCTGGCACCTGCCCAGGGCACTCTGGGCCTCGGGGTGCCCACCCTGGTGCAGGCCGCGGGCCGTGGCCTCCAGAGCACTGATCTTTCCCGCCTGCACCTCCAGGTCCCACTCCAGCATCTTGTGCTTCCACAGAAGGGGCTCCATGGGGGCCAAGGGGTCCTGGTGGGAGTGGGGAACCCAATACTGTCCATGAGCCTCCCCCTCCCATCCCAGGCTACCTGCCTTCCCACCTAGAACCATCCTACCAAATGCTCATCCACAGAGCGGCTGCTCCGCCCAAACACATCCCTCACATCCCTCAAGGCTGTTTCCAGCTTTAGGACAGTGATTCCCAGCCAGGGGAGGCATTTGGATTAGGGATCAAGAGCCAGAATCTCTGAGGCAAGCAGAGCTTTTTCATTTAAGGTGAAAGCTCCCTCCTCTGCACTCCCTGGAGGACCATGTTAGTCCCCAGTTATCCTCTGAGGTCTCCTATAAGTTACACTCGTCTGCTTCAGGGTTGGGGCAGTGGCGGGAAAAGCCAACCTCTAGGCATTTGGGAAGCGAGGAGGGCAGGGGTGAGGTGGCAAGAATGGGTCAGGCCCACACAGGCACTCTAGAAGCTCCTTGGTGTTCGCGGTGGGGCCTGCCCACAGCTGCATGGGAACTGCTCTAGATGACGGGTAAGTAACTGCCCAGTGACGGATGTGGCCCAGGGTGGGGAGATGGCCCCGAAGGGGAGGATCCCTGGCCTAGGGAGCTCAGGCAGCACTGGCTGGTTTGACCCCTAATGCTGCTCTGGTAATTCCCCCCTCCTGCCCATTCCTGCTGGGCACCTACCCATAGACCCTCACTGGCTAGGGAGTCTTCCTTGCTGCAAAGCCAACGTTCCATCTTCTCCACTGAGCTCAGAAACAGCTGAGAACAAAGGAAAAGGCAAGAGACAGTCGGTGGAGGGTCCAGCCACTGCAGTTGGAGTGACTGTTCCAGTGGCACAGGTTAGGGAACCAGGGTCCTGGAAGGCAGGAGTGCTGAGTGGTGGGGAAGTCCCTGGCACAGCAGCCCCTCCAGTCTTAGCCTTGACCAGAGGCTGTGGGGTCAGCGCAGGCCCTGTTCGGGGGGGCAAGATGCAGGCTGGGGATGGGACTGTGCCTGCCTGTAGCTCCAGGGCCTGCTGCAGCTGTAGCTGATGCTCCTGCCAGGCCCCTTCCAGGCTGCTCAGCTCCTGTTCTAAGCCAGCCAGCACCTGGCGAATGTCGGAGCTGAAGGGGTGCCCCGCTGTGAGCAGTTGCTGCCCAGTGCTTCGGGCCAGGCTGATGCTGTCTGTCCAGGAGTCCAGCTCGGCCTGGAACAGGACTGGGCTCAGATCACTGGGGGCTGGAAGCAGCCCAGCAGGCAGGAGAGAGGTGGGGAAGCAGCTGAGGAGCGGGAGGCTGGAGGAGATAGGCAGGGCGGGACACTCAGGAGGCCCAAGAGCAAGGAGATGAGAGGAAGGGGAGGGCAGGGCGGAGCTGAGAGCCTGGGAAAGGCTTGGGCCAGCTGCCCATTCACCTTGCACTCCTGATGCTCTTCTAACATACGCCGGGCTTCCACAGGGCTGCGAGGAGCGGGGCTCGTGTCCATCTGAGCCCGCAGCCTCTGGGCGCTGACCAGCAATTCCTGCAGCATTGCCTGGAGTTTCTGAGCTTGGTGCAAGGCATCCAGCGCCTCCCTCCTGCCCACAGCGCTCATCAGCTAGTCGTCAGGCCTTCAAACCCCTCTCCCCCATGCCCACTGGTGTCTTCTGTCCCTTAATCCCCTCAACCACAGGAGGGCCCATGGGCTGGGAGTTACTGGGAGGACAGTACAGTTATTTGAAGGGTGGAGAAGGAATCCTAGGGGAACACAGGGGCTGAGGGGAGGTGTGGGGACTGAGATGCTGGAGGATGGGTCGGCGAGGGCAAGGCCTGCGGGTTCATACCGCTTCTGGGCCCTGCTCCGGAGCTGCCACCAGCTCTCAGCCACCTCCTGCTGCCTGTGCCTGAGGCCGTGGGCTGCCTCGGGGCTTCTTTGGCAGAGGCGGCCCACTTCACGCTCTAGGGACTGCGGGGGAAGCCGGGGTCAGAGGCTGGGGCAGGGGAGCTCTGGGCCACCCAAGCCCCTCCTCCCCACTTGTGCCCAGGGTCCTACTCAGGAGATGCCCTGGGCCCAGCTCTACAGCCAGCTACGCACCTCCACCTGGGCCTGGATGGGGTGCACTTCCCGCTCCAGCTCCTCGTGTTTCCGCAGCAGCCTCTGCACGCTCTCCAGATCTTTCCCACAGTCCAGGGCCTGGATCAGGGCTTCCTGGAGGAGGGGCACGGCCAGTTACCTGCTGGGCCTTTGCTTCGGCTCCTCCTTCCTGGCAAAGGGCCCAACCAGTGGCTTCTGTGTGCACAGCAAGTCCCCAGCGTGATTTCCTGGCCCCGACTTTGAGGGCCAGAGATCTCTTCCTTATGTGAGGGGGACGATTCTGAGGAGCAACTCTGGATTTGGAGTCTCCTCTGAGGGAAGAACCTCACGTGTGTGCTGCTTCCCTGTACAGTCTCACTCAACTCTCATCCCTTGAGGAGCGAGAAAGGAAATAGAGCAAGGATGGACAGACAGGCCTGTGCCGTCATTTGAGGGCAGAAGCCAGCGGAGGAAACAGCCAGGCATGCCCAGCACAGGCAGCAGCACTTGTTTCACACAAGGGCTTCCTAGACCGGGTTCTAACTCTGCCAGATTCCAGCCCGGGGCTCTGTGGTTATGTACACAGTCCCAGGGCAAACCTCCCGAGGGTTTGGGCTTCCTCAGGGATGGGAGGAAACAGAGAGTGTGTTTTCTGGCCTCTGGACCTGCCATGTATCTGGGGACCAGATCTGGGGGAGAAAGGAGACAGGGAATCCCCCACTGAGCTCGCAATGGATGCTTCTATGGTCCTGAGTTGATCCTGAGGGCCAGCCCATCAGATGTCCCTGGTGCAGACTGCTGGGACCCACCTCCAAGTACCCAGCTGAACAGGAGAGGCCAGTGAGGGGGGAGACGCATGGGAGACTCTAGGCAGTGCCCCCTCCCCTGACTGCATTTGCTCACAGCCCCCACCGGGACCTCTTTCCACCACGTACCTTCTCCTGAATCCTCTTGGTGACATTGTCCAGCTCTCGGGACAACACGTGTATCTCCAAGGCCCCTTCGAGCTGCTGCTGGTACCGGAGCAAGTTGCCATGGAAACTCGCCCACCTGGCCAAGGGGTGGTGGTGTCATGTGGAGCCTGAGGTGGCCTTCCACCCCTCTTCCCGGCCCTTTGGTTCTCCCCAGCCTGGGACTGGCCTGTTGTTGAGCTGGCTTCGCCGCTGGCAGATGATCTTGACTTCCTCAGGGTCCCGGTTCTTGAGCTGCAGTGACAAGTCACTGATGCTCCTGATGCAGGCATCACCCACTGTGTCCTGCAGGGGAGGTATGGGTGAGGGCATTGGCACCCCCCATGCAGAGCCCCTTCTTCCCACCTCAGCAGGCACTGAAAGCATGCCTGGGCCCCGGAGCATGAGGAACTGCATATTTGGGCAGTGGGAAGAACTGCCTCCTGCCTCCTCTACTGCGGCAGGTCCCTGAGGTCACCCCGTCCAGGTGAAGTGAGCAAGATCAGCTTGGAGCCTGCAGCCCCAGAGTCATCTCTAAGGCCAGAAAATGGGATCCCTGCACTGGGTACCATGTAGGAGGGGGAGAGTGGGCACATGCTCACTAACAGAGACTCTTGAGACGGAGTCTCCCTCTGTTGCACTGTTGTTGTAGTGGCACAATCTCAGCTCACTGCAACCTCTACCTCCCTGGTTCAAGCGATTCTCCTACCTCAGCCTCCCGAGTAGCTGGCACTACAGGTGCCTGCCACCAAGCCTGGCTAAGTTTTGTATTTTTCGTAGAGATGGGGTTTCACCATGTTGGCCAGGCTTGTCTCAAACTACTGACCTCAAGTGATCTGCCCGCCTTGGCCTCCCAAACTGCTGGGATTACAAGCGTGAGCCACTGTGCCCAGCCACAGAAACTTTTAAAATGAAAATTCGGCTTCTTGGTTGAAGAGAAGCAAAGGGAGGTTGTGGAATGGAACAGTGAGCTCTGGCTTCCTGGGGTTTGGGTGTCCCCACCCCAGGACTCGTCTGAGCTGAGGCTGGTGCTGCTTGGACACTGGATGGGGTTTAAAGGTACGCAGGGAGGGGGTCCACCGCAGGGTGTGATTGCAGATCTCCTGCCTCTGGCTTCTGTAGAGCTTGTTTAAATTTCCAAAGCACTTTCCTATGAAGTGCCTCATTTGCAAGGTAGGCAGGGAAGGACATTCCCCTCCTTTTATAGATGCCGGAGCAGAGCTCAGAGGCTAACCTGGCTCCTTTGCGGCAGAGCCAGGATTCAAGCCCAGCTCCTTTGGAGTCTAGCTCTCTTCCTACTGCAGCATCTGGCACAGCGTCTGTGAAATTCCACCATTAACAAGGGATGTCTTAGGTTTAAGCACTGCCGCCTCTTAAAAAGTAATACATACATGTACCGGGGGACAAGGTTAGCACATTTGGTCTTTAACACCTGATTGTCAATACATTTGCCATTTTTTTCCCCTGTATACCACATAAGAGAAATAGATGTTTGGTGTGTGTATGTGTGAGGGGGCGGGTGTGGGGTGAGAAGACGCTGAGACGCTGAAATAGTCACACTGAAGGTGGGCGCTGATTATCTGCCACATCCAGGCATATGTCCTATCTTTTTAAGATTTTTTGAAATAATTATAGATGCCCAGGAAATTGCCAAAGTCCTGCAGAGAGGTCCCTGTGCCCTTCCCCAGCTTCCCTTACAGCAGCATCCTATATAATGATAACATTAAAACCACAAAGCTGACGTTGGTGTAATACTACCAACTAGACCAGACCTCATTCAGATTTTATTAGTTTTTGCAAGTATGCATCTGTGCGGGGCAGTGGGGGATAGGTCTATGCAGTTTTATCACAGCTAGAGATTCACGTACCTGCCACCACACACGTGCTCTCTTACCTCTGAGGTGGGTGCTACCCCCATTCTAAAGAGGAAGGAGTGAAGGCGGGTGAGAGGAGGGAGCCTGCCCGAGGGCATAGGAGGAGCAGGCATGGCGCCCACGCCCTGCTCTACAGCCCACACTCTTTCCCTGCTCTCAGTTGGATTTTCAGTGCGGGATGCATGGCCAACCTCTACCCAGCAAGGCCCTCTTACCCCGGCCGAGTTTCCTCGGAACTCGCGGAGCCGCCGTCGGAGCTGCAGGCAGTGCTCCAGGTCCTGGCCCAGGTCACCAACATTCATCTTCACCTCCTGTGAAGGCCGAGGGTGGGGAGGGAGCGCTGTGAGCACCAGCCCAGGCTCCTGGCACCTGCTGCTGGGGATCCCTCCTGTCAAGGGAGGGCTCCTCCCCCCATCTCTCAGCCCCCACCCAGCTGGGGCTACACCTTCTCCTGGATCCAGGCCTCTGCAAGGTCCACTCTCTGCAGGAACTCCAGGAAGTTCCGCCTGTCCTCCAGCTCCTGGCCCCTGAGGGCCATTGCCTGCCTCAGGTCCTCCCAGTGCTTCCGCAGGCCCTGCAGCCGCTGGGAGACCTCTCCGGCTCGAGGGTGACTCTGTGCCAGGAGAGCCTCTCCCTTCTGGAGGGAGAGAGGGGACACAGGACATCTTGCCTGCTGCACTTCCTCCTAAGACTGACATTGCCCCTGGGCCACACTTTGGGGCAGGCATGGGGCTGAGGGCCCGGTTGTTACCTTGGCAACAGAGGTCATGACCTCCTCATGGGCCTGGACTTCAGCCTCAAAGGCCTGGTGTTTCAGCAGGGGCTTCAGCTTATCTCTCAGGTCCCCAGGAGGGACCGGCTCCTTCAGCTGCTGGGCCCACGCCTGGATCCAGTCCTCAGCCTGGTGGGGGTGGGACATGAATGCTGCAATGTTCTGCAGCCTCAGGCCCCAGACGCCACAGGCCTAGCCCCCAGCCATTCCCAGGAGGCTGGCCTCAGGGGTGGGGCGGGCAGCACCTGGTAAATGAGCCCTGAAGGTTCCAGCTCCGGAAGGTTGCTGCAGGAGGCAGCCGGGCAGGGCCTTGGGTGGGCTCTCGTTTTGGAGGTGTGGCCCCTACTCCTGGGGCCCTGGGCTGCTCTGCTCCCTTCCCCACCTCTCTTGCCCTGGCGCTGCTAGAGCTCGGGACACTGGTGAGGTCTCCACACAAAGGGGCTTAGATCCCATGTTCTGGGCTCCAGCACAGCCTCTGGGAAAGCCATCCACCCCCGAACCTGTTTCCGCCTCACAGTGTTGCGGTGTGAAGGCGGCTGAAAACTGTCGAGTGTGGTTCCAGTGGAAGGCCCTGGGCTGGGGGTGCCCTCTGACCTGGGTTGCGGCCTGGGTGAAGCTGGCCATCAGCAGGGAGGCATGCAGGGCGTGTCCCCGGCTCTCCGCCAGCTCCTTCACTCTCATCCGGCGCTGCAGCAGGATGGGAAGCCGGTCCCGCACCCGGGGGCGCCGGAGCGTCTTCAGCCGCTCACGCAGGGCTGCCTCCTGTGGGGCAGGGGCACAGCTGCTGCTCTCCCACCCTGGGCTGGGGCAGGGCCTGGCCTGCAGGGCTCACAGTCCTTTCTTTGAGGGCCCCGGAGCCCTTTCCTCAGCCCCACATGGCTGAGGGGTATCTGATCCTCCCAGCCACAAGCCAGACCAGTCTGCTCCCCAAGGACCACACGGTGTGGACAGAGCCAAATGCCCCGTGTGGGTCTCTGCAGTGTGGCCCATCTCCCCCTGGGCCCTCTTCTTGAGCCACACATACAACTTGCTCAGTCAACCCCAACCAGGACCCCAGCCTTGCAGGCTCATCAGCACTGCCTCCAGGAACACACCAAGCGCCCCGTGACCCCCTTCAGGACTCTCTCCCAACCACCACACTCTGACCACGCCCAGGCCTCCTGACTCCATTACCTTCTTGTCCTGGGCAGTCAGAACCTTCAGGAAGACCTCGTGCTTGCGAATCAACTGCTCTACCTCTTCCACCGAGCTCCCCAAGGCACTGGTTTTCAGGGAGACCTGGATCCACAGAAAAGTCAGAGGCCACCAAGCCTTCCAGCCAGCCAGCCCCTCCAGCTGCAGTCTGTGCCCATGGGCACTCTGGGTATGGCAGGGCCTTAGGAGTGCCCACTGAGCTTGGCATGGAGCTGTGAGGAGTGGGAGTCCAGGTTGGGAGGCTGCGATACCTCAACCTCTGCACCATGTGGGGAGCATGACCAGCCTCTGGCCAACTTCCTCGGGGCTCAGTCTGGGATAGGGGCTGGGGATGTCAGTGGACGCTCAGGGGCCTCAGCACTTCACCATGGCCACCTGGAAGGACTTGTGCACAGCTGCCTCATATTAGAGAAAAAGCCAGAGAGGCAGGAGGAAAGGGACTGAGCAGAGAGGAGAATAGAAAGGAGGAGCAGGAGGCTGAGCGGAGTGTGAGGGCGGGAGGGGACCTGCCTCCTGGGCCGCGAGGATCTCCTCCAGGCGGCCGCACTCTCTGAGGAAGAGCTGCTCCTGCTGCTCGGCCTGCAGCCTCTCTTGCTTCCGTGCCCAGGTCTGATACACCTGGTCCCGCTGGTCCTGCAGGGCTCGAAGCTCTTCCTGGACCTGGGGATGGACACATGAGGAGCCTCAGCTGGGGAGGGTGGTGTGGGTGAGGTGAGGACTGGATCCTGAGGGAAGCTCCTGAGGAGAGGCCAGCATGGCACAGTAGGACGGGGCACCAGGTGGCCAGGCACAGGCTTGGTCAGCTAGGGTATGTGGGGGCACCAGGGGAGGGGGCCCACCTCCTTGGTGGGTGTCCCTGCAGCAAGAAGTGCCTGCTGCCCCAGCTGGGTGGCCTGCTGCCACAGCTTCTCCCGGGCCTCCAGCTCCGCCCGGAGCCACTGGTGGGCACTGAGCTTCAGCGGGCCACTGCTAGGCTCTTGCGAACTCTCCTCCACCTGCAGGTCCTGGCGCACGCGGGCTGCCCAGGAGGCATAGTCACGCACCTGATCCCGGGGACACGGAGGGAGAGCCGGGTGAGGGCTGGGCTGGGCAGCAGGAAACCAGGTGCTGAGGCAACTGCAGCCCACCTGAGTCCACTCACACAGCCCGAGCCGACCTGGGTCAGGGCCTCGGGTGAGGCACATGTGGCCCTTTGTCACTTGGTTTCTCCGTTCTCATCCAACCCGATCCTCCCAGAACCACGAACCCCCTACATGAGCCAGACCCTTACCACGACACATCTCTGCCCTTTGTTCCTCCTGCCTTCCCATCTCTACAGAGCTCACCTGGATGAGGCCATGAGAGGACTGGCGGCTAGCAAGATCAGCCCCATCAAGACTGCTTGATGGGGAAAGAAAGTTCACCTGCTCTTCAAAGGCCCCTTGGCCGCATTTGCCTGGCAAAGCCTTCCCTGGTATTTGACATTGCACTGCTCTCCTTGTTCTCTGAATTACTAATTTAACCCTTACAGTCTTCTGCTGATTTGTGTACAACTATACAAGATTGGTGCTGGAGGGACTTCAGGCCCTTGTCCAAATGTCTCATTGCATGGAGGAAGGAAGGGTAAATGGCAGAAAGAGTCTTGTAAACTCTAAGTGCATGACAAACCCAGGGTTAAGTGCCTTGCTCAAGCTCACACTGCTAGCAAATCAGCAGAGTTAGGTCCCTAAACTCAAGCCTTTTTGCAGTGTCAGTTTGGGCCTCCTGGTCTGCCAGGTCCCAGGACAGTGGGATGCCGGGGACACCCCGTGGCCAGGACCTACTGTCCCAGTCTGATTCTCTGGGTTTCGGGCTCATCTCCCCAGGAAGCAGGGCTCCATGAGGGCAGCAGTTCCACTTTCCATAGCTTCTATATTGCCCTCCTCTCTCCACCCGTGGCTTCAGCAGGGAGCTGAAGACAGACATTAAATAGATACTGACTGATCCAGAGGTCACTGTCTAACATCTGGGTCTCCAGTTATGAGCTTTCCTGGGCAGTTCTTACTCCCAGCCCTGTCTGGGACCCTGCATGACTGCCCTGCCACTCACCTTGCTGGCACTGACCCAGACCCTAAGGTGTCACTGCTATGCCCATGTGCTCAGCCCCTGACCAGCCAGACTGACATCCCGTGTGCTCGTGCTCTCCCACCCAAGTCCATGCTTGTTCTCCCTCCGGAGCTGGAGGGCCTCATGCGTGCATGCCCATGCATGGTGCAGCACACACACATGCACACACACACCACCCAAAGGGCAGGAGCCCTCACCGCCGTGCGGAAGCGGGCCAGGAGGCGTGCCCGCTCCAGCTGGGCCCTGCGCTGCTCCATGCGTCGCTGCAGCACTGCCCACGCCTGCGTCACAGCTTGCTGCCTCTGCTGCACCGCATGGGCCTGAGGCCCCGGACACAGCTTCTGCACCCTGCCTGCAGTCTCCAGCAGTTCCTGCAGCTGCGGGAGGGGCAGGGAATAGGGAGGCAAGGGTCATGTCCTCCTGATTATCCCACAGATGTATCCCTTGCCTGGGAACTCTGGCCCCCTTGGGCCACGTCCTGCCATGCACAGGAGGCCCATGGGAGGCCCTGAGGGACAGTGGAAAATCTAGAGGAACAGGCAGGCCAGCCTGAGGGGGCTGCAGGGGCCTGGGTCGGAGAGGCAGCCAGCTGGGCTCACCTGCCGCTCGGTGCCCACGAGTTCTCGCTCCAGCCCCTGGTGGCTTCTCAGCTGCGCCTCCAGCCCACACAGGTCCCGTGCCACATTGTTGGGGAGGCTCGTGGCTTTCTCCTGAGGAAGGGAGAATGCCGAGGAGATGAGGGATGGAGCGTGGGCACTGAGCCTGGAGTGTATCCACTTCTAGCCACCCCTCCGGCTCACACCTGGACCTGGGTGAGGACTTCCAAGAGATCTCTGTGAACTCTGAGGGTGGTCTCGGTGTCTCGGAGCGCGTGGCCTCGGGCCTGGGTCAGCTCCCACAGCTCCGACCAGGCGGTCCTGCCCACGGCGTGTGGAAGACCAGCCGGGGATCAGCTGCCGGGCCGTGTCATTCCTCCCTCCCGCTAGGTCTGGTCAGCCCGCTCCTCTCTGAGTTGTATCGGGACTTGCCCAAAGCTCCTCCTTCTTAAAACCTCTCCCGCCTGTGGCCCTGCCTACGCACCTTCTTCCTGGGAGCCTGTCTTCTAGCTTTACCATGAATTCAGTGCTTTGCTGCTGTAATGCTCGGCACTGCATGGTATCTGTGCTGTGATACTCTTTACATCCTGTGCTTTGACTCACAGTGCGTCACCCAGGTTATGATCACAGACGCTTTGTGGGCAGAGGCCACATCTCTCCGTTCCTCGCTAACTCTGCAACTGGCTGAGCTCCTAAGGCTTCTGCCAGGCCAGGCTCTGGGCTAGGGGTTATGAGCAAGTCATGACCTTGCCTCAAAGCTCACAGGCTGGGAGTGGATCCAAATCAGCCAAGTGGACAGCTAGGAACCACACGAGGCATGGGCTGTCCCGAGTGAGCACAGGAGCTGGGGTAGCTCAGGGGAAGGCCCTGATGTCTGGCCCCACCATCTTCCCACAGCTCCTGCTCTCAATCCTGGGGGCAGGACTCTGACCTGCACACCCAGCCTCACCTTCCTTCACAGACCAGAGCCTGTGGCGGGCTCAGCTTCTCTGGAGCTAGGCCCCCTGCAGAGCCCCGTGGGCAGCCAGGGCCAGTGTGGCCCTCACAGCATGCCATCCTCTCTTACCACTCTGGGCCCTGCCTGCCCAGCTCCTTCCCCCAAACCCCATGCTGGCCTGGCCCGTTGGGCACTCACTGCAGATCCTGCTGCCTCTGACGGACCATGGGGCCAGCACTGTGCCCACGCTCTAGCAGGCTCTCCGCCAGCAGCCGGCAGGCGGCCACCCGCTGGCTGCCCATCTCCACTTGGTGCTGAAACTTTGCAAACTTGGTGCAGAGGTGCTGAGAAGAGGGGAGTGGGTGACAGGGTAGCCCCCAGCTGGTTAGGCGTCAAGCAGCCTGGGAATCGAGGCACCTCAGTGCCCAACTGGGTGATGTGGGCTTGGATAGCCACGGCGTCTGCCCGCTCCACTGAGGAGGCCCCACCTCAGCCAGGGCTCACCGCTCTGCTGCCACCTTCTTCCTCCGCCCCGCCAGAGCCAGCTTCCCCACCCCATAGGCTCTGCCTCAGGGCACCCTCCTTGACCCTGGCCCTCTTCTCACCAGGGCGTGCTCGGGGTCCTCTCCCAGGCTCTCCCCTCCTTTGGCTGCCTGCTTCTGGCTTGCCAGCCAGCCCTGCAGGTCCTCAGCCTCCCTCAGGAACTCATGCAGCCTCAGGGTCCCCTCCAGTTCCCGGTCCCTGTGGTAACAGTCCGTGGTTCCCCAGAAGTGAGTTGCCCACCCCCCTGGGGGCCAGTCGGGCCAGCCAGAGGGGCCAATCTGAAAACTGGGGTTACTCATGGTCTCTGTCCAAGCCTGCGGCTCACGATTCAGGGAGTAGTAGACACAGCAGTGCAGGTGTAGGGGCAGAGGAGGGTGTGGACGTGGGGAGATGGACTGCAGGGAGTTGTGGGGCCTCACTGAAGAATTTATGGAAAGAGGTGAGCAACACACACCCTTTTCCCAATGCATCTCTACAGCCTGGGGTCATGGGTTCTGATTGACTTTGGGCCATGGCATGGGAACAGTCAGCTGTGGCTAGGCCTCCTGTACCCACTGATGAGAGGGGTTATGGTGTCCTCACCGTGTGGCCGCCAACTCCTGCAGTGCCCGCAGCTGCTCCCGGAGCCTCTCCTGCACCACACGCTGCTGCTCAGGGACTTCGGGGCCAGTGAGGGTTTGGGCCGTCTGGTCAAGCTCCTCCATGGAGCTCCAGTAAATGGCTAGTTCCTCCTGTAGAGCCTATGATGCATGAGGACCCATGCCAGGCTCAGCCTGGGTGACTCATCCACCCACCTGTCCGTCCCCCACCCATCCAGTCACCAATCCTCATCCATTCACCCACCACTCACACGCCCATCCATCTACCTCAACTCATTCATCCACCCACCCAGCATCCATCTACCCATTACTGATGGAGTAAGTACTTATTGTTCCATAAAGTGAACACCTGGTCTGTGCCCACTGAGGGCTCATTATTTAGCAGGGAAAGGTGAATGCTGGCTAATCTGGGCCAAGGAAGGGAGGGCACAGGAGGCATTAGACTGGACCCCAACATCCATGTGTAAGAGAGAGGCAGAGTTAAACAAGCTGTCCAGTATAGCCGGGAGATGGGTGCTCCGTGAGGCCAAGGCTACAGGCCTTTAGAAAGACCTTCTCTGAAGGTCCTGTCGCAGAACACACTGGAACTGGGGCTGTGCAGGAAACATGCCCAGACAGGAGGACAGTTCAGTGACAGCAGGAACCGGGACTGCCGTGGGCTCCAGGCTTTGAAGCTTGTGTGGTTCTGGGAGTCCGAATTCAGGAGTGAGGAAGGGGACTTCGAGACCTCCCTCCCTTCAGCCAGGGGATGTTTGTGGGAGGAGGTCGGCTTCATGAAGGGCATTTGGTTAACTCAAAGGATGACAGGTAAAGCCTGGGAGGAAGACACCTGTGGGAGATGTGGAGCGGGCTGGGCAGGTGACCTTGACAGAGGAGAAAGGTGCCAGGGGTGGGGTAGAGAGGAAGCAAGAGGAGGCGGAGAAACCCCAAGGCCACAGGGAGAGGCAAGACTCGTAAGAAGATGAAGGGAGAAAGCGTGTACATCACAGTGCCCAGGTTGCCTTGGAAGAAGGGGCACTGTGGGATCTGGGTGGGAAGTGGGGATGGGGCTGTCTGTGTCTCCAGGAAGCAAGAGCAGGGCTCCGTGCCTCTGAGAGAGGGAGGGTGACAGCCCTCTCCCCGTGGTCCATCATCACCCAGACCACACTGCAGGGGAGGCTCAGGACGTGGTACCTGGTGCTTGTTAATGAGCCTGAGGGTGGCTGCCTCGTCTCTGCCATAGTCCCGACTGCTCACCAGCGGCCGCTTCTCCTCCACCCAGCCCTCCAGCTCTGACACATCCAGAAAGTACTGCCAAGAGTGGGGCCAACTCACCTGGAGGATCTCAGACAGGACCCTCCGTCAGCCCTGGAGACATCTGCCCCTGCTCTCCAGCATCAAAGGGGCTTCTGTGCCCATAGGGGCACCCATCAGCTCCCAGCCCAGAGCCCCCACCACTGATCCGCCTCCCTGAGAGTCCCACAGGTGGCCCCTCAAGGAGCCCTGACTTCTGCCTCTTCCCCCAACCCCACCTCTCTGCATCCTACCTGCTGGAAAGTGACAGCCTGCTGCAGACACTGGGCCCGCGCTTCACATGCCCTCTCCAGCTCTGCCCAGTGGCCTTCCAGCTCCTGGCACTGCTCCACGATGTGTTGGGCTTGGGGGTGCCCTGAGGCTGCCAGGCTCCGCCCAGAACTCAGCACCCGTTGCACCTGCCCCTGGTGAGCTTTTACCTCCACCTGGAGCTCCTGCCACAGAGTGGCTTGAGAGGCTGCTGCTCTTAACCCAGGGGCGTCCGGAGCAGAGCCATGGATGTGGCTCCAGGCCCCAATCATGGCAAGACCCCCAGGGTCAAAATAGCTGGGGCAGAGATTTGGAAATTGGGATACCCAGGGGTGAGGGCTTAGAGGCCAGGACACCTGAGTAGGGGCAGAGGGTTTCTAAGGTCTGGGAAGCGGATGTCGGTAATCCTGTAGGAAGAAGAGGGCTATTACCTTGTGCTTGCGGTGAAGGCTCTGGGCACCATTCAAGCACTCGGTATAGCTGGTGGGGCTGCCATGGGGCATGTGCTCGGCTACCCAAGAGAGCTCCATGTTGCTCAGGTGGCAGAACTGGTGCAGCTCCACTGAGGCCTGCAGCTGCAGGCCCCGGATGGCCAGATGCCCCTGCAGAAGCTCCAGCCTAGGAGGAGGAGGAAGAGATTGGAGAGGTTGGGAACAGAGTGAGCACAAGGCTCCTGGTTCTTTCCTTGGCCAAGCCAGGGCCCGTGAAGAACAAGACCAGGGAATAGAGCAAAGCCTCATCTGACAAAGGGAGGCAGTGGAAGGGCGCCAGGGCCCCACCTCATGGCCTAGATGACTCGCGTGACTGCACTGTGGGGGTCCTGCTAAGGAAGCATAATGGGGTCTCCGACCCTCCCATCCCAGAATGACTCTACTCATAAGGGAGGAGGTCTGGACACCCCGGTCCTGTGGGTGCCATCTTGTGGGACCTTAAATTCACATGGAGGAGTGACACACAGGTGGGTGGGAGGACAGACCCCACCTCCGGAGGTGCTTCTGGGTCTCTTCCAGGATGGCCGGGGAGGCGGCCATGCCATGGGCCATGGAGGCGAGGGCAGCCATCTTGGCAGCCAGGGTCCGGCTCTCACTCTCCAGCTGTTGGTGCCGTTTCTGCAGCCTCTGGCTGGAGCGCAGGTCCTGCCCTGTTTCCGAGCTCTGTAGGGCCCCTTCGAGCTGCTCCAGCTGCTCCTTTGCATCCTGGGAGGGACGCATGGAGCTGCATTAGGTTCTCTGTGTACAGCACAGCAAGTGGCCTTCCCGGGCTCTGGGACTGTTGGACTTTTAGGACCAGATTCACCAGGGAGCTCTGTCCCCACCACTGCCAACCCTCGGCCAGAAGTGCCCAATCTTCCCCTGTTCCCTCACGCTTCTTCTTCCCTGGGGGACTCAAGTGGTGCTGACCACCCGCTGGGCACACAGGAGAGAATCCTGCATTGGCCGACTGAGCGGAAAGCCACGCTCAGCTTGTCCTAGGCCAGAAGCCTCCAGAGGCTGCAGAGCCAGGGTCAGCAGAACACCCAGACTTCTCCCTCCCCGTTCTGTCCAGCCCAGCCAGGCCTCCGTCTCCCTCTTGTGCCCTGTCCCTCTTCCCAGTGGACCTGCAGCTGCCTCAGGAGTTGCTCCTGCTGTCCAGCCTGCTGGAGCTCGTCCCCACGCTCAGTCATCTTGCGGTTCAAAGCTTCCCACTTGCTTCTCAGGCCTTGAAGCCTGGTCTGTATGTCCTCCTGGCCACAGGGCCTCCTACTCAACAGCTCTCTCCCAACCTGGAGTGGAGATAAAGGCCCAGGGAGTTTGGCTGAGCTGCTGGTACCACCAGTGGCCGCAGCAGGCTGGACCTGGGTGGCAGTGGAGGTGAGGGGGTGACCACAGCTGCACTCCACGGGCTGCCTGGAAGAAAGCAGTTCATGTGGCCCCAAAACTGCAGGTAGGGGGGCTTTCCTCTGACCCCTGCAAATAGAGCGGGGTGAGCCGGCATTAGGTTGGTGGCTGGGGAGAGCCGTGTTCTGGTAGAGGTGGCCGGCTCTGGGACTTGCCACGGAGAGTTGTAGGGGAAGGGATGGATGGCAGCAGCTTTGGGACTGGTTTGGGTGCCAAGGGGATGCCAGCAGCATCAAGGAGGCTTGCAGGGGGAGGTTCTAGGTTCACGCTGAGGCTGATTTTTCCTTCAAAGACTCTTCCATGAAAACAGGTGGTGCAGTAGGGTTGGGAATTTGAAGACAAGGAGGCTCTGCACCCTCTGTCCCGTGTCCCCCACCTGCTGCAGGGCCTCCACGTGTCTGCGGGTGGCGAGTAGCTCGCTCTCAGCTGCTTCGTGCCGCTTGAGTGTCTGCAGGATGTTTCTGCGCGCTCCGGAGGGCTCATGCGCAGCCATCAGCCCCTTCTCTTCCATCCACTGCATCAGCTCTGCCACATCCTGCTTCCACTCCTGCCAAGAACCAGGCGAGAGTGGGTCTCAGAGCACGGTGGGTGGGGGCTGGTGCCTAGCCCTGCATCTGAGGGTGGTGTGGCCACAGCCCCTGTTTTCCTCCTCAGGAAAAACCTGAGCTGTGTTGCCTGCCTCACAGAAGGTGTTGAGAGGATGAATGACATAGCGCGTGAGGAAAGTGCTCTGTAGGCTGCACAGAGCTCTGTACGGTCTCAGGCTTTCTTTTCAGGGAGGCGTCATGCGACCTGGGCCCAGACCCTCACCTGGAGCTGGAGGGAAGCCAGCAACTGCCTCCTCCTCTGCTCACTCCTCCCCTGGAGCCTGGTCCACTGTGCCTGGATACTCTGCAGCTGCTCTCTGACCCTGGAGGGCGGGGGGGGGTTGGAGGAGGGCATGGGAGAGGACTCCCACCCCAGCACGAGGTGCACTCTCCCCCACCCCCTACTCTCCCAGCCCTAGGGCGGCCGTCTGTGCAGGCTGAGAAAGGGTCATCTGCAGGTGCTGCAGACTGAGGCCAGGCTCACGTGTGTGCAGCTGGGTGCTGGCTCTGAACCAGCTTCTCGCCGTGTGCCCGCAGAGCCTCTGCCCGAGGCCCCAGGGTGCTCAGGAGCCGCCCAAACTCCCGGTGCTGCTGCAGCAGGCTCAGGGCCTCCCTCACGTCCTCCTGGGAGTGCAGAGACCTGAGGTCATGCCTGGGAGAATGGGGGTCAGGACCATCTCACCCGCCACTGCCCCAGGGGCCTCCTGCCCAGCCTGGCTTCTGGACTCAAGGGGATGAGCTCCCTCCAGTGATGGGGAGTGACAGCCTAGCTCCACATTCCTGCTCCATACCCCAAGGTTGTCCAGGTGCAGCCAGGCCTGGTGGTTGGCACAGGTGGCAGTGAAACCATCCACTTCTCGGCCAAACTTCTGCAGCTCCAGCCCCTCTTGCAGCCACTGCTGCCTCTGCTCCCACAAAACCTTCAGCTCCTGGCCCTGCTGCCCCAGGACCCTCAGAGTGTTGGGCACCTCTTGGGAGTCTGGGCAGTCCAAGGCTGCCATGGGCTGGCTCTGAGCGTCCAGCTGCTGCAGCCTGACCAGGATGACAGGCAGAGAGTCAAACCCCAGCAGGCTCCCTCGTCAGCCTCCTTCTCCTCTCACCTCCAGGGTTCACGCATCTTGGATCATGAATGAGACACTGAATGTGATAGGCCCAGCAGAGTGCTTAGGGTGCAGGGGTTCCCAATCCCCCATCGGCTCCAGCCGGCCGTCCTTAAGTGTGGACTGCCAACAGCCGATGCCCGGCCTAGAGGACATGCGGAGGCAGCACAGTGTGAGAGAGAAAAATCACGCAAGCCACAAAAGCACCTGACCGCAGGGCCACTGCAAGCCCCCATGGAGGCTTTGAACAATCAGAAAAGGTGCTCCTTTCAGCAGGTGGCTTGGGAACAGGTAACACCCTTGTGTGAATTAGAGCAAGGCTCCACTTCCTCTGAGCCGCTGCAGAACCAGGTACTGGAGTCTGGCAAGCTGAGGGCCAGATGCATTTCAGTGCCCACTTGGCCACCTGTCAAGTGCCTTCAGGAGGGGCACAGCCTGTGGACTGTCCCTGGTGGCCTTGCCTGCCTGCCAGCCCATAACGTCATCCCTGCAGGAGGAGAGGCGCCACCTTACTAAGGAGGTGGGGATCTCAGACCCGTGGGTGGGTCCTGAGCCATTCCACTTAGGGGCCGCTGGGGTCCGTGTTACCAGGACGGCAGGGGGGGCTAGACGCCCTGACTGAAAGCAATGCATCGGGCCCACCTGGAGGGGGCCAGCCGGGCCTGGGCTGCAGAGAGCCTCCCAGGCAGCTCAGTGTCCTGGGTCTCTCCTCGAAGTGTACAGGCTGCCTGACCCAGTCCTAGATTATATCCTCCTCTGTGTAAACTTGCCTCAAGCAGCATGCCAGACACCAACCAGTCTGGGCCCCTCCCTGGGGAAATCACACTACTTCCCGCATGCTCTTTCTGGGCCTGAACCCAGAGCCCAGAGCCCTGGTCCCAGCCCAAAGTGCACCCCTTCTGCCCTCCTGTCCTGACCTCTCCTGCCACAGGTGGATCTCCTCCAGCAGGTCTTGGTGCTCCCTCAGCAGCCGCTGAGCCGAGGCCACATCCACTGACACCTCCTTGCTGCGCAGCTGAGCCTGGACACTCTCTGCCCACAGTAGCAGTTGCTGGCTCTCTTGCAGGAAGCTCTGCCGGGCCTGAGTCTCAGCCTGGCGCCGGGCCCGTTGGGCCACTTGTTCCTGTACTTGCTTCAGCAGCCCCTGCAGTGTCTCCACCTGTCCTTGCAGAGGCTGGCTCTCTGCGTAGCCTGGCTCCTCGACCCTGGGAGACAGGGTGCGCTGCACAGTCAGTGCCCTGTCCTGGGCCTGGTGCCCCAGGCACATGTCCTCTCTCCAAACCTGCATCCCCCAGGGAGAGTGGTGCTGACTCTCAATGCCCACCCCACCCTTGACCTGGGGGCAGCAAGAACATAGGGCTCGCCAGGTGCAGTGGCTCAAGCCTGTAATCCCAGCACTTTGGGAGGCCGAGGCAGGCAGATCACGAGGTCAGGAGATCGAGACCATCCCGGCTAAAACGGTGAAACCCCGTCTCTACTAAAAATACAAAAATTAGCCAGGCATGGTGGTGGGCGCCTGTAGTCCCAGCTACTTGGGAGGCTGAGGCAGGAGAATGGCGTGAACCCGGGAGGCTGAGCTTCCAGTGAGCCGAGATCACGCCACTGCACTCAGCCCGGGCGACAGAGCAAGACTCCGTCTCAAAAAGAAATAAAAAAACATAGGGCTCTTCCTGTCCCCAGGACCATTTTCTCCTGATCATCCCCCCATCTTTGCCACAGCCCTCCTACCTGTTGTCTCCCCATCCCAATTTCTGTCCCTTCCTCATTCCACTGCCCTGCCCACGCCTTCCCATGGTCCTCACTGCCTCCCAATGCCACCACTGCGCTGGCCGTACTTTACGACCACACTTTGGAGGAAGTGGACCCTCCTCTCCAGCACCAGGGTCTTCTTCTGGGCCAGCTGCAGGGCGTGGCAGGTGTCCTCTGAGCTCCCTGGCTGCAGGGCCTCCAGCTGGAGGAGCACGTCTCGCAGCTGGACCTGTGTGGGTCCACACTCCTGCAGAAAACTGCACACTTCCACACTGTGTGCCAGCTGCACGGCCTTCTCCCTCTTCAGGGCCTCCAGCTGCCCCCACCTGGGCAGAGGGTACAAGGTTGTCTCCACAACAGGGACACCTCCCCATCCATCCGGGAGCCTTGGCCAGAGCCTCACGTGACAGAAGCTGCCAGACTGGCTGTCCCTTGCCCCTTCCCTGTGCCTCGGACACGTCCAGCCTCTCCATCTGGCATGGCGGGAGGCAGGTGAGTCAGGCCCAGGCTGGGCACTGTGTCTGCCTGCCTCACCACCTGCACTCCTGCCTCATTCTCACCTCTGGCTCAGTTCCTCCTGCTGTCGTTGGATTTGTGTGGAGTTCCCAGGATATCTCTGCCTCAGTTGCTCAGCAGAGCTGCTGACCTCAGCCCAGAGGCCCTTTCCCACAGCCAGGGCAGTGAGGAAGTTCTAGGGAAAAGGAGGACCCAGCCCTCTTGGGGGACTTTTTCTCTTTCCACACTCCCCTCTAGCCTATGACGGACCTGAGTGGTGCTCTCTGCTACAGGGATGCTCATGCTGCCTGCCCCTGGAAAGACAGCCATCCGAGTCCTTAAGGGCCAGGAGGCCCTCGAAATTCAGGCCAGCTCTCTGCTCCCCTCCCCCAGGCAGGACGGTAGTTAAATTGGAAAACTGAGTCACAGCAGCAGACCACAGGGAGGCAGGGGCAAGGCGAGGAGGAGGTGCCAAGCTCCCAGGGCTGTACCTCATATTTGAGCTGCATGACCTCCAGGGTGTCAGCCTGGGGCTGCACCCTTTGGAGCAGCACTGTCTGCTTCTCCAGCCACAACTGGAGCTCCCCACAGGAACTGCAGAAACCGAACAGGGCCATGGCCTCCTCCAACCGGGCCCTGCGGAGCTGGGGAGAGGTGGCCCAAGGCTGGGGTGAGGGTCAGGGCCCCCGACAGGGCTCTCAGAGCGGGTCAAAGGGGTGCTCCTCCCCATCCCAGCCCACCAGCAGAGCCCAGGGTCAGGGCCAGAGGGGGTCCCTGCCTCACTGCTGGGCCCCACATCCTCTCTCAGAGCCCTCTTGGCACCACCTGGAGGGAGATGGCAAGGGCTTAGGGAAGGGTAAAGGGCACTGGCAGTGTGCTCCTGTCTGGTCTTGCCCTGCTGAAACCTCTCAGTGCCAGCCCTGCTCTAAGGTGAAATCCACGCCGCTCCCTCTGCCTGCTCCACCCCCACCTGCCTCTCTAGTCTCTCCTCTGGCCATGGCCTCCCCAGCGTCTGTGCTGCAGGGACCTGGGCCTTCGCTTCCTCCGCTGGGCCCCCTTCCTACCTTTGCACAGGTCCTGGCCAGCACCCCTGGGTTTACCTGCTTTCTGTTTCTCATTCAAGCCTCAGCTTAAAAGTCCTTCCCTCCAAGGTGCCTTCCCTGACCTCCAGCCTGACCTGGGCTACCTTCTCATGTGATCCCATCACACCTGCATCTAATGAGTTGTCTGACATCTTCTCAGCCATGATAAAAGCTCCTTGAGGACAGGGAACATGTCAGTCACTGCCTTGTCCCCTGGGATCACTGCACAGGAGCTGCTGGCACAGAGTAAGGACTCGAGCATTTCTTGAAAAAGAAGTGTTACCTGTGCCAGGGCCCGCAGACTCTCATAGTCCTGACTCAAGTGGTCCTGTGTCTGGAGTATAGTGTTGGGATCAAAGTCAGGGTCAGGCTCAGCTGGGAGGGCCATCTTCCAGGCATCCCCAGGGCCAGGGTGGCAGGAAGCCTCACTCCAGGGCCCTGGGTTCCTCAGGCTTTCTCCTGGAGGGCTCAGGGCAGAGTTCACCTGTGTGACAAAGGGCAGCGCGTCTACAGGCGACCCCATCAAGCAGCAGGGGCTTTGGCCAGGCCACCCCTACCTCCGTGCCCTGAGACCTGGAGGCGCTGAGCTGTAGCTCAAAGGGTGTGTGGGACATGGGTCTGGGGGACAGGAAGCTTCCTTGGGGCTGAGGGTCGAGGGGCCAAACGTGAGCACAGGATCTGATGGCTTTGATTTCCACATCGTGTGCTGCATACACAGCTTCTTGAAAGAGGGCTGTGAGCCAAGCTATACGTGTTTTAAAGAACTTTGGGGGCTCAATGAACTGAGCAAGGGGTGTCAGAAGGCAGTCTGGGTGAGTGATGAGGCCACCCCAAACCAACAAGGCGGGCTAAGTCAGGAGAGACAGTCACTACTGGCCTGGGTGAAAGTGGAGGGGACCTTCCTGGAGGAAAGTGCTTAACGGTCTGAAACTGCCGGCAACAGGAGCCAGGCCAAGCTGTATTTGGATGCCCTCGGTTGACGTGGGCAGACAGGATTCCACTACTTCTGGGCTAGGTCAACAAGTGAGATGCCACTGAGGACTGGGGTGAGGGACACCTACACCCACGGGAAGGCCACGAATCCTGGGCCAGAGGCCACAAAGGCCCTCCCATTTTTGTCCTCTGTGTGGCCCAGCCGCGGTGGAGCAAGGGAGACCAGGCGCCCTTCCCTGTCCCCGTCCTCACCGTGAATAACGACGCCCGGGCCGAGGCCGCCCGCCCCTGCTCCTCCAGCCGCCGCAGCTCGGCCGCGAAGGCGCGCAGGACGCGCTCCAGCCGCACGTGGCGCCTCAGCAGGGTCTCGGCGGCCGCCTGGTCCTGACCGCAGGACGCTCTCTCCAGCGAGGATCGCCGCTCGCGCAGCCACGAAGCCGCCTCCGCCGCGTCCGCGAAGTACTGTGGGAGGGGGTCGGGGGTGGTGTGGGTGAAGGGGCGCGGCTGAGCGCGGGCAGGTGCTGGCACCCCCACCCCCGCCTCGCCGGGCCCCGCCCCCACCCCGCCTCCACCCCTCCCCACTACCTGCAGGACCAGCAGGGCTGTCTGCAGCCGTGCGCCCCGCCCCACCACCCGGGTCTGGAGCAGCTGCCACCCTCCCTGAACGGCCTCTGCCCGTTCCCCGGGATCCGGCTGCGTTGGGGGCCTGCGGGCGCTGAGGTCGCGTCCCCTCCGCACGAGATCTACGCACACGGCCTGGTGGCGGTGGACCTCAGCTTCCAGGGCCTAGCGGGGGGCAGAGCAGGGGGCTCAGTGAAGGCAGAACAGGGGAGGGGGCCGGGGGCCCGAGAGGGAAGGGCAAGGCGCTGGCGACCGGCGGGCGCGCTCGGGGAGCTGACACCTTGTGTTTCTGCAGGGCGCCTGCGATCTGGCTGAGATCCCGGCCCAGGGCCGCATTCCCCACCCGCTGTCCGCACTCCTTCAGCCAGGCTTCCTCCTCCTCACAGTTGCGCAGGAACTCTGCCCGCTGCAGGGTCTGCTCCAGCAGGGCCCGCCTGAGGGACAATAGGGGCCACCGAAGGACATGGGGAGTCGTGAGGCATGGGCAGTGGGTTCCCCTCCGGGTTTAGACACTCCCCTTAGACAGGATTTTTCTTTTCCCTGGATGACTCAACAGGTGAGACGGAGGCTTTGGAAGTGAGGGTCAGTGTGGAGAAAACTGGCAGGCCAACAGTACTTTAACCTGGGCAGGAGATAATTTGGGTTACAGAAAAGTTCTGGGAAAGGTGGAAGAGTTGGGGCAGGCTCTTACCGGGCCCTGACAAGAGCCACCAGGCTCTGTTGGAGCTGGGCCAGTGTCCTGGCCTTGGCCTGCAGCACCTCCACACTGGTGCCCAGGGAGGAGTCCAGCTCTGCTGTCTGCTGAGCAAGATGGCTCACATGGGCTCCGTGGGCCGAGACTTGAGCCTCCAGCAGGTCATGCCTCTGCAGCAGCTCCACCACTTCTGCCAGCTGCTGCCCACAGGCGGTGGACCTGGCCGGCTCCTGGCCAGAGATGATGGTCATTGCAGTGGTCCCAAGGTGCTGGGTCCCTCTGAGCACTGGCACTGGGGAAGTCCCCCACCTTGCTGTGTTTCCCAAGGGCCTGCTGGTCCAGTGCCCACCTGCAGCTCCTCCAGCTGGTGGGAGGCAGCCTCCACCTCCTGCAGCAGGCTCAGCACAGCCTGCATGTCTGCCACCTGCTTCCTCTGTCCCTGTAGATGCTGAAGGAGCCTCTGCCAGCGCACGGTAACTTCCTCCTGCCTAGAGGATATGAGAATAAGGGAGATCTCCTCTGGGTTGGGGCAGGGAAGCTACTTCAGGGTTCCTGGTCTGTGGTGGGGCTTGGCTGCCCTGGAAGAGTCTGACCTCCATGGCTGGGGCAAGGTCTATGGACTCTGACAGCATCCTGGCAGGCGGTGGTAGAGGCAGTGTGTCCTACCTTTGGACACATGCAGAGAAGCCAGAAGGAGGGCCTGGAAGGATCAGGCCTTTGGGGCCCCCTAACTTGGATGCAGTCCCCATTTCAGTTGATGAAAACTCCATCCTTCCAGGCGCCCAGACTAAAATCTTTTTTTTTTTCTTTTGAGACAGAATCTGCTCTGTCACCCAGGCTAGAATGCAGTGGTGCAATCTTGGCTCACTGCAACCTCCACCTCCCGGGTTCAAGTGACTTTCCTGCCTCAGCCACCTGAGTAGCTGGGATTACAGGCATGGGCCACCATGCCCGGCTAATTTTTGTATTTTTATTTTTATTTTTATTTTTTATTTATTTATTTTTGAGACAGAGTCTCACTCCTTCGCCCAGGCCGGACTGCGGTGGCACGATCTCGGCTCACTGCCAGCTCCGCCTCCCAGGTTCATGCCATTCTCCTGCCTCAGCATCCCGAGTAGCTGGGACTACAGGTGCCCGCCACCACACCTGGCTAATTTTTTTGTATTTTTAGTAGAGACGGGGTTTCACTGTGTTAGCCAGGATGGTCTTGATCTCTTGACCTCGTGATCTGCCCGCCTCAGCCTCCCAAAGTGCTGGGATTACAGGCATGAGCCACTGCGCCCGGCCAATTTTTGTATTTTTAGTAGAGACGGGTTTCACCATGTTGGCCAGGATGGTCTTGAACTCCTGACCTCAGGTGATCCACCCGCCTTGGCCTCCCAAAGTGCTGAGATTACAGGCATGAGCCACCAGGCCCGGCCTAACATCTTGATAACTCACTTTCTCACATGCCACATCTGATCTGTCTGCAAATTCTACTTGGCACTACCTGCAAAATCTATCCAGAACCCCACCCCTTGTCACCACTGCTGCTCCGTCCTGGATTACTGCAATAGCTTTGTAACTGGTCTCTCTGCTTCTGCCTTTGCCCCTTGGATCTATTCCCAACATGACATCCAGGTGAGCATCGCAAAACAAAAGTCAGATTGTGTCACTCGTCTGCTCCAGCCCTCCACTGATTTCCCATCATCTCTCTGAGTAAAAGCCAAATCGTTACTGTGCCCTGCAAGGCCCGACTTGACCTCCTTCCCTACCTCGTCACCCCTGTGCCCCCCTGACCTCAGCTCCTGCCACTTGTTCACTTTGGCCAACACTGGCCTCCAGGCTATTTTTCAAACCTGCCAGGCATGTGCTCGCCTAAAAGGACACTGCATTTGCCGTTTCCTCCGCCTAGAATACTCTGTCTCCCACGTCTGCATGGCCAGCTCGTCACTTCTTTCTGGTTTTTACTTAGAAGTCAACTTCCCAGTGAATCCCCTCTAGCCACTCAAACTTAGCACCTCATATTCATTCCCCTATCCTCCTTTATTGTTATTATTTTTGGAGATGGAGTCTCACTCTGTCTCCCAGGCTGGAGTGCAATGGCGCCATCTCTGCTCACTGCAACCTCTGCCTCCTGGGTTCAAGCGATTCTCCTGCCTCAGCCTCCCGAGTAGCTGAGATTACAGGCGCCCGCCACCACGCCTGGCTAATTTTTGTATTTTTTAGTGGAAACGGGGTTTTGCCATGTTGGCTAGGCTGTCTTGAGCTCCTGACCTCAGGTCATCCGCCTGCTACGGCCTCCCAACGTGCTGGGATTACAGGCATGAGCCACCGCGCCCGGCCTCTCCTTTATTATTATTATTTTTATTACCACATGCTATGAATTTTTCTTATATGTCTGTTTTCCTTAGTAGTGTGTAAGTTCATGAGGGAAGGAATTTTTGTTTCTTCTCTTCTCTACTAAATCTCCAGCACCTAGCACAGTGTGTGGGACATAGTAGACACTCAAAAAATTCTTGTTTAGTGGATGAATCAGAGGCTACCTAGAAAGTGAAAGTGCTTCACCAATAGGAATGAATTACTGATAGTGGGCTTGCAAGCATCACTGGGAGATAGATCTTTGTAGAGGGATCCCTGAACCCATAAATCATCCCTCTCCTCTCTGGCAAAGAATGGGCACATGACATGGAAGGATGGGGGTGTGGTAGGACAGCCTCAGCCAGCTGTGGGGAGAGTTCATGTGCTGGGGCTCACCTGCGGGCCACATCTGCCCAGCTGTGGTACTGCTCCTGCCGGAGGATGTCTGCGATCTCAGCCAGGGCCTGGAAGCGCCCCTCCTGGGGCAGGATGCCAGCCTCCAGCATGCCCAGCCTCTGGACGGCTGCCTCCACTGTGGCCAGGCTGGCTGGCGGGGCTCTGGCCTGGTCTAGCACCTGCTCTGCATCCTTAAGGAAACTCTCCCGGAGGGCTGCCTTGTGCTGGAAGCGCCGGGCCAGGGTTTCTAGCCGCTGCAGCTGCAGTAGCCTCTGCTGCAGGGCCTGGCTCCTTGCAGCCTCTGCCCACTCCAGCCCTGCCCAGCACTGGGACAGCTCTGCAAGGCCCAGGCCCTCATGAGGCAGGAAGGGCCTGCGGTTCTGGGCTTGGAGTGCTGTCTGTAGCCGGAAGAGCAGGGCCTCTGCGGCCCCTCGCTGCTGTAGCCGGGGTGGCTTCTCCTGGGTGCGGAAGATGGTGAATGCTGCCAGTAGCTGCCGCATGGCGGGCAGCGAGTCTGGAAAATCCCGCGCCTCCAGCTGCATCTGCTTCTCTGCAATCCAGCGTAGAAGGTCAGCCACCAGCTGCTCGTACTGGGTCTGCAGCAGCTCTGTCTCCTGGAGCTGAAGCAGGATCTGGTGGAGGGCATAGGAAGGGGTCAGGGTCCTTCTCAGGGCAGGCCCTGGAATGGGCACTGAGTGCCAGCCAGAGTTCCCCAGGTGGGCTGTAGCTACTTCTCTGAGCCAAAGATGCTTTGAAGTGGTGGTACCCCCACCCCAGAGAACTGGGTTTGCTTGGATTGCACACTCAGACCCAGGAGCTTGGGGACCCTCTCCATGACTGAGGGTGAGGCTATCCTGCCTTCTTCCTCTTGTTTTACCCATTTGGCCTCACTGGTGGGGTTGAGGCCCTTCAGGCTGCTGTTCTTTTTCTAGGCCGCCTTTCCCTTCCCTGAGCCTCCTACCCCATAAAGCAGCTCACAGCCCTTGGCCTGTGTCACCCCCACCCACACCCCAAATGAGATACCCACCTTGAGAAGAGCACTTCCAGGCCTTAGCCTCTGCCATCGTGTCCAGAGAGTAAGGAAGCCCCCCAAAAACATGAATTCTGCGTAGCCCCCGCTGGCAGAGCCTTTTCTGTGCCTGTCCTTGCAGAATCCTGGCTCTCTAAGCCTTTTAATCCCATTAGAAGCTTAATAGCCCGAGAGTCGGGAAGAAGGGGGAGGCCCAGGAAGGGCCATTCCTCCCCTGGCTTCCCTTGTATACCAGGCACCGTGCTGGGTCCATTACCCATGCTCCCTGGAACACTCACAAGGGCCTTCTGTTATCCAGGCATCATCATCTCCATGTGATAGAGGGTGCACAGTGAAGTTGGGTGACTTGGCCAAGGCCACACAGCTAGTACGTGGCAGGGCAGGCTTCACGCTTAGGCCTGTCTGCCTCTGGAGCCCTTGCTCACCCCACCCCTCCTTTCTCCCCCACCTTAGTGAGTCTCCTCTGGACAGTCTGCCCCTGATGCAGGCGGGAGCAGTAGTGGTAGTAGAGGGAGACGTAGGTCATGATAGAGCGCTCATCTGGCTGTGCGGCTGCCACGTCCTCGGGGTCCAGCAGCTGAGCAATGCCCAGCTCCTGCTCAGCCACCAGGAAAGCAAAAGCAAGGTTGTGCAGTGGGCGGTCTGGACGCAGGGAGCCGTAGTCCAACAGGTCTGGCCTGGACAGACAGTGAGAAGGGCTCTTCACCAGCAGGAACCTACTGCTTTCCTTTAAGTAGATTCTTAAATGCACTCATGCTCCTATTGGCCATTCACATCTTCTTGTGAATTCGTTTTCCCGACAGTTATCTGAGGCCCTGTTGAAGGAGGAGGACTCTGACAGAGAAAGAGGAGAGTTCATTCGGCACAGGGACCAGGCTGGGGGGCTGGAGGAATCTCCAAAGGGCAGGTGCTGCAGGGTGTAGAACATGAATAGAATTGAGGGGCACAGAAAGTGGAGAAGGCTGGGGTCAAAGGTAAACTTGGCCAATCTCATGGCATTGTCTAGGGAAGGGAAAGGGGCTAACCCATCAGCCCTTTCTACATCTGTGTCCACTTTCCCTCCTTCAAGCCTAGGGATGTGGGAGAACGGGTGGGCTGAGGACCCAAACCCAGGAGCTGTTGGCTCAGTGGGCAGAGGCCTCCTGACAAGGGTGGGGTCACACCTGTGGGCATGGATGAGGGCATTGAAGCCCAGCCCATCGCTCCAGCTTCGGGAGAAATCTGTAATGTTCACGTTGGTGTAGCTGGCTGTCTTCCGCTGGCACCAGACCAGCAGGGCTTCCTTGGTGGACAGCAGGGCTGCGCTGGCCCCAAACTCCTCCTGGCGGGACAGGGCAGCAGGGTCACCATGCGGGGATGGGGTGGGGAGGCAGAGAGCCTGCAGGCTGTGGGAGAGGCAGGCTGGCCACAGCAGGATCCTGCTCCTCCCTGGC
This sequence comes from Homo sapiens, assembly GCF_000001405.40. Classification (NCBI taxonomy): domain Eukaryota; kingdom Metazoa; phylum Chordata; class Mammalia; order Primates; family Hominidae; genus Homo; species Homo sapiens. Next base: position 41,888,198 of record NC_000015.10, read on the forward strand.
CCGGGGCCAGTGTGACTCTCCTCTCTTCAGAGTATCTGATTTTGCCCAATTTCATCCACGGTGGGCAAGGATTGGGGGTGAGAGTGACTGGCCTTCCAAAGAAGTGGAGCAAGGGAAAAGCCGTCACTGCAGAGGCGCTGGCTTTGTGTCACCACAGGTGATCACACAGCAACAGCTCCCGTTTTTTGAGCCCTTCTGACGGGCCAGGTGCTGTGCTAACTGACCTAGGCTCATGGGATTGTGGCTGGGCTTCATGAAACTGGGTCCCGTCACTGCAGGCTTTCTGTGAGCCAGGCCCAGTGTTATGGGCTGGAGTGCAGTGGCACGATCTCGGCTCATTGCAACCTCTGCCTCCCAGGTTCAAGCAATTCTCCTGCCTCAGCCTCCTGAGTAACTGGGACTACATGGAGGCACCACTATGCCCAGCTAATTTTTTGTATTTTAGTTGGAACGGGGTTTCACTATGTTGGCTAGGCTGGTCTCAAACTCCTGACTTTAAATAATCTGCCTGCCTTGGCCTCCCAAAGTGCTGGAATTACAGGTGTTAGCCACCATGCCCAGCCTCACTTCCTGTTTATAAACTCAAAATATCAAGGCTCAGCAGGCTGCACTTCCCCTGCCCTCTGGGCCCCAGAGCTTGGGTAGGAAGGACGTGCATGGTGCCCACATGAGGGGGAGTGGAGTCTCGAGGCCCTGGGCCCCAGCGAGGTCAGGCCCCAGTACCCTGCATGGTGGGGCCAGGCTGGCAGACGGAACTAAGGAAAATGCTGGGATGGCTTGTGAGGGATCGGGGCTAGCCTGAGCCCAAACATATCTGAGTCAGCAGGGAGCAGGGCTGGAGGGGGCTGCAGACAGACAGAGACGGTGCTGGTCAGGGAGGATGCCCACCTGCTGCTCCCAAGGGCCTGGGCTGCAGGGGACACCTGAAACTGGCCAGGGGCCTGAGGAGGTGAGTATGGCTTCCTGAAAGGGCTTGAGGTCAGTTAGAAATTCATCCGTCCCTTCAGCCTTCAAATAGATGCTCAGCCTGCAGACACACAAGACCCCTGCTCTCCTGGGGCTCAGGCCCTGAGTTTCCAGGCCATCCTGGACTTCTGCCAGATCTCTGGCTTCTTTTCATGAGGGTTTCATTCTCCAGGTTGGCTTTCCTTACCTACTAGAATTGAGTTTTAGGTGGCATTTTGGAAATCATGAAACTATGAAAAAGTATAACTATAAGGACTCTTTCTTTTTTTTTTGAGACACGGTCTCACTCTGTGACCCAGGCTGGAGTGTAGTGGTGTGATCTCGGCTCATCACACCCTCAGCATCCTGGGCTCAGGTTAGCTTCCCACCTGAGCCCTCCCGAGAGCTGGGACTACAGGCATGTGCCACAAAGAGTTTATAGTCTTTCTGATCCAGTGTGGGGGAAAGAGGTGGAATGAAGGAAGCTGGGGACCATGAAAGAAATGCTGTATCTTTGGTGTGTAGGGTGCCAGGGACTTTGTAAACCTCCAGAGCTGGGACTCCCTCCACACATTTCATTTTTCCCAACAGTACATTGTGGTGTAATGGAAGTTACAGAGCCTCAGTGCCAAGTGGGGAGCACCACACAGGGGTGAAAGTGGGTGCTGGGCAGTGACCCTGAACCCCCCACTAGTGAATGACTTGCCCAGACCTGGTTTGAAGCCCATGGCCCTGGCCCTCACTTTAGCATATTACAATGTTACAATATCTCTGGTATCCTGGGTTCTTCACCCATGGTTGGAGAGTGAATATGGACTTTGCAGTTTCCAGGATCTCCTATGGGGATCATAAAAGTTGTGTGGAACTTATGAATCCCCAGGGGTCTGAGGTGAGGCCAGGGCTGGGCTGGGTCACCAGGTGCTGGGTACTGGGGACTGAGCCATACCTTGTCCAAGGAGATGTGGGAGATCTGGAAACGCAGAATGATGACCCAGATGAGTCCCAGGATGAGTGTCTGGTCTCCGTCCACGATGTTCTCTGGCCCGATGAGTGGTACTGGCACCTGTGGGCACAGTTGGATGGGCTAAGCCATGAAGCCCATGTCCAGAGAGGACTCAGTCACCAAAAGCTTAGGGGGCCAGCTGCGGGATGGGAGCATCCTGGAATCTATCCTGCCCCAGCTGGGAGTTCCCTCAGGGAGAAGCAGGCAGGGGATAAGTCCAGGAAAGCAAAGGCTTCCTGCCTGGTTGGAGCCATGGCCTCAAGCCCACCTGGGTGAAGCCCCAACCTGGTGAACTGGGCTGGGCCCTCAGAGCAGGAGGACTCCCTGTGTGTGGGCTACAGGTAGACCTGGGCCAAGATCAGTGGTTCAGCTGCAGGGTTTGGAAATGAGGGGTCATAACAGTCAATGTGTGAGCCCAACAGACAATAGCAACTGTCTGCCTCCATCTCCCAGGGTGTCCTGGGATCTTCAGGGGGTGGCTGGGTCCCTGGGCTCACACCCAAATCTCAGCCCTCTTCTTCTGTTCCGGCTCCAACAGGGCCAGCTATAAATCCAGACTCCCAGGCTCCACCCAGTCAGACTGTCTTGGGCCAGAGCCTGGGAATTTGCACTTGAACAACACCTTGGGTGGCTCTTAGGTACACCAAAGTTGAGACTCCTCTGCCCTACATCCTGCCATTTGGACAGGGAGGATGGGTGAGTCAAGGGGAGAAGCCCTGCAGGATCTGGCCCCCAGCCCCCTGTGGCTCCATCTTCCACCCTGTGGAATCACATAGCTCCAAGGCCCATGGGATTCTTATAGTTCCATGGGATTCTAAGCACAGGACTTCAGGCCTTTGCAGGGCCGTGCCTGCTGTCTGAAAGTATTCTCCCAGGTATCTGCATGGCTATTCACCTCCCTGCCTTTAACTCTTCACTCAGATGTTGCCTAGCCTGACCACTTTATTTAACACAGAAACTTAAGGACTATTTCTCCCACCCAAATACACACTCTCGATCCCCTTGCCCTGCTCAAGTGAGGATCTTGGCTTTGTTTTCTGGTGTATCCTAGGGGAGTGGCACACAGCAGGCAATCGATCAGTAAGTACTGAATGGAGAAAGAAAAGGAGTGAGACTTTCCATAAGACCTGAAGGGCAACTGGCTTCAGCCGGCCACTACTAGCCCTGTGGGAGGAGCTGCAATCCTGGGTGTCCCCCTAGGTAAACTTTGGTATATCTGGCTGGCCTCTAAAGGATCCCACCCATGCTCCTGGGGTGGATTCCACCTGCCATGTCAATCACCTTGGCTTAGAGTTGGAGCCTCTGGTGAGTGGGGTGTTTGTCTGCTCCTCCCAGCTCCTGAGAGCCTATCCTCCTGACTTCCTATTGAGCGATGTCACGCTGGTGGCTTAAACTCACCGTGATGGGGGGTATTAACGCCATAGGATCAGCGAATACAGCACACTGGAGTTTTTATTTCCCCCAGAGAATCATTTGTTAAACGTTTACCAGCACACCGCTGATCTGGGTTCAATGAATCTGTCTCCCTTTGAAGCCAGGTGCCTTGAGGTGGGGGTCTGGGCTTTGCTTAGTGGAGCCCAGCGCCTGCATAGAATGCCCAGGGCATGGGAGCATCTCCATAAGCGAATGCATCCCTCATTCTGCCACACATTCCCTGTGTGTTTGCGGCAACTCCGTCATCCTTTCTAGACCACAGTTGCCTCCTATGTGTATGGAGACAAGGATGTCACCCTCACAGGTATCAGTGACATGCTGTATATTAAAGCTTGGGGAGAGCTGCAACACCTCTGACAAAGGCTGTGGGGCTTACACCCTTCCCCAGTTCCTGGAGGGGAGATGACTGGCTCACAGGGTCATTGTCCCTGGATCAACTAGGGCCCAGCATTCTGCAGCTGGCAGCGTTCTGCTCTTGCACCTGCTCAGGACAGCAGTCACTCCCATTCCCTTTGCTTGGGCTTCTCCCCTCCCTGGCTTTCCTCCAACACACCCCAGGAGGCTGGATGTAAGCTCCACTCCAGGATATAGTGATAGGCACGCACAGTCAGGCTCCATCCAGCCAGGCCCAGCTCAGTGACTTCACAGCCTCCAGGGACAGCCACCTCCAGGAGCCCTTGGCCTTCACAGTTCCCGGTTTCCAATGATCCCTTTGCCCCACCCCACCCCTGCACCAGCCCCTCACCCTGGCCATGAGGGTCCCTCTGTCCCTGGAGCTCCGGCCTCCTTTTAGTGCCCATCTCCTTAGCCTGTCCCTTTCTTTCAGGTGACTCTGCCTCCCCCCATTTGCTGAGGCCTCCTCCCTCCTTCTCCAAGACAGGCCCTGCTCCTCTTCCCCACCTGCCGTCTTAGTCCCACATCTGGGCTCTGTTGGCTGGTTAACCATCGATCTTGCCTGGTAAATAATTCAGGGCCTCTGTTTCCTCATCTGTGAAATGAAAAGCCTAAGAGAACGCTAAGATTCTTTTGGCCTAGAATCCTGTGAGTCTCTCTTATGACAGACAGTGACATTTTCCACCCCAGTAGGGACCTGGATTGCTACTGCCATGGCCAGCTGGGTGCTCTCCAAGTCAGGGGTGCTGTGCGAGGAGGGCGTGGCTTCTGCTCCTCTGTGTCCCAGCCACTCCTCCTGTACTCAGGCCCCAGCTCCTCTGTTCTGCCCAGTGGCCTGGCGCAGGAAAGGTGACCCAGTAGTTCAGCCTGTCCCAGCTGCCTGCCCCAGCACCATCCCAGACCCCTTTCCCTGGGGCCCACCTTGGCCCTGAGGAAGGCCAGAGCTCGGCTGCTGTTCTCCAGGAAGTGCACACGCAGGCGGCCCCGGCTCGGGGGTGGCAGGGCCTCCCCTGAGATGAGCTCCAGCAGCCGCAGGAGGTGGATGCCGTCAGCCAGCTCTGTGTACAGGTTCCGGATCTTGATGCCCGCCTGGGGAGGGGACAGGGGTAAGTATGGGGTCAGCCCAGCCTCACCTGTCCTCCCATCCTGGGACCTGAGAGGTACGACCCAGAGCAGCTGCTTTGGAAGAAGGAGCTCTGGCCTCAGCTTGGCCTCAGGCAGATGACCCCACAGCTCACCCCGGAGGCCCACTGGCCAGAGCTGGGGGCCTGGTATGGGTGGGCTGTGGGTCACAGCTGGCTATACTCACCTGGCCGCACTGGAAGACGTTATTGATCCACTTGGTGAAAGTCTTCTCCTGCATCTGCATGTGCCGGGCCTGTAGCTTGCGAATGTGGCCCGTCTCGTACTGAGAGTCCATGGTGAGACTTGGACTGGGCGGGACCCGGAGTTCTGTGCTGGGCCTCCTGCTGCGGTGCCCTGCAGCCCCGAGGAGCTCCCGGGGACTGTGGGGCTGACCAGCCATCAGCCCTGCAGACTTTGGGGATGAGGAGCTGCTGGATGGCTCCCTAAACCTGGAGGGCATGCAGATTAGGGGATGATGTGAATGGAGATGGCCCCTCTACCAGGGGCCTGGGGTCCCGCCTTGCCAGACTGTCCTCACATTTCATGGGGGTTGCAGCTTGGAGCCCAGCCAGGTAAGGGCCAGTGCTTCTGGTCCCCTGTGCTTGAATGGCCCAGGGCCCCCTTTGCCCCACCCCACCTTCCAGATTCTTCTTCTCAGAGCCCCTGCTGCCAGGTCCCTCCACCACAGTGACTGGGACAGGTGGAAGGAAGACAGGAAACTGCTTACCTTGGTGATGCCTGGGTCCCACAGAGACGGCTCTGCTGGACGGATGGAGATGGTAGATAGCAGGGGCTGCTTACCTTGGTGATGCCTGGGTTCCACAGAGGCGGCCCAGCTGGACGGATGGAGATGGCAGATAGCAGGGGCTGTGGAGGGAGGGAGAGGGACATCAGGAGAGGCCAAGGCTGGAGCAGGGCTGCACCACAGCCCTCCCCTTGAGCCAGCGTGCTGGGGTGACGGCACACAGGCGGCATTGTCCTCCCACCTGCCACAGGGCGTGGCCCAGACAGGGAGGGGGTGGTTCAGGAATGCTCCAGGGCCATTGCCAGATGATGTCCTCCTTCATCATCCTCCCTTCCCCGCCAGCAACTTCTCCAACTCCAGGTGGGGGTCCTGGCTCCCAGGACGCAGAGGCCCATGGAGCGGCCCTGCCACCGCATGGGGTGCTGCAGTCTGCGTAGGAGGTACCAAAGGGCAGAGCCTCTGTGGGAAGCCTGTGGACGCACTTCCCAATCTGAGACTGCCCTCTGTACCCTCTTGGGGCCTCTCTGTGAGCACCCAGGGCGAGGGGATGAGGGAGCGTCCTGGGCCGTGGTCTTCTCATTCACCCCCAGGGAACAGCCCATAGACTGAGGGCCTCACAGACCCTGGGCTTGGCTTTCCAGGCCCTGCCAGAGTGCAGCCTGCCTAGCCCGGGGCTGAAGGGTAGGCTCCCTGGAGGAAGGGGTGACCTGGAACTGCGAGGGCTGTGGAGTCTCCTCCAAAATTAGAGACACGGTGTTAACTCTGGGCTCCACAGAGCTGGCCGTGGCCCGGGGCTCGGAGGCAGGGGTGCAGAGGGAGCTGGTGGGCGCCCATCCCTTCCTCCCCGAGCAGCCGTGGACTACATGCCAGAGTGAAGGCGAGTTCTAATTCTGGGGGTCTCACCCGCCTCTGGCTAAACTCAGGGTAGCAGTGTGGGCTGGGGTGTGTGTGTGTGGGTGTCTTCCAGCGGCCCTGGAGCCTCTGAAGCGACAGCCCGCTCCTCAGGGAGGCGCTCCTGGCAGCCACAGCCCACAGCAGGACAGCCGCTCAGCGCGCCCTTGAGAGCTGGGCTAGGGATGAGTCACACTTGAACCGCCTGGGCCCACTGCAGGCAGTCAGGGGTGACGCTGAGAGGTGCCGTGGTCTCGGGTGGGGTGCGGCTTCCTGCGTCTGAGAGACGCTTCCTCTCCTGCTGTCCTCTCCCTGCCAGGCCCCTTCTGCAGCGGCTGGCTTCCAGACACCCTGCGTCCCTCCCTTGCTCGCAGCAGTTGCTGTGGCGGTCCTCCCGTGCACCCCCCCTTCTGCCCTCACTGCCCCTGGGGGTCCTCATCACGGACCCCCTAACTCGGCATCCTGGACACCACCACCCCGCACCTTTCCACAGTGCAGCTCTGCTCGTGCCTGTGAAGCCTCCCACAGCCTGGGAAGGAAAATCCAGACTTGCCAGACCTTGCCTCAGCCAGGCCTTGGAAGCCTGCCAGCTTACCTAACCAGGCTAGTCTGCCCCCCTCACTCTGGGTGCTCTCCATGGGCCACTCACCATTTCCTGAGCAGGACCAGAGCTCTCCTGCCCCAAGGCTGGGCTTCAGCTGCTCTTTCAGCTTTGAACGTCCTTTCCCATTCTCCATCATCCACATTCACCTATCCTGCCTGCCCCAGTTAAAATCCTGTTTCTTCTAGGAAGTCCCTCATCCCACCCGCTTACCCCAGGGAGACTGAGCTTGTTCCTTCTCCTAGTAAGACCCTCAGCCCATGGAGTCCTGTGTGATGTTGTGAGCGTGGGAGGACAGACTGAACTGCTCGGCCCGTGGAGTCCTGTGTGATGTTGTGAGCGGGGAGGACAGACTGAACTGCGTGGTGCTTCGCACATAGACCTCAACAGGGATTGGCATTTTGAAGCTGTTGGCGGGGGCTGTGGACTGCTTTTCTTCCTTTCTAGCTCAACGGCAGCTAAAGCCACTGCATACAATGCAAGGACTGGCTCCTGTTTGGCCACGACTGATTGCAGCCCCTGGTGAAATGAGAACCCTGTGGGTCGGAACAAAGTTTGGATTATTTATGTTGCAAGTAACTAAAATCTCAAGTGAAACTGGTTTAAACATTATATTTTTATTATTTATTTATTTATATTTAATTCTTTTTTAGAGACAGGGTCTTCTTAGGTTGCCCAGGCTGGTCTTGAACTCCTGGCCTCAACGATCTTCCCACTTCAGCCTCCTGCATTGCTGGGATTATAGGTGTGAGCCACCATGCCTGGCTTACACAGTATAAAGGGAATGCATTGGCCCACACAGTGGAAAAAAATATCTAGTAGGAATAGGAAGGACTTCAGGTGAGGTTTGATCCAGCAGCTCAAATGTTGTCACCACAGGCCTGGATTCCTCTGGCCTTTCTCAAGGTCTCTTTCATTTTCATGCTCCACAAGATGGCTTCTGCCAGGCTGACCTCCCTCCCCTGACCCCAGCAGCTCTGGACACCCCTCTCAGTGCCATTTATATTGTTGCATCAATAGGCTCATTTCTATATACTGCAAGGTTCAGAGAAGACAGAGTATCTCTCTCAAGAGTTCTAACATAAGTCTGGGGGTCCTGGCTCTCATAGGCTTGAACAGGGCCACATGTCCATTCCTGAGCCAATATTTGTGACCAAGGGGATGTGGTCAATCTCATCCAAACCTCACTTGAAGTGAGGGTGGGAGGAGGAGTGCTCTGCAAGGAGACTGTAGGTCTGGACCACCAAAAAGGTAGATGGGTTGGTGGGAAAAGCCAGATGCCTACTATGGTAGTGGGCGGGGGGAGGGCACACTGGCAAGGTACAGCAAGAGGCAGGGGCAGTGCTGGACAGGCAGGGGCTCCTCCCTAGCACGACTGGAGAAAGGACTCCTGTGAAGCGGTCACCTCCATGAGTCCCTCCTGTCCTGGCTTCCAACCACTCTGAAGTGGGGCTTTTGTCCACAGACCTGGCCTCTGCTGCCTACCCTCTTCTGTCCCCACCTGATGGGGCCGCTTTCCTTCTGAAGCGGCTGCATTTTGGGTTTCTCTCCACAGGAAGAGTTGGGGCTCACAGGCACACCCTCTCCCTAACTCTTCTCCCCCGGTTCAACCTGGATCCAGGGATCCACACTCTGCTCCGAGAGGCCAGCACGCAGCCACTGGAAAATGAGCCAGTGGGAGAGGGCAGCTCCATGTTTATTGATCAGCAGACTATGTCTTTTTGTTTGAAACTTCTAAATAAGATTACAAAAAGAAAAAAAATAGAAGCATTGCGTATTAACTGCATTGGTTAACCAACATTGGAACCCAATACTCTTGTATTAGGCCCGCATTTACCTGAGTAAACTCAGTGGTTTTCTGTCCTAAGCATGCTTGCCTGCTACATCCCATGGAGAAAATAAACAGTGAAACACTTTCCTCATCTTCAAGGCAATTGTCTCAGGCATCCTCCAGGCATCATGAAGGAGGGTGAGCGAGGGTGCGAGGTGGAAAGGTCCAGGCCGCGGCTGTGACTCCCGCGGGTGAACCACAGCTCCACAGCCCCAAATCCAAAGATGCTCTTGCTGCAGCACGACAAGTGTTCAAAAGAGAACCAGGCCCAGCCCGGAGAAAGGAAAGCCAAAAGCCAACTGAATGAATGACCCTCCCCCAGAAGAGCAACCCTGCCCCCAGGCCATCCAAGTGCGGTGAGTTGAGAAATGAATTGACAGACGCTGCAGGGCTGGAGCAGGAGGCGGAAGCAGGTTGGAAGGCTGTTGTGTGCCACCCCTCCCTGGGAGCTGGGGAGATTCCCAAGTCTTAGTGCAGTGTTTCTCTACAAACGGGGTCAGGAGACCCTCACTGGCAGGCTGACAACTTGGAAGCAGACTGTGGGAGCAATAGGCTGGAGTTTTCATTTTCCCTTTAAACTCAAGACCGGAAGGTTTGTGTTATGCGATACCATATGCTGTGTAGAAAACAGGGCCTCAGCTTCTTAGATGTTGTAGTTCTAGAGTTTAGGTACTTCCACCCTCTCTCCTATACATAAACACTCTGTGGAAGAGGTTCTTTGAAAATTGGGGTGGTGCAGGAAGGGCAACGGTGATGGTGAGCAGGCCCCAGGGTCGGCCCTGCCGCCCTGCCGTGTGGGGTAGGGAGACAGCTGGTGGTGTGGACACATTCACAGAACTTTGTACTGGTCCTGGGAAGATACAAGTCCTCACTTGGTCGCCATCCCTCATATTTTCTAGTGTTTTCTTTTCCAGTCAACTTTTCTTGATGAATGACTGCATGTAAGAGGATATTAAGAAAAGTGGCCAAATGATTTCCTTTTTTTTTCCTTTCTCTCCAAGAACATTACCAGGTGCCAGCAGGGAAAGGACTCCGCTGCCTGACGCCTCTCCCACCTGAGAGCGCAGAGGTAGGGAGATCACAGTGCCTGAGAGGTTTTCCTCCACGGAGAAATCAGAGACCTCAACCTGCTGCCCTCTAAAGCAGCTTTCTGTATCCAGACAAAACTTACATATGTACACGTTGTTTTAAAACGACATACTCATGTGACACACATGTATATAAATTCATGTTTATATATGACAATTGAGGAGAGTTAAAGAACAAGATAATTCTGGATGGAAAAATCAGTTTGCCTGGGCATCTGTAAACCTTTGGGCAAGTGAATTCCCTCTTCTCTCTCAGTTCACCCTTTGGTGACCTCCACCGTGGCTGCAGACTTCAGGTGGTCCTCACGCATTCACAGAACTGTCTGCTTAGGTTACAGCACTTTGGGAGGCCGAGGTGGGTAGATCACGAGGTCAGGAGATCGAGACCATATTGACCAACATGGTAAAACCCCATCTCTACTAAAATACAAAAATTAGCCGGGCGTGGTGGCGGGTGCCTGTAGTCCCAGCTACTTGGGAGGCTGAGGCAGGGGAATCACTTGAACCTGGGAGGCGGAGGTTGCAGTGAACTGAGATTGCGCCACTGCACTCCAGCCTGGGTGACAGAGACTTCCTCTCAAAATAAAAATAAAAATAATAAAATAATAAATGGTTCTTTTCTATGCGTCTAATGAATTTAAGTGCTTGTTAAGACTAAAAACCATGTTATGCATTTCCTGCTCTTAAAACTAAATTATGTAGAAAGTAAGCTAGGGAGTGTAAGGGTAGGCATCTGGATATAAATGCTTCTCCCAAATCAAGATTTTCTCTTCAATCTGTGCCTTTGACCCTGTCACCAAAGGCAGGTGACAGAAAAAAAAAATTATGTGCCTTTTGGAAGACTCAGTGGGACGGTTCTGATTTCATTCACTTCTGGTGCCAGCAGGCCCCCATACCATGTGGCCATTGCTGTTTCGTGTCTCTTCCTGCATAAATAATGCAGAGAGGCCATGCAGGTATGCAATTTTCTGGAGATGAGGCAGGGAGATTTGCAAGGAAAAGTCACCTACCTCCCCAAGCTGGTGCCCACAGAGGGGGAGGCACCTCCACCTGACGCAGGTGTCTGAGCAGCAGTCCAGAGAGGTTTACTCAGGGGATTTGGGGAGCGCACACTCTGGAGCAGAAGTACAGGTATGTGCCCGAATCCTGCCTCGTGATGGGCATTCATGATACGAACCACACAGCCTTTAAAGAAAAGGTTTTATATGAAAGGTTCCATTTTGTTTCTGTATAAAGGCTTTTATCCTGTAAGGAAAAAAAAAAAACACAAAACCCTAGACATAATAAATGCCTGTTTTCTACAAAAACAATGTCTAACTCTGGGTGGACTGATCTCTTCTCAACAGCCCAGGGCAGGGCTGGTCCCTCATTCACCTGTGTCCACAGGGCCGAAGACACTGCACACACTAGGACAGGATTTGATTGAATTTAAATCCTGCCACCCACCAAGGAGACCTCGGGATATTTAATGTTTGAGGGCCACACTAAACGATCACTGCAGAGAACCACCTCTTTTCTTTACTGTAGTTTAAGTATGATAAGTGGGCTTTGCTATTACTTATTGGAAAAACCAGTAAGAAAAGCTAATTTTCAGGCTTCAATGTGATTTGACATGCAAACGGGAAGTTTTGCCAGGGGTTAATAAAGGTTGTGAATTCCAAATTCCTAGCCGAATATGGCTTTGCTGGTAAGCCCCCTGGAAGGGAGGTTGGGAGGGCTGACCAGATGGTCATCGGGGCACTGGGATGGAGGCACGCTGGGGCCTGACTGCCTGCTCTGCTGGAGACTGCAGAATGGATGGCAGATCCACAGTGCATCCCCCTTCCAAACCCAGGAGGCATCTGTCGCCTTCTCTTTGGTAGACAGTCTGGAGACAGCAGAAACCCTCTGCTCTATTTTTTTGCCACTCTAAATATAGCAGAAAACAAAATAAAATAAATAAGATAATCTTTGCTGCCTCCAGGTGCCCTCTGAGGGACAGACAGCTGCTCCAGAGTTGTTCATGAGGACAAAAAGCCCAGGCAGCCTGGAGACCCAGCTGCTCTGGGTGAGCCTTAGCTCACTTCCTGTGGTTCCTGGGACTTACCAGGCCCACCCCCATGCGCATTTCTCCAGGCAGGTTCTGAGGACTCTTTGGACAATTTCTCTTTCTTCTCAACCCTTCAATCTCCTAATCCACCCCCCTACCCCCAATATTTTCATAGAAACTAAGGGAATTTTGGAGGTGAAAGAAGTCATCTAGTTTCCAGTGTCCACCCTCCCCATTCTACAGATGGGGAAACCAAGGCACAGAGAGGGCAGTGCCTTGCCCAAGGTCATTCGGTGAGTCAGTGGTGGAGCAGGCCTGAGGCCCAGGTCCCCCAGTTCCCACCCCGTTCTGCAGCCCACCCCTCAGTCGGCCTTGGGCAGGGACTTCCTGTGCGAGGGGGGCACGAGGTGGGGGGGCAGGCTGCTGGGCAGCTCGTAGCCGTCGAGCTTGATCTTGATGAGGTGCTTGGCCAGCGCGAACTCCTCCTCATCAAGCATGCCGTCGCAGTCGCAGTCGGCCAGCTTCCAGATCTTGCCCAGGACGCTGTTGGGCAGCTTGGAGGTCACCATCTCCTTCTTGGCGTTGACACCTGATATCTTGCCATTGATGGGCGACAGAGTGTAGAAGAGCTCGTCGTAGACGGGCTTGTCTTTGGCCACGACCCACTCCTCCTCGTCGGCGCCCTCCTTGGCACCCTCCCCGTAGCCCTGGTTGAAGGGGCCCTCGGTGGTGCCATCGAAGGCGCCGCCCTGCACCAGCTGCGTGGGCGTGCTCGTCTCCTCCTGGCTGATGAGGTTCATGAGGGGCGAGATCTTGTTGCTCAGCATGTTGTCCACTGCCTCGATCAGCTTGGGCTTCAGCGAGTGGAATTTGGTGAAGTCATAGTTCTCAAGCTGTTCCTGCAGAAGGACAAACCACAGGATGGGTTACATGTGGTCTCTTCAGGGGGAAACAGTTGGGGGCCACTGGAGGGAGACTAATTCTGCCCCAGGCAGACGTCCCACCCACTACTCAGGAGTGCACTCTTTGGGAGCTTCCCACATCCAGATGTACCACATATAGGAGTGGTTGTTTTGGAACAAGAAACAAGTGTTTTTCCTATGGCAGCCAATCTCTGCTGGTGGCCGCATGAGCGACAGCAACCTCCGAGGACTCTGAGAAACCTTCTTTCACCTGCCTTTTTAAAAATGCTCTAGAGTTAGTATTCTATTTCTCAAGGGATTTCACTACACACTTCAGCCGATCTTCATAGCAATCCTGGGAGGAAGGAGGGGCAGGCATTTAGAACCACATTTTACAGAGAGCTGTGAGGGGCTGTCTGGCAGAGTCAAAGCAGAGCCCCTGTCTCCTGGCTCTTGACTAATGCTCTCTGTGCTGGAACACAGAGCTGTGACAGAAGGACTATGTTTACATAAAACAACTAATTAAATACCTTGTTTTCGGAACACGTAAAAAAATGTAGTGTAGGACAGCTTCTTAGTGGCTCTAACCTCTTATGAATGAGCTGAGGGCGCTACTCAACAGGAACCCCGTAGGACCAGCCCCACCAAGTACGGCCTGACCAGGGGCACCTGTGCTACCCCAGGAAGGTATCGAGGCAGGGCCACGGAGACCTTGCATATACAACATAATCATCATGAATCCACTGTCATTTCTAAAATATGGACAAATAAGCAAAAGCTGGAACTTGTAAGAGCAGGGAGTAGGGCTGGGGAGCACGAGGGAATAAACGTAGCTGGTAAGCCTGAGTATCACTGGCCAGGTCAGGACATATCTTAGCTCTACCTGTTGAGTGAGGCAGCCTGTCAGCAGACAGAGCAGCAGAAGCACAGGCTCTAGAGGGGGCCTGGGAAACACTGTGACTGCCCAACCAGGCTGGGGCAGACTACAGGATGCCACAGAGGCTCTGTGGATGGCACCGTAGAAACTGACCTTCCTACCTTGGTTCTCCTTGGTTACTCCATCCATCCATCCATCCATCCATCCATCCATCCATCCATCCATCCATCCAACAACCCACCTGTCCAACTAATCCTCCAACTAACCATCCATCCATTCAACCAACCCTCCATCCATCCATTCAGCCAACAATTCATCCATCCATCCACCTACCCGACCAACTTTTATTTGTCATTTACTCTGCACCAGCCCCTGTTCTGGGGCTTGGGGATACAGAATAAATATGAAAAGCCATAATTCCTGCTTTAAATGAGCTTATGTTGTAATGGAGGAAGGATACTCCAATTGTTTAAAAAAGGACTTGACATAACACAGTGAAAAGGATAACATGAAATCTATAAAGTCATTAGAAAGAAAAAAGCCAAGTCATTAAAAGGGAGAGAGGGGCCAGGCTCAGTGGCTCACACCTGTAATCCCAGCACTTTGGGAGGTCAAGGTGGGAAGACTGCTTGAGCCCAGGAGTTCAAGACCAGCCTGGTCATTAGACCCATATATATATATATACATATGTATGTGTATACATATATGTATGTGTGTATATATATGTATGTGTATATATATGTATGTGTATATATATGTATGTATATATATACATATGTATATATATATGTTAGGGAGAGGAAGGGAATAATCACATCAGATGGCTAAGGTTAAGGAAAACTACCGCCTGTATAAGGAGAAGAGCTCAGTTGCCCAGGGGGACCCCTGGGGACCCTCACTGTCTAAGGAGAGAAAACACTTGTTTATTGCAAGAGACAAACTTTCTGTGGCTCTGAACTGCGAGAGTTACCTAGAGCTTTACATGACAGGCTTCAAAGATCTGATGAAAAGTGTCTTCAACAGTAGTTTTATTAAATAAATGCAGAAATGTTCCAGGTATGGCAGGTTTTATATGTGAAGTATTTCTGTATGTACAGTTCTAGAGGGGGCCAAAGAGAGGCCATGCAGGTGTGCAATTTTCTGGAGATGAGGCAGGGAGATTTGCAAGGAAAAGTCAGACCTCGCTGTTTTGGACAGAAGCAATGTGACAGGCTGCTAGGAAAAAAAAAAAAAAACTTGGTGTTATCATAAATATCATGCTTTCTTGTAAAAAAAAAAAACAGAAAAAACTGGTAAGCAAAACTAAAAATTTAAAATAATTTATAATCTCATCATCTGGCAAAAACCTCTGCTAGCATATCTGGGCATGCATTTCTAGCCATTAACATACATACACACACACACACACACACACACACACACACACACACTGAAACAATACCACACTCTTAACAAATAATATGTCATATATTTCTGTGGTATTAATTTTTACATAACCTTTCTCTTAACAGTTACAGAATATTGAACTTAGACTGTAGAGCTGGGCCATTCTTAATTAACCCTGTCCCCTATAGCTGGACACACAGGTTGTTTCCAATAGAGAATCAAAATCATGGTCTCTAGGGTGGCAGGGCAGGAATTCTGGGCTGACATTTGGAAGGGGATTCCTGGGTGGTAGTTGGTGGGGGGACAGAGCTGAGAAATATCAGCTAAACGGGCTGACATTTCTCTAGGGAAGGGACTCTGACATATTCTCAGGAAGTAAAGTCAGCAGCCATCAAACCATGCAAACCCAGCGTGTGGCCCCTGCTCAGCTCAGAGCAGCGGGTACTGCAGGCCGGGTCTCTCAAACGCAGTCACTAGCATGTCACTCCTGACATCAGCACCAAACAATGCGGCCTGCACTTCGGGCTCCTGCCACCAACATCTCAATGGGCCAAGGAGATGGAAAAGAGAACGCTAAGCAGGTGGAGGAGCAGGCGTCCCCCACAAAAATCCCAGTGCTGCTGGGTCAACGAGTTTGGATTCCCCGGGTGCGTGAACACCTACCCCATTTCCTTAAGAATGAGCCTGCGCTCAGAGCGCACACAGAGCCCCTGTGTCTGGCCCAGCAGACAAAGGAGGGTGATGCCTGCCCAAACTTCCCACCAGCCTGCAGGGGCCGTGGATTCCGACTGCAGAGCTCTGGAAAACTGGCAGGGGGAGTGGCCGCATATTTGCAGGGGTGGACAGGAGGCAGCAGTTATTCCTGTCCTGGGAGGCAGGCAAGAAATAAACCCTCCATTCTCATCCCTGTGGTCCCCCCCAGGCTTGACCGGGGACTGCGGGGGCACCAGTTAAACCATCATCATGTCACTCCTGACATCAGCACCAAACCATCATCATCCCTGCCCTCTGCCACGGTGAGTCCAAAACAGTTCTTATTGGGATGAATACACACTGGGGAACTTAAAGGTATTTGCCCATCAACAGTTGTATCCACTAAGCCAGGACCCTGGAATTGCTCCCTCTCAAGAGGCAAAGGTCAGTTCCCAGCCCCGTCTCTGGTGGGGCTGTCCCTTGCCCATTAATTGCCAACATTAACCAGAAGAGTTTTCAAATCCACCAGAGGGTCTGAGCAGATGGGGCTGACTCTGCTGCCCTCTGCTGTTGAAATGCTGCCAACTCATGAGCTGAGGGGTCCAAATTCTCCTTCCAGTCAGAGGAGCAGAGTCAGCAGTAACGGTGGCCCTTCGGGTGCTCATCTTGTCCTGCAGTATTAACACTGTGCTGTCAGTCACGGTCCCTCCCCAGAGCGTGCCAGGCACGCACAGGCAGCCACACAGGTGGGTTGCAGGGCCTGTCCCAGCTCAGGGAAGGGCCTTCAGAATACACTCTCCTCTCACTGCTACAGCTAAGAGTCACTCTGACCAGCTGGCTCCATGAGAGAACAGGGAGAATAACAACCTAAAGCTGGCATCAGCGAGCTCTCTGCGTGACCCTGATATGTGCAAAGATCACAGTGTGGTCACTTCTAAGCGTATGTCCCCCCTCTGTCAAGGCCTATGTTACAGAGGATGTTAGACTTTAACAGCCTCAGGGATGGGACAGGCCCTAACCCACACACGCGCCCCTCAAAGCTTCCGGTGACAGCAAGCTAGCTTGCAGTATCAGGTGACACTAAGCATTCCTGACAGGCTCCAGGCTGCCTTGTTCCTTGGGGATTCTCCGAAGGAATGGGGTGATGTGACTGGGCCTCAGCCTACTTCCCAAGGAGGCCTCTTCCTGCAGCTTCTAGGGGTTGGCACGGGGAACCCCTGGTCTATAAGCCCTGTGGGAATCGAGGCTGCGTCAGGGCCTGAGAGCCTGCTGTGATATGGCCTTACACTAACTTACTAATTCACTTGGCTTGTGTGAATTGAGCACTCACCACGTCCTAGATGCTGGGGATATGGCAGTGAACAGGGCATGGGTCACTGACCTCATGGAGCCACAGACTTACGTGGGAGAGAGATACTAAATATCAGACATCAGATAATTCAATTACATGGAAGCACAACAGTGCTCATATTGTAACAAGAAACATGTGTCCTTACAGTGGGGTTGCTGTCAATTATTTTTACCCCCATTTGTTCATTTTTTCTGTTTTTTGACAGGGTCTCCTCTGTCGCCCAGGCTGGAGTGCAGTGGCGTGATCATGGCTCATAGCAGCCTCGACCTCCGGGCTTAAGCCATCCTCCCACCTCACCCTCTCAACTGGCTGGGAACACAGGCATGAGCCAACCACACCTGGCTAATTTTAAAATATTTTAATGGATATCGGGTCCCACTATGTTGCCCAGGTTGTTCTCCAACCCCTGGACTCAAGCAGTCCTCCCATTTCAGACTCCCAAAGTGCTGGGATTACAGGCGTAAGCCACTATGTCCAGCCTCATTTGTTCATTTTTTTGTGTTGATTTATTCCAGGGGCCTAGAACAGTGATAGCAGCAGGAGGCAGAAAAATGCTGAGGCAGATAGGGGTGGGTCTCCAGTGAAACCCTATCTTCAAGCCAAAGGCAGTTTAAAGCCTGCAGGCCAAGCTACAAGTCAAATCCATGGACTGGATTGAGAACCTGTCTTTCCATTTGGCTGCTTTTCTTTGATTGATCCTCACCCTTCACCTATTTTACATATACCTACCCTTCCCTAATTGTTTTTACACTGTTATGTCCACCTTTGACTGGTGCCTTTGTTTTAACCTTTTTTGCATACTCACAAATCAATCAGCATGCACTCCTCTATCCTGTGCCTATAAAAACCCCAGACTCAGCCACACTGGGGAGATGACCTGACTTCAGGAGAGACAACCCAATCTTCCCATCCCCTCTTCACTGAGAGTTGTTTTGTTGCTCAGTAAAATCCTCCACCCTCATCACTCTTCAATTGTCAGCATGACCTTATTCTTCTTGGATGCAGGACAAAAGCTTGGGACCCACCAAACGCAGGTACCCAGAAAGGCTGTAACACTGGCCCTCTGCCCTCACCATTGCAGGGTAGCCGTGCCACTCAACAGAAGCAGTGGTGGGGTCGAGCTGGACCGGAGCCATGGGCCAGAGTGGGGCAAGAGGGTGACTGAGCTGCTAACATGATGCACAACTAAAAGAGCTAATTAGCACACTGTAGCACCCCCTCTGGGGCTTTGGGGTTGCGGGCATCCCTGCCTGGGCACTGCCACGTTCCCCTTGGGGTGACACACCTGGTCTGGCTGCAGACCATGCACAGAGCCTGCTCCTATGTCAGCACTTGGAGTGGCTGGCTGGATCCTGCACTTGCTTGCTCACCCACCTTCCGTGGTGCTAAGGTACTGGGCATAGACCTGAGTCCAGGTGATTCTCAGCAAAGGCTTGGCCCTCCTTGTACCCTCCATCTCAGTGGGCCATGGCTGCTCCTGAGATCATGCTTTCCTTGTTGCCTTCCCCCAGCTCAGAGGACCCTGGGTGTCTTCTGACCTGGCCAGCCCAGGCTAGCTTTGTCATGAGTAGCTCTGGTCCCAGAGCCTGCTCCCTACATTATCGGGCTCACAGGGGACCAGCAGGAGAGGCCTGGCAAGGGAGGCCTCTGTGGAGCCCCAGGGCTCAAGAGCAGCGTCTCCCTGTGGCAAGGCACTGTAGCAACTTCAGGAAGCCAGCGAGGCACAGAGGCCCCAACTGGGCCACAGCTCAGGCTCTGTATTTCTTTATAACTTTCATTTAGGTCAAGAAACCAAGTTCCCTTCTGAAATATCTGAAGGGTACAAGGAAACAGCTGTCTTACTCCTTGGTCATGGGATACAGGGCATAACCAGGGGTGTGAATGGGGAAGTTGCCCAGGGAGACTGCTCCTGGAGGCCACAACAGCCCTCCAATACCACCTGGTGACCAGAAAAACCCAATTCAGCTTGTGAGCACAGGAATACCCATTTCACTGCTGGAAGAAAAGAGACATTTCTCTGTTGTGTGTGCGTGTATATATTTTTTTGAGACGGGGTCTTACACTGTTGTCCTGGCTGGAGTGCAGTGGTGCGATCTTGGCTCACTGCAACCTTCACCTCCAGGGCTCAAGTAATCCTCCTACCTCAGCCTCCCGGGTAGCTGGAACTACAGACATGCACCACCACACCTGGCCAATTTTTTTGGATTTTCTGCAGAGACGGGGTTTCACTACGTTGCACAGGCTGGTCTCTTGACTCCTAAGCTCAAGTGATCTGTCCGCCTTGGCCTCCCAAAGTGTAGGGATTACAGGTGTGAGCCACTGCGCCCAGGCTCTGTGTGTGTGTGTGTGTGTGTGTGTGTGTGTGTGTGTGTGTGTGTGTATATATTTATTTATTTTTTGAGATGGGGTCTGCCTGTGTCACCCAGGCTGGAGTACAGCAGTGCGATCTCAGTTCACTGCAACCTCTGCCTCCCAGGTTCAACAAATTCTCCTGCCTCAGCCTCCAAAGTAGCTGTGATTATAGCCACCACACCCGGCTAATTTTTGTATTTTTAGTAGAGACAGGGTTTTACCATGTTGGCCAGGCTGGTCTTGAACTCCTGACCTCAGGTGATCTGCCTGCATCCGCCTCCCAAAGTGCTGAGATTACAGGCATGAGCCATCACACCCGGCCCTCTGAATATATTTTAAAATAAATACAGCTAAAGCATATTGGGTCAGATCAAATATATTAGACTGATTCACTCTGAATCCAGGTGTAAAGAGCTGTCATCAAAACAGCAAGAAAAACCCACCTCTGAGTTAGTGTATAATTTATATAAAGCTTGCATTAAAAAACCCCTTAGGATCAAAGTTCCCCTCTCATCACCTGCTGGCCCTTGCCTCTTCTGCCCGACCTTCCCTTCTCCCTGTATCCTCTCTGCTTTCACCTTTCCCTCCTCCTGCCTCGGGCTGTACCTGCTTGCAGTTTTTAATCTATGCTGGCTTCAATGCTGTCACTCTGTGGCTCAAGGCAAAAGATGGTAACTGGTGGTCTCTGTGTGCAGCCCATATGCAGGTGGGCTTTGTTTGTCCTACATAGTATTTTTTTGAGCCTAAATGTGAAAATCAGGTGATCTGACATACAAATCCAGATTTCCAGCTTCTCTTGAGCCTTCCAGGTCTGTAGTCCCACAAGGCAGTGACCACTGGGCTAGACGGGGCTTCTGCATTGTCCAATCTGCCCTGCCATGAGACCCCTGACATGTTCTTAGCACACCTCGGGATGGTTTTCTTCCTTGCTGACACATGTTTCTTGGAACCTTCTTCTCTATCAAACGTGGGAAAACCAAAGGCAGCCAGAGAGGGTGACAGAGTTTCTCTTTCGCCTGGCCTGCTCCACTGTTTGCGTTACTGGGTGGTGGCTGCAGGCATCTGAGTTTGTGGCTCCTGCTTTACAGAGAGGACTGTGGCCCCCAGGGCAGAGGGGTCCTTGCAGCAGATAAGAAGACGGCCAGCCTGGCTCTGTGAGGACTGTCAGCCCAGAAGCCAGATGGGTGGCCTCGCTTGTGAGGACACGCTCGTCTAACAGCAGTGCAGAGAGGTAGATATGCCGGTCAGGGCAGGACGGCTGAATGCAGCACCCATTGTTGCCTGGCTGGAGCTGCCCAGCCACAACTCAAGAGAGGCCTTGACAGCAGGCCAATGGCTGCCCAGCACCAGCCTTTAAGCACAGTCCTCCCTGTGCCCACGCAGTCCAGCAGCGTCCGCAGAGCCCCACAGCCCCTGCTGGAGCCCTTGAGCCTGCAGCAGCAAGGCTGCCTGAGCACATAATCCCACGGCGTGAGGCAGGTCAGGGCAGGGCTGGAGGAGGCCGCCCAAGGTGACCCTGAAGGCCACTCCCAGCTGTGATTCCCTCACAGTTCTGGGATTCCAATGTCACCGCAACATCAACCAGCCTCCTTGGACACAGTCTAAGAGGGCTGCTCACCTGACTTTCTCATGGGAGCTTCATTTACCTTTGGCCATGTGTTTCCTTTGTTTACGCATTTTGGAAGACAGGCAATTTCTGCTTTATTCATAGCCTATTATCATGGATCACCATTAGGAAGATGCGTTGTCCTTGATCCTAAACCATGGGACTCTCATTTGTCTCCAGCAAACAGCCAGACAATGTGGCACTGCACCTCTGCCCTCTGCCCGTGACATTGTAGTGGGCTCCCAGTACCTGCATAGCCTTGACCTCAGGGAAGTCCCCTGCAGAAATCTGGTATTCTCGCTGTAGCTGAATGTAGATTTCCGGTAGCCTGCTGATAAGCTCTCTCTTCTTGTTTTCCTTTCCAAATACACTTGGCATCTCCTTCTTCAGGTAGCTGATGATGTAGGCATGCACCTGGAGGGGTATAGATCAGGCAGGGAAGTGTCATTTAGAATTGCATCAGAGAAGGAACAAACAAGATTGCATCTTAACTCCATCATAACACATAACAGGTACCCACACAAACCAGGTCCCAAGGACAGGAGGAGGGGAGGGTCCAGGGGGAGTGGAGCTGTCCAAGGGTGGCCGGAATGTGGCCAGACTTGGGGAAATTCTACGGCTACTGTTCTGTTGTGCCTCTGAGTGGCAATTCTGGTGTCTGTAGGGAGTGAGTGGTATGGGTGGGGCCTGGGTGGGAGAGCTCTTAGTTCTGGCAATTAACCAGAATACCCAGGAGAAAGTTTCACCAGGCTGGTGCCTGGGAGCAACAGGAAATGAAACTGGAGGCTGGCATCAATGGCTGATCAACATGGAAATCTGTACCCAGTGAACGATGAGATGAGAATCCCCATAACCCCCCTGTTATGGGAGGTTTAGACTCTGAGATCTCTACAGGTGGAATTAAAGTCATTCTGCACAAGACCAGCTGCCTGGGATCAGGCTGGATGGCAGAAGATCCCCCTGGGAGAGGAGCCCAGAAGCCCCAGAAACCTTGATCACTGGGGCTTGGGGTAGCCAGCAGGCTGTCATTGGAGGGGCGAGAATCTGGCCTCAACATTTCCACTCTTCTACTGATTTCCAACTTCAGGATATTAAGAAATGTTCACTACAAAAGTTCTCTTTGTATATATATATTTTTGAGATGGAATCTCGCTCTGTTGCCCAGGCTGGAGTGGAACAGCGTGATCTTGGCTCACTGCAACCTCCACCTCCTGGTTCAAGCGATTTTCCTGCTTCAGCCTCCCGAGTAGCTGGGATTACAGGTGTGCACCACCACGCCTGGCTAATTTTTGTATTTTTAGTAGAGACGGGGTTTCACCATGTTGGCCAGGCTGGTCTCGAACTCCTGACCTCAGGTGATCCACCCACCTTGGCCTCCCAAAGTGCTGGGATTACAGGCATGAACCACCATGCCCGGCTACTTTGTATATCTTGAACTTCAGAGTAATTGTGAAGTCAAGTAAGTAACTAAAATAAGAAAGGATGAAAAACAGAGTGGTGATTACAAAAAGAAAATGACTATGTAGCAACGGAAAATCCTATTAAAGAAAACAGACTTCTACTGTAATCTTGTAGAAGTTGAAATTAAATAAAGGGGGTAAGCAGATACATTCCATAGCTCAGCTGAGGGCCCGTGTGTGGACACATGCTGGACACAGCCAAAAACATTTTGTGAGGATTTGGATGCTAACCTAAGTACCTAATGCAAGGTCTGACATGCTGAGGTCAGACAATGTCAACTTCCCATCTGCACAAGGGTCGTTTAACAGAAGCATGCACTGTGCAGCCTGGCTACCGCTGAGAGGATGGTCTTGGAGAGATGACGCTAAACCTTTCTGTCACCAGCAAACTTGTTTATGTACTTATTTTTCAAATGAAGACAATTGAAATGATTTACAAGATTCTTAGAGATAACTTGAGAAACCCGAAGTTTGGGATCCGTTATTTAGAATCCTGGGCTTTAACCGCTGTGATGAGCAAGTGGTAAGATACCAACTCCTTTGCCTCCGACAGTGAATGCCTGGCTTGGTGTGGGTGGGCTGGGGAGGGCCAGGGCTGAGGGAGCACCCTTGGACTGGAGGAGCTGCCACGTTCCATCAGGGAGAACCAGCTGCTCACCAGCTGTCCTTGCATCATTTCCTTGGCCTCCACCTTCCTGGAAATTCTGGATTGGGCCTATGAGTATGTTCTCTATGTATACCTATGTATACCTCTCTCTTCTGTGCTCAGGCTCACCCCACCCTGGAGCCACCCCAAGGGAAGCAGGAGGCCCCCACAGCTGCTCAGTCTCCCAAACACAAGGGCTTCTTATTGAGACCACCCCCTTCCCTGCTCTGGGGCCTAGCCCTGGAGCAGCTGCCTAGGCCTCTGTAGGGCTTCCCAAGAGCCCTCACCACGTACTAGTAAGGTACCTCTGAGCCGCCAGGCCCCAGCTCAGGGAGGGCTTAGTTCCCGCTCATCTGGCTGACTCCTCACCCACTCCCTGCCGCCCACCCCCCGAGGTTGGGCACACTGTTCCTGAACACTCCCTGGTGCCCAGGGCCTGCTTTACCTGCACTGAACTCAGCTGATGTGCACCTGCCACACCCTTCACCCACTGAGTGTCACCTGATCCCTCGTCTCAGGCCTCATGGTGTTTGCTGGCTGATGACCGAGGTGGCCCCGACACTAGGCCTTCACAGCCCTGATAAACCTGGGGCTGATCTTGTGCCAGGTCTCAACTCCCTCCTCCTTCCGCCAGCTTGGTGCCACCTGAGTCATGACCCTTAGGTGACCTGCTCACACTGCAGCTGCTCTCGGTCCCAGCCTCCACTTCTAGGAAGTTCTGTTAGCGAGGTTTGTGGAAGTCTCCTGTTACGCTGCCTCTGCATGTCCACCCGCGTCCTGCCCTTCCTGGTGCGCCCTAAACAATAACCCAGGGCCAACTTCTGTGCACAGACCTGCTTTCAGAAGTTCATCAAGTTGGCCAGGCACGATGGCTCATGCCTGTAATCCCAGCACTTTGGGAGGCTGAGGCAGGTGGGTCACTTAAGGTCAGGAGTTTGAGACTAGCCTGGCCAATGTGGTGAAACCCTGTCTCTACTAAAAATACAAAAATTAGCTGGGTGTGGTGGTGTGCTCCTATAGTCTCAGCTACTCGGGAGGCTGAAGCAGGAGAATAGCTTGAACCCGGGAGGCAGAGGTCACAGTGAGCTGAGATTGCCCCACTGCACTCCAGCCTGGGTGACACAGCAAGAATCCATCTCAAAAAAAGAAAAAAAAATTCATCAAGTCACAAGGTAAATTATAATCCTTAGCATCATGAAATACTGAATCTGGAAGTGACCCCCCAATATCTACTTTAATTCCTGGTTCCAGGACATCCATGTGACTCACTCAAGGTCATACAGCTAGTTGGTAGATACAGAGCTGGCACTAGCATCCAAGTGCCTCGTTCCTGTCCCTAAAGAACTAATGACTCCCTGTGGGTATGCCCTGTGGGTATGCATTAATAATCTTACTGAAGTTGTTCAAAATCTGGAATTCAAAATGAACTGTGTCCCATAGAATGAGTCTGGAAAACTTTGATCTGAGGTTTGACTTCTGCTCGTGCCTAATTCACTGAGAGGCTTTGGAAGGGTCCTTTATTCTCCCTTTCCCCACACATCAAACACGGACACAATGATGGCACACAAACGTCGGGACACCACGTGGGAATGCGGGTGAAGACTGCGAGCTGCTGGCAGGATGGCATCCTGTCATTTTCTAAAGTCTTCTGGTAAACAGACGGGACAGCTTGAATGACTAAAATCCACAGTCAGCCTCCAGAGATCACTCCTGCAATTATGTGTCAAAGGTGTCTCCAAATACATGCCAGACCCAGGGCCAGACCTGGTGGTTGTCCCTGGGGAAGGAGGTGGAAACACTTGGGTCTTCTGACCTTTATAATGAGAGAAAACTAATTGGGAAGAGGAGGAGTACGAAAGAGAAGAGGGGGACTAGACCTGGAGCTTGAAGATGAGGCTCAGGCCCCGTGACCACTGCCTACCCACTGAGCAACTTGGGGCCAGGCATGGCATCTCCACCTCAGCGTGCTCATCCACAAATTAGAAATGACAACAACATTCATCTCACAGAGTTATTATGAGAATAAAAGAGGTCATGTATTTGAATGCACTCTGCTCACTAGAAAGAGGAGCAAATGTTAACTTGTTATCAACTAATGGCCAAAGACCAACAGCTGGAGGTACAGTAATGAGAGAGAGGGCTCCCGGCTGGTTACTCCTTACCAAATAATTAATAAACTCTCTCTATTTAAATAGTAATATAATGAATTTGGGTTCCAAGTGTTTAATTTACATTGACCCCTGGGGGCTTTTGAACATTCGTATCTTGTTCAAGTCATCCTTTGCCTTGTGTAAACTTGCAGAAGCCCTAAGGCATCTAATGGGGATGACTGGGGGAAATCAAATGGATCAAAATGACAAAATGACAATTTTTCTCTAGGCTAATAACTCAATGAGCAGAAAGGAAAGTCCTTCCTTTTAAATGTATATGAATGTATATGTAGTTCACACGTACACTCTGACACAGATCTCATTGTGTCCAATGATGTGTGTGTGTGTGTGTGCCTCCAAGACTGAGACACATGTACTAAAGAGTGATACTGGCCACATCTACTCTGGGCTTGGAGGGTAACTTCAGCGAGTGCTGGATGCTGGAAGCGACCAGTGCTGGAATGAAAAGCTTCATGGAATGTGAGGATCAGGCAGTAGTTTGGGGAAGGCGGGCTGGGAAGGCATGGTGACACACTGTGCCACGCTCATCTGCAAACTTAACGCAACCTGCTGGAGACCTGCGGCTGGAAGCCCAGCTCTGGAAACCTGCATAGAGTATTTAAAGCCAGGGTATCAGCACGTTTATAAAGTGGGTTTATGATAATATAAAAAATTCAGTTAATAAGCCTGAGACCCAAAAGATGAACCCATGGGGTAACAAGAGTGTGAGACTGTGAGAGGCAGAGAAGGGCAGCTGACTTGAGCAAGGGTTTGTTATTCTGCTCAGATCAAAACTGGCACCAATGGCACGTGTAATTCCGTGCAGCCTTAAAGGGGACCGGAGGGGGCTGCACACTTGTCTGAGGTCAACCTTCAAAGAGACAGGCTTCCATTTATGGGCTCAAGCACTGACACACACACATCCACAGTAGCTCAGGGCTGCTGACTGAGTTATTTTTAGAGCCCTGCCGAGGACTAGGCAATACCAGGATCTTCATGATCCATTATATCATGATTCTCACACGCTTTAGCCTGAATCCATTTGGTGCACAAAAAATGCCTCATTTCTTTACAGGAGAATTTTTTTTTTTTTTTTTTGAAATGGAGTCTTGCTTTGTCGCCCAGGCTGGAGTGCAGTGGCACGATCCTGGTTGACTGCAACCTCCAACTCTTGGGTTCAAGTGATTCTCCTGCCTCAGCCTCCTGAGTAGCCAGGATTACAGGCGCCCACCTCCACGCCCAGCTAATTTTTGTATTTTTTGTAATTTTTTTGTAATTTTTTTTGTAATTTTTGTATCCAGCACTTGCTGAAGTTACCCTCCAAGCCCAGAGTAGATGTGGCCAGTATCACTCTTTAGTACATGTGTCTCAGTCTTGGAGACACACACACACACACACACACACACATCATTGGACACAATGAGATCTGTGTCAGAGTGTAAGTGTGAACTACATATACATTCATATACATTTAAAAGGGAGGACTTTCCTTTCTGCTCATTGAGTTATTAGCCTAGAGAAAAACTGTCATTTTGTCATTTTGATGACATTTAGTAGAGACGGGGTTTCACCATGTTAGCCAGGCTGGTCTCGAACTCCTGACCTCAAGTGATCTGCCCGCCTTGGTTTCCTGAAGTGTTGGGATTACAGGTGTGAGCCACCGTGCCCAGCCTATAGACAAGAAAGCCAGGCTGTGCACATCACATGTGACTGAGAAGAGTCTACATTTGAAAGAATAAGCTAAATTCCACAGAACTACAGTGAACCTTGAAAATCACTGACCTCTCCTCTTCTTTCTCAGTTTTACTTGTTTCTTCCTCAAATGTTGCCTCATTTTTGTTGAGCAAAGATCTCCAAATGGGTGACAGCCTTTCCTATTCTTGGGCAATACGCTTCTAAAGGGTGGGGTCTGATAGTGAACTTGCATTGTTTGGGATTTGTATGAGTCTAATTTCTTTAATTTGGCTATTTTAATTATAGCTGAATAAAAGTAAATGACATGTTCCAAACCCTTTTTTGGGCTTTCCCAAAACAGCTTCCTTTAAAGAATCATGAAATGAACCCTGATTGGCATCTCAGAGTGTGAGCCGTCTTCCAAGAAGGATGTCTACTGAGATTGTAAGAAGTGATCTTTGAGGCTAACCAAAAACCCACTCTAAAGTTTCCCTGTTCCTTAAATACAGAGATGTGAAAAAAATATACAAACAGAAAAAGAAGGGAAATAAACTTCAAGAGCTCTTTGGGAAGAGTATCTATCTACTTTTCATATTATTAAAATGTCACCTTTATGACACTTCGAGTTTGATTAAAACGGCGCACTTGCTTTATCTGGATGGGCCATGAATCCTGGTTAATTATGGTGTTCTATAAATAAACATACTCCACAACCCAACTCAGACTTGACATCTCTTAGCTGACATCTGAAAACTTACCCTTTGCATGTTTTCAAAGTGTCAGCTTGATAAACCTAAACTTTGTAGGGTTTCTGTGGATGGAGACTTTTATGGAATAAATAGATTAACAGATCAGTGCAGAAAACAAGGACACAGGGAGGAGGTACTGTAGCTGCTGTTCACTCCCGATTTCAGGTGACTGCTTTCTGGACTGAGGTGTCACACTGACCGAGGTTTGAACGTATACTTTGCAGCTTACAGGCTGTGAAGCCTCGGGGACATAACTTCACCTTTCTGAGCTTCCGTTCCCTCAGGTGGGAAATGAGGACAAAAATGCCCAACTGTGTAGTTGTCAACAGGATCAAACAAAAAAACACACATAATGCAGACTACAGAGCTTTGGAACAGTTGGTGTGAAAAAGGAAAACTGGATCAAGAGAAAGGTTAATAAACCAAAATAAAAGCACTTTTGGAAAATATAAACACTCCAAAAAGAAAAACTCAGGTAAGCATCTGTCCATTTAAGCAGAAACAAGTTCAGCGGTGGAACATGAAACTGCAGGTGGCGTGAGGTCAATGTCATGAGTTAGTGGCCAAGGCCGCCGTGCTGAGTCCGGCTTCTCCTCCGGGTGAGCCCGCTTCCTGTCCCCGTTCCTCAGCATGGCACTGCCCACGAGCAACTGGCACTGAGAAGCTCCGGCTGCAAATACCCATACTTCAAACATTTTCCTTTGTGAAAAGGAACAAGCCAGATACTATTCTTAGGAAGAAAAAAACCACAAGCCTTTTTCCTGCAAGTAAGCTCAGCAAGTTTGACCGTCCCCCACTCCCTGCATCCACACAAGGGTTTTCATTATTCACAGTGTCAGAATACAGAGCAGCGTTCTGTGCCTCCAAACCCAGGCCGCGCTGGCCCGTTCAGAGGGCCCGAGGCTCAAGGATGGCAGGGAAGCTCTACGGGTTAAGGCGCTTGGCATTTCCAGCGAGCTTTCTGCTCCTTATTTATTTATTTATTTATTTATTTATTTATTTATTTATTTGAGACAGAGTCTCACTCTGTCGCCTAGGCTGGAGTGCAGTGGCACGATCTTGGCTCACTGCAACCTCCACCTCCTGGGTTCAAGCGATTCTCCTGCCTCAGCCTCCTGAGTAGCTGGGATTACAGGTGCCTGCCACCATGCCTGGCTAATTTTTGTATTTTTAGTAGAGACGGGGTTTCAATATGTTGGCCAGACTGGCCTTGAACTCCTGACTTTGTGATCCACCCGCCTCCGACTCCCAAAGTGCTGGGATTACAGGCGTAAGCCACCGTGCCCGGCCTCCTTATTTATTTATATGACTGAATACAGCAGCATCTCCAGTCACTGGGTCTTCATTTACCAATAACTGGTAAATGAAGAATGTCCATGAGCATTTAAAAATAGTTTTAAAAAATCTCAAAATCTGCAAAGGCTATGACATGAGTCACCAACTTTGGTTATAAACTAATGTGGGGTGTCACACACCTTGAAGGTTGTTCAGTTGTACCTGCTGGAGAAAGGAAACACCACAAACCAAGGGATCACCGAGTGGAAAAACAGCCTTCCTGCTACCAAGCATTAGGCCCAGGACAAGGGCGAGGGCAAAATCATTTCAGGAGAGCTGCACGTAAGTGGATTTACAAACTAGTTAGCACATCTGCCTTGCAGAACTGGAGCAAAAATGGCTTGTAGCTCTGGAAAGGAAGCCACTTGGACCAGGAAGAACAGATAAAGAAGGATGACTCACACAAGCACCACACCACTGCAGGTTAGCTGAGCCATATGGGAGGAATGCATGCACACGCACTGGGACACACGTGACAGAGAGGGACACAGGACATCGAGGTCCTGTGTGAGGGGCAGCAGCAGCCAGGACGGTGTTTGTTTTCACCCAGGCAAGAGGCTGCCCAGTGAGCACACTGGCACGAGGACAGGCTGCTAATGAGCAGCAAGAAGGAGGAAGAATTGTCCCCACCTTGGCTGTCCCCATCAGGGAAGCCCTCCCTGCCTCCTGGCCAGGCACGTAGTCACCCTTCCCAGAGCACTCATGGCAGCATCCATACCATGACTGGCACATAGCCAATCACCCAGGGAGCTTTACACACACACACACACACACACACACGCGCATGTTTACACACATGCATATTCACACAAGGCCATGTGTGCACGCACACCCCTATATCCGAGGCTCTGGGGCAGGGCCTGGGAATGTATGTTGCTTCTGATGATCAGCCAGGTTTGAACTTCACTAGGACTAGATAAAACTCTAAAGGCACTTCCAGCATTAGAGGACAATGATTTTATGAAACATGCACATATTTTTTAAAGAGCCATTTTTTTCTCTGTATTTTCTCTTGGAGGAGGGATATGCTTTTCTCTCTTTGGAGACATGAATTGACTCTGTCACTTGAGGGATGTCAGCAGGTCACCTCTCACTGCCCCATTGGGCACACACTCCTGGGGCTGCTGAAAGGCTCAGCTATGAGGCAGGCGAGCCAGGAGCCCAGGCATGCAGGCTAACAGCCCGCAGCCCAGAATGAGGATGCGGGGGTGACCCAAAACCAGCACACTCCAAGAGTAAGACTGAGCCATACTTCTTCCCAGGGCTCCCCTGGATCCAGGTGGTAACACTGGCCTTTGGTGCACGGGGACTAGCAGTGGCCTCTCAGCATCCTGTTGGTCTCACCAATGCCACCTCTTTCAGGTTTGGTTGGTTATATTCCTATCGTCCTGACATCCTAACAGCTACCATGTAGTGGGTGCACTGATTGATCCCCCTCCCTGTGCACCAGGCACTATGCCAAGTGCTCTGTCACACTGACCAACTGTCACCCCAAGTTCTTGTGAAGTGCTCTTATTAGCTCCATGGTACAGATTGGAGAACAGGGTTAGTCATCTGCCCAGGAGTGCAGAGCCAGGAGCTAGGGTGTCAGCAGGGCCACCTGACCTCGAGGCTGTATTCTTAACCTAGCGCATGTTCATTCCTTAAGCCTTCTGGAACGAAGCCTCCTCCCACCCATCTTGCCTCTGGAGAGGAGACAGCAGAGTCCCAGCCCCTGGCCTCTGTGCAAGGCATCTCCTGGCTTACCTTGGCCAGCCTCGCTCGCTTGATGAGGTCGTTGAGCTTGCGCACCGCTGCCTTCTGGGGGAGGCTCTGGATGTCTCTAAAGAGGTCCTGGGCCTCAGCCTCGAAGAGCCGGCGGTTGTCCGTGTTCTGCAGGGGCTGCGCCCAGAAGGAGCCAATGTAGACGCGCAGTACCTCGGGCGTGTTGATGACCTTGCCTAGGGACCACATGAGGGCCCCGTAGACCCGCATCAGCTGCTGCGTGTCCACTTGGTCGGCCTTGTTCAGCACGACACGGATCTTGTCGTCCTGGCCCCGGAAGGCCTTGATGGCCTCTGAGAATTCATCTGAGATGTCCAGCTTGTGAGCGTCAAAGAGCAGGATGATCCTGTCCACCCTCTCGGCAAACCACTGCAGGACCTGGCAGAAGTCATAGCCTGGGTGGAGAGAAGGACACGTCAGTGTAGCCACTGCTGCAGGAGACACGTTTAATGGGCGGCTCAGGAACAGTCTCGCTCTCCAGCAGCTGCCAGGGAGAGAGCCCTGTCTCCAACCTGGAGGCAGTGGAGGCCTGGTGACATGAAAATCACGGGCTGGATGAATCCGGGTGGGAAGGACCTGGGGAGCCCTTCCACAGGAGGAGGGAGGAAAGAGAATGGGGCTCATGGTCACTTTGGGAATTGCTGACTTTCATATCTGCGATTTCATTTAGTCCTCATGAGTGTTTTATTTCACCTAATACAGACCTTTTGCTTGATGGCAGAATTGATCAATGGTTTTATAAAAACACAGGCCATGGGTCAAAAGATCTTACTTCTGAAAAGTCTCACTTTTCTGAAAGCCCCAAATACAGAAGAAAGAGAACCAGAGGCCACCTGGCATCCCATGGGGGTATCCAGTAAGCATAACAGAAGAGGCATCGCCTTCAATTAACCCAAGTTTGTAGAGTGCTGAGGAGGTCAAAGGTTGGCCCAGCCAGTGTTGTGATCAATATTTATCTTTGGACTATTTATAACTCAGGTATATTGTGAATATTTTTTTAACATTACGTATCACAGCCATTGTGTAAAATGGTCTCTTGCCAATTTCTTTTTTTAAAATGGCCTGGCCCACAGCAAATTCTGTCCAGCCTATTCTGACCACCTCCACAAATCATGCAGCTGCATAAACACTCTTCAGCCCAAGGTCAAGGCTCTCAGGCCTTTCCCCAGGGAGGCAGATTCCCACGAAAAGCAAACAAGAGGAGGCCAAGCCCACAAAGTTGACTTTTAATCTCAGTCTGACTAGTTGCAGAAGCAGAGTCTCAATCCAGCCCAGCTAGTGCTGAGATGTCACCTGCCTGACCCCCATGCTAGGGGTCGTCTCCCCTCTTCTTTTAGATTTTGAAAACTTTCAAACATACATAAACATCTGTAAGTCATATAATGAATGCTGATGTACCTACCACATAATTTTAACAAATGTTGACACTTTGCTTTGTTTGCTATTTCAGATATGTTTTAAAACCAAGTATCGTTTCTTTAGATAACAAAATACCATACGGTGGTGAGAAGGAACTAGATCTTCACTTGTCAACACAGGTAAATCTCCAGAAAAGAACAAGAGTAAAAGCTTAGTTTCAAAAGGACATATACAGCATGATAACATTCATGTAAAATGTTAAAATACAAAATACTCAACCATCTGTGGATACAGACTATAGCACAAATACAAAAATGTCAACATCGATTGTGAGACCCTGGTTGGCTGTGGGGGTGGAGAAGGTGTGAATCCAAGGCAGAGGAAAAAGTATCTGAGGTGAATAATCTATTAGGTGAAAATAAAGAGGGTCTGCGGACTAAGGTTTCCATGCATTTGAAGAACAGGTGTTAGAGGAATAGCTGAACAAGCAAACTGGATTCAGGTCCATTTTTCATAAAGAAAACAAGACAGTTGGTAACGCTGAAGCCCCCTGTGCACCCCTCCCTGAGCCCTTCCCCCCACTAGCAGGCCGCTGTCCTGAGTGTGGTGTTTATGCCGCCACACGCGTGGATACTTCCAGTTCATGCTTTTCATTTCTCTGTTCTGTCTCACTGCGGCACTCCCTGACTCCTTGGGGATAAGGAAGACAAAGGCAGTTCTCGGAATGTGGGCCAGAGTTTATTTTCATTGCTGTCAGCAGCCAGTTTAGGTCAGAGGAATATCAAAGACCTACTGACAGGGTCACACATAGTCAAGGTTTCACTCTGAGTTCTGTCCCTGAAAGGCCAGAACAAACTGCCTCCTAGGGTAACACTAAGTGCTACTGCCATTTGAGACAGACGTGTGCACAGACAGCCCTAGCTCACAGGATTGTAGGTCCCCAGCGGATGAATGAACTGGCTGTTTGCTGGGTGCCGGGAAGATGCTTTGGAGCCACCCATAGATGGACCTGCATGGGGACTTGCTTTTCCAGGAGAGATGATTGATTCACCATGCTGACCTGACCACTCTCCCACGTGGTCTTCCTAGTGATCAGATGGGGTATCTGAAGGTTCAGAAACAGATCAAAGAAAACGCTGTGCACATGGAGTGAATGTGAGTTGCTTTTGCTGAATACCCTTCCTGTTGGGTCAGGAGGTATCCTTTATGGGTTGTGGAGGCTGAAGGTGTGGCAGAGAGTCCCTCGCCCCATTCCTTAGCAAGCTGGGGCATAAGCATGTGATCTAGAGTTAGACATTCACTTCCTTCCACCAGAGAGGAGTGCTGAACCTTGGGGAAATGACACGAAGACACAGTGAAAATAAGAATTTACTCATGGTGGTGGCGGCTTCCTAACTCTTTTCTAAGCCTAGTTCTCCAACTTTCCCATTAATCCTGTGACAAATTCTCCAAAACATTTTCTTTTCTGCTTAAATTAGTTAGAATCAGCTTCTTTGGTTTGCTATTGAAAGTGATGATAAGGCTGGGCACGGTGGCTAATGCCTGTAATTCCAGCACTCTGGGAGGCAGAGGCGGGAGGATTGTTTGAGGCTAGGAGTTTGAAACCACCTGGCAATATGGTGAGACCCTGTCTCTACAAAAAATAAAAACAAATTAACTGGGTGTGGTGGCGTATGCATGTGGGCTCAGCTACTTGGGAGGCTGAGGCAGGAAGATCACTTGAGGCCAGGAGTTTGAGGCAGTGAGCCATGGACCCACCACTATACTCCAGCCTGGGTGAGAGAGTGAGACCCTGTCACAAAAACAAAACAAAACAAAACAAACAAAACCACAATTGGTAAACAATCCTCCCCTCACCCCCATTTAAGATTTCGGAATACCTCTTACTGTCGGTTCCGAAAGAAACCTGCCACCCAAACTGAAACACAGCTGCTGCTGCTAGCTGCGCTCGCGCCAACCCTGCCGTGCTTGTGCCAACCCAGCCGTGCAGATGCAGTCTCTCTTCCTCCCAGGGCCGCCTGGGTTGAATGGTTACCTTTGATTGCAACACTTGTGTTTAAACTTTAACTTAAATTTGAGTTCCTAACAGTTAATTTAAGCATCTTTAAAAAAGATGCCATTTCAATGCTATAGTGAAATCAAAAGTTATTAGGAACAGAGCTGCCAGATTTAAGTTTACTATAAGTGACGCCAATACTCATGTCTGGAGGAACAGGTACATATCCATATTTTCTTGTGTTAAAGCAACAATGAGAGCTTAATATAGTTCGAGAAGTACAGGTAGGCAGAGCTGTGTTTGTTCTGTCCCTGAGCAGGTGTAAGAGGACGGTCTGTCACACATCAGGCAACACAATCAAAGGAGTAGAAATCACCGTGTCCAAAAGAGAGCAAGGAATGATCAAAGCTGGGAGAGGTTGGTCTGCTTACCACCTCCCCCTACAAAGTTAGGATTATTTTGCTACTTTAAGCATTTTAAGTGTACTGCACAGTGGCATTAAATAAGTCACATTGTCGTACAACCACCACCACCATCCAACTGAAACTCTGAACCCATTAAGCACTAATTCTCCCCTCCTCTCTCTAGCCCCTGGCGACCACCATTCTACTTTTTGTCTCTATGAATTTGACTACTCTAGGTACTTCAGAGAAGTGTCCTTTTGTGCCCGGCTTCTTTCACTCAGCACAACGTCCTCAAGGTCCATCTGTGGTGTAGCATGTGTCAGAGTCTCTCCCTCCTCCTAAGGCTGAATAGGTCGGCTTGATTCTTGTGTCATGAAGGACTCAGGCGGCAAATACCTAGCTACCCAAAAATCCCAGCGGATCTAACTCCCAACATGTCATTTAGTCTGCCTGCTAAAGGAAAACGGTGATTCAGAAGGACCTAGAGACCACTGATCCTCAAAGCCTGTTCCTGTGTTGGAATGAAATAAGGGGCTTGCTAAAGTTTAGACTCCTAGGCCCCTCCCCAGAGCCACTGAATCAGAATCCCTGGGGCTGAGCCTGGGGATCTGCACTTGGAAGCTTCCCAGGTGATTGCAATGCATGGTGCAGTTTGAGGATCACTGTCTAGACTGAATACCAGGGTGGGGAAATTGTACAGATAGGTTTATGTTCCTGTTGGTTAGCAAGCAACAAAGCAAATCAAACACATTTAAAGTAGTATTAGTTCCTTTTATTCCAAAAAGTTACCAATAGATGTTTAGGTGGTGCATCACAGGTCGAGGAAACAGAACTGAAACATGCTTATCTGAAGACAGATTTTAAAACTCACCCAAGCTCCCTGCTTTTGCCCATGCTGGGCTATGGCCCTGGTGAACCCTTCCTCTATGGTCTAGACTGAGCCTAGAAAGCCAGCCCAAACCCTAGTCATTCTTCAAAATATCTGGGCCAACTTTGATTAAGTTAGACATTACTTAACGTTAAGCTCCAGTTTTTTTCACCTGTAAGATCGGGTTGTTGAGTGATTACCTGAGAAAATGCTTTTATCCATAAGGCATTGAGACTTTGTTAACTTTCAGCAAATTTGAGCTGTGGTTACTCTGGTTTCCTCAACTGCTCCCCATCCTGAGTTCCCTTGCCTGTGCTGCCTATGGCACCACTTCACACAGGGTATTAAAATCAGAGGGATGGGCTGGTCTCTTTCATTAGATTATATATTCTCTAACCACAGGAACTGTGTCTTCATCATGGTCACACAAGATAGTGGCGGACAATGTGGGCCTTGGACCCAGACTGCCTGGGACCTTCCTGGCTCCATCACTTACTAATTCTGCGACCTTGGGCAAATTACTTCACCTCTCTGTGCCTCGTTTCCTCATCTGTAATAACAGTGTCTTGGGGCTACCCTAGGGCTGATAATAGTATCCACAGGCCTCAGGAGCTGCAGAGTTAATATACGTGAAGCATTTAGAATCACCTTGGCACCTAGAAAGCTGTCCAAAATGCTATCTACTGGTTATTTAAAAAATCTTTGTATCCAGTGCCTGGCATACAGGGGGGATGCAAGAAATATTTGTGGGAGAAGTGACAGAAAGCAGGCAGTGGCTGCCTATGACGGGAGCCCGGCTGGTGAGTGGAACAGACAAACAGGGAGCGTCTCAGGGTGATGGAAAGTTTCTATATCTTGATGATGGCCATAGTCACACGAGTATGCAAATATGTCAAATTCACCAAACTGTACAATTAGATAGAATAGATGCATTTTTCACGCCTGTAATCCCAGCATTTTGGGAGGTCAAGGCAGGTGGATCGCCTGAGGTCAGGAGTTCGAGACCAGCCTGGCCAACTTCGCGAAACCCTGTCTCTACTAAAAATACAAAAATTAGCCAGGCTAATTTTTGGCAGATACCTGTAATCCCAGCTACTTGGGAGGCTGAGGCAGGAGAATCGCTTCAACCCAAGAGGCGGAGGCTGCAGTGAGCCGAGACTGTGCCGCTGTACTCCAGCCTGGGTGACAGCGAGGGACTGTATCTCAAAAAAAAAAAAAAAGGTGCATTTAATCATATGTTATACTTCAACAAAATTGACTTAAAAAGCAAAAGTAAATAGGAAGAAAAGAAAGAAAAATCCCAAGGCTGCTAAACTTGTTTAAAGATACACATCTCCACAAACTGCTGAATGGACCAGGAAGTTGAAATCTGTTCATCAAGGGGCTACATACCTAAGCTGGCTGTATATGGAGGTGAACGAAGCTATAGTAGAAGCCTTAAGCTTTAGAAGAAATCGGCCTTAAGAACCACTCGAAGCGGCTAACCTGCATCCTGCTTTCTGGCCAAGGTGATGAAAACCTCTCATGGTGACAGAACAGGAGTGAGAATGCTCCAAGTTTGTGAGAACTGGTTTCAGCTAGGCACAATGCAACGTGGCCTGGGGCATGGAACGATCTGGACCTATGTGTGTTTGCATGTACTAGTGTGTGTTGTGGGTGCAGGACTCAACATAATCATAGAATCATCCCACGGTGCTCAGTATATTTTCAACACTTATTCATGCAATTAATAGAAATTTCAATCCTTTAAGACCTTCCAGTGAAACTTGTATTAGTCTGGAACAAAAAAGAGATGTAATCAGTCCAGTTGTTTCAAAATATAGTTTCTTTCTTTGCCAAAGGACCCAAAAGCTACACAGCTTGGGGAACTAGGAGAAAGAATTTGTCCTGCGGAAGATCCCAGATTGGCATTCCTGGCTCCATGTTCTGGGAACAAAAGGAGGGGGCAGGAAGGAAGGAGCCCCTTCTACCCAATCAAGGGCTTCCCGTCACAGCCCCTGTGGAAACTGTGGTCCTCCATCCTGGCCAGAGAAAGAGCCACCAGGGAATGGCATAAGGGGTTAGAACAGTTGCTCCCTGGCTCAGGTAAATATAGCACGGGGGTCCCTGAGGAAGCAAATTTGGCAGTCTATTTTTAATAGAACAAGAGAAAAATAATGCTTACATTTCTTTTCAGAGCCAAGTTTCTAATTATGAGTTTTAAACAAGATGTGTGTCTATGGCCAGGTGCGGTGGCTCAGACCTGTAATCCCAGCACTTTGGGAGGCCAAGGCAAGAGGATTACTTGAGCTCAGGAGTTTGAGACCAGCCTGGGTGAGTGAGGCCCTGTCTCTACTTAAATAAAAAAAACAAAGAAAGATGTGTGTTAATGAAAGGATGCAAGGCAATGGAAGGCAGGCAGAAATGCAGCCGAGCTCCCCCTGCCATGTCCCTCCTCCCACTCCTGGGGTGGGCAGGGCCACTTGCCCGTGGTGGTGACGGAACACTGCCTAAAACTGCTCAAACCTCTCCTCTTTTCGAGGCCCTGCCCGCCCCTCCCATAGTTAGTAGCTCCAGTTCCATGTGGGCATTCCTACCACTGCCCCCAGCACTTTCTGTGTGGCTCTGTCTGTGCAACCCCAGGCTCTCCTGGCTGCATGTTCACCTTTGTGTCCCTCCAGCACCCGTGCAGTGAGCATCCAGCACGAGGCAGGCACCAAGAGTTCCTTCTTGTCCCCAGGTTCCAACCTCACTAATCTAGCCCTCAGACGATCCCCATCCCTTCTTAGAACTCAAAGATTATCTCCAAAACTGTGAGTGTCCCTGATTATGTCTAGAATAAATGTTTCCAGAACAAATTCTCCATGACTAGCCTCTGCTGCAATTCTCAACCTTTGCTCAGTCTCTTACTAAGCCCCACCCTCTCCACTGCACAAACCACACTGGGCTCTGCTGTTCCGCAGCAGCATCCTGTACTTCCCTGTCTCCACACCCTTGCTCAGGCTTTTCTTTCTGTCTGGAATGCCCTTTCCTCTTCTCCAACTACAGCCACTCATCCCTCTGGGGAACTTTCCTCCAGGTGGCCTTCCCCCACCCAGTGGAACAGAACCGCCTTTCCTGTTTCCTCCTGATGGGGTCTGTAGCAGCCTGAGAGCAGGGCCAAGTCTTCACTGTGTCTGTAACCCAAAGGCCCACTGCAGATGCCTTACACTATCAAATCAGGTTCCCGGGGATAGAGTCTTATAGCTTTAATGAATTTCCTTCATAGCACTTATACTCTGAAATGGTATATACATTTGCTGACTATAAGACAGAAATTCTGAGGGCAGAGACTCCACTCCTTATTCTATTCACCACTATACACCCAGGAATTACTACTGAGCACAGTAGGTGTTCAATACATTTGGTTTATTCCTCCAAAAACTAAAAATGGAACTATCATATCATCCAGCAATCCCACTTTGGGTATTTGTCCAAAAGAACTGAAATCAGGACTTTGAAGAGATATCTGCACACCCATGTTCACTGCAGCATTATTGGCATCATTTCTTTATCCATTCATTCATTGATGGACGCTTTATGGCAACAGCCAAGATGTAGAAATAAGAAAAGCATCCATCAGTGAATGAACGGATAGAGAAAATGTGGTGTACACATCCAATGGAATACTATTCAGCCTTAAAAAAAATTCTGCAATATGCAACAACATGGATGGCCCTTGAGGAAAAAAACATGCTAAGTGAAATAAGCCCATCACAGAAGGACAAACATACATAATTCTACTTGTATAAGATATGTAAAATAGTCAAACACACAAAATCAGAGAGGGGAACCATGACTGCCAGAGGCTGTGGGGAGAAGGAAATGGGGCTTTGCTAATCAACCAGCATAAAATTTCAGTTAGGCAAGATGAATAAGTTCTAGAGATTTGCGGAACCACACTGTGCCTATAGCCACATTGTGCTTGTAATGGATACTTAAAAATGCGTAAAGAGGGTAGATTTCGTTAAGTGTTCTTATCACAGTAAAATACAGTAAAATTGGTTTAATCAAGTGAATTCACTTGAACAAGAAATGTAACTGATTTTTAGCAATCTGGCAAGTTTAGTTGCTTAAATAGTGGTATGCGTTTCTAAAAAAGGGTTGTTACTAACTAGGGGAAGTGTAAATCATCTCAAAGTAAACATCAACTATCTGGGATCGCTCAGGTATTATAAATACACTTCGAAAAGAGTCCCTTTAGTTAATAATAACAGCCACTTCAGGGCAAGGAGTCTCTGCATTGTTTCCTGGCTGAGTTTACTTCGCAACTAGAAAAGTCTGCTTCTGAAAATGTCTTCTGAAAATGTCATTGTGGCAGAGAGCAAAATGATAGCTATAAATCAACAACTGCAGCAAATATTTACTTAGCTCTTACTACATTCCTGCACTGCCCTGTGAGCTCCATATCACTACAATCTTGTAATCCTTGCAACAATCCCATGAAGTAGGTACTTTTATTACCCCCATTTTACAGGGGAGGAAAAAAGACTCAGAGAGGTTAAGTATCCGACCCAAGGCACACAGCTGTTTCTCAGGGGAGCCCGGATTCAAACCCAGGGACTCGGATCCTAGAGCCTGTGCTTTCACCCGCTGCGCTGCACCATATGTGTACCAGGATGGTAGAATCAGAGGTGAGTGTACTTTATTTTCTCCTTTTTGATTTGTGGTTTCCTAAGTGTTCTACAATGAATATATATTATTTTTATATCAAGAAAACAAATATGCATATTGTAAAAATTATTGGCCCACTTGCATTATTATTGAGGAGGTTGTTCTTTTTCTTCTACAATGGTGCTTCTGGTGAAGGTCTGGATTCCAGCATTTCCCTGCCAGAGGCTATGGTGGGTGTGCCGAGCACCACCCTGAGGGGGAAGCAGTATCTCAGCAACTACACCCCCGAGGAAGAGGCAGTCCCCAATCAGCGGGAGCAATGGGACCTGCTGATGACAAAATAAGCCACAGAATGAATGGCTCTGCTCCACTGGCCTTCTCTCCTCCCTGCCCCCTTTTCCCCAGCTGACCAGATGCAGGGCAGTGGCAGGGAGGGGCTGATACCAAACCCGGTCTGGGAGACTGCCCGGAGGGAACACAGGTTCCCAAGCTCCTTTTGGAGAGGCTGGATGTGAGTTCACCTCGAACCTTTCAGCTGGTAATGGCCACCTCTTGGAGAATGTAACTGGTTACCAGAAAACCCCAGAGGTTGTCTCCCAGTACCTAGCCTAAAGTGGGTGTGGCCACAGAACCTACCAAAATTTAAATAAAAGCAAGAACTAGGCGTGTCCAGGGATGGCGTTGTGCTGTTTATCCGCTCTCTGCTCTTCCCACTCCTCCTTCCTTTGGGATTTTGTCCAAGACTCTGTAAATTAATTTTTCTGTGCCTGTTTCCTCATAAAATAAACAAGCTAACCTCACAGCCTGTCCCTCCTTCCTCTGGGGGATATGTGACAATAACAGATGGGTGAGCCACATGTCCCTGAAGGCCCCTCCAGGGCAAGGGCGGGAGAGCCCCACATCACAGGTTCGTGCCACGCCACAGACATGGGAACAGAGGAAGGTTCCACGCCAGTACTCGGCCCACTGAACGCTGCTGCTTCTGGGCATGTGACCAAGTGAAAGGGAAAATTGGGTTTCGCATCTCACTTTCCATCTCAGATTAAATACCAGATGAAGAAGCAGGCCCATTTAAAGAAGGCTGAGCCCTGGAGAAAGACAGCAACATGGTATTATCAGTCATTTTAGGCTCTTTGCTGGAGAGGGAAGTTGGTAAAAAAACCTACCAAGAA
This sequence comes from Homo sapiens, assembly GCF_000001405.40. Classification (NCBI taxonomy): domain Eukaryota; kingdom Metazoa; phylum Chordata; class Mammalia; order Primates; family Hominidae; genus Homo; species Homo sapiens. Next base: position 41,929,659 of record NC_000015.10, read on the forward strand.
AATCCTGTAAGTCCTGGAGCCTGGCTTAACAATTTCATTCTGCTGGGCCTCAGTTTCTATACCTGTGAGTCAGATGATCAAAAAGGATTCTTTCTAGATCTTAAATTTTAGCTATATAGGGTGGTTCCAAACAGTAAGCTTCTTTGAAATAAAAAGCCAGATTCCCAGGAAAATCGATTTAGCTCAGCGTCTGTATAGTACAGACACGAACTAGTTACAGTGCCAGCCTAAGATGACCCTTCAGATGGCTACAGTAGACCCTTCAGATGGCTACAGGAATACTGAATGAACAACTCTAAATGACACAATTATCAAACAGTAAGTTTCATTTTATTACATCCCTTCTACTGGATTCATGTGCTATATAGCATTTGGGCCAATTTGAAGGTCCTTGAATGTTTCTATAGGTGTAATTAGTTGCCCCAAAGTTTAACTTATTGTCATCCAATTCCAAACAACTCTATACTGAAAGAAACTATCTGAGGAAGGGTTGTGGAATGTATGACTTCCAAGGATGCTTAAGAAGTCACCCCATCTAACCTTCTGATATTATTATATATTAGGATGAACAGATCCAGGAATCCCGTGTCACGCACATGGAAATTGTCCATTCCTCATTTTTCAAGTGGGCTTTGTGTATAAGTCAGGCTAGAAAGTCTCATACAATATGTCTATAAATCAGACGGAGTTGGCGTGGCAAACATTACTTGCACTGAATTTTCTTGAGGCAAAATGCCAACAGACTCCACCCAAATGTGATGAGGTCAAACATTTATAAGCAAGGCTTTGACCGTGACAATGCATCTTGTCATTCTGTGGTTCAGAAGGGCAAAGGTAATGTTTCTTCAGGCTACAGTTTTCTAAAGAGAAATGTTAAACCAACGGGATGACAACTGGGGTCATAAAGGGCTAGAAAGCAACTTCTGACCTGAAGACCCCACCCCTCGCCCTGCCCTGTTCCTCTTTTCAAACATCTTGGCATTGCACAAGTGTCCTGCATGCCTGTGGACAACAGCTGGCACTGCAGACCAGCTCTAGCAATTAAGTTATCAGCTAACCAGCTCCTCAAGCCAAACTATTACTCAGAGACAGTTATTTCTGGGCTTATGTCACAGATGGAAAGAAAGACCCAGTCAGTGGGAACCATGGGAATCCACACGGGGCTCCTTATAAAAAAATGACTCACTGATTTTGCTAAAAGTAGCCCATGTAGTTACCAACAGTATTTCAAAACAGTCAAATACCTCCAGAAAAGGAAATACTTTAAAAAGGTATACATGAAAAGATGCTCAACCACACTAACCATGAGGAATGAAAATTAGAATCATAATGAGATGGTGGGCATGTAAACAGGCATGCCTTCTACAGTGGCATTTTTGGCACCAGCTAACATAATAAAAAGACCGCCGCTCCTTTTGATTCCAAAATTCCACCTCTAGGAATGCATCTTAGAGTTACATCTGCACATTTTTTGGATTAGTCTCTATTTCATTTATTTTTTTACATTGATAAAGAAAAATTGTATATATTTATCATGTCCAACATGTTGTTTTGAAATATGTATACACTGAGGCTGGGTGCAGTGGCTCATGCCTGCAATCCCACCACTTTGGGAGGCTGAGGCAGGTGAATCACTTGAGCCTAGGAGTTTGAGACCAGCCTGGGCAACAAGGTGAAACCCCATCTCTACAAAAAATGCAAAACATTAGCTGGGCATGGTGGTGCATGCCTACAGTCCCAGCTACTCAGGAGGCTGAGGTGGCAGGATCACTTGAACCCAGGAGGTCAAGGCTGCAGTGAGCTGTGATCGTGCCACTGCACTTCAGCCTGGGTGACGGAGCTTCGAGATCCTGTCTCAAAATAAAATAAAACATAAAATAAAGTAAAATTAAATTAAAATAAAACAAAATTAAATATGCATTCAATGTGAAATGGCTAAATTGACAGTGCAATTAGCATATGCATTACTTCACATACTTGTTTTGTTGTGGTAAGAACACTTAAAATCTACTCAGCAATTTCTTTTTTTTTTTTTTGAGACGGAGTCTAGCTCTGTCACCCAGGCTGGAATGCAGTGGCGCAATCTCAGCTCACTGCAACCTCCACCTCCCAGGTTCAAGTGATTCTCCTGCCTCAGCCTCCTGAGTAGCTGGGATTACAGGCGCACGCCACCACGCCTGGCTAATTTTTGTATTTTTAGTAGAGACAGGGTTTCACCATGTTGGTCAGGCTGGTCTCCAACTCCTGACCTCGTGATCCGCCCACCTCAGCCTCCCAAAGTGCTGGGATTACAGGTGTGAGCCGCCGCGCCCAGCCAGCAATTTCTTTTTTTTTTTAAGCTCCTCCCTTTTCAGCAATTTTCAAGATATATTTGCACGTTATCGTGCCAACTGTATACACTTGCACCGTACATGCTAAACTGTGTAAATCCACTGTGGCACTGTTTGTAACGGCAAAAGATTAGGAACAGCCTGAATGTCACCCACCAAAAGGATGGCACCTATTAATTCTGGTCTATCTATATGATGGACTGCGGGAGGCAGCTCCGAAGTACAGACATGGACAAGCTCCAAGATTTACTATAAGTGGGAAAATCAAGACACAGGGCAGTGGAGCGAATCCCGCCAGGGCTCCACGTGAGTGGGCGGGTGAGCTGGGAGAAGCCCCAGGGTCTGCAGGCAGGGTCTGCTCTGGGAGAGGAACTGGGGGATATGGGTGGTACAGACATTCTTCACTATCTTTTTGTAGCCTTTTGTCCCAAGCACATACACACCTACCCACCGCAGGGTGCTTCAGAAAGGTGAAACGCTGCATACATGGTCTGATTTGTGCTTTGCATCTCGATTTGGATTCCAACAGGAGGCAATTTTGAGAAAGAGACTAAGATTACAGGTGAATGGAGGTTTCTTGAGGAAACTGCATCAGGGCATGTGTGAGAAATATCCCTAGATACAAGAAAGAGGATTATGGCAAAAAGAATTGGAGGAGTGCCAGAAGCCGGGCCCCTCAGCCACACCCGGGAACACTGCTCCCGGGTCATTCTCTTCAGCAGGTTTCCCACCTCCAGCCCTTGTCTGCACTCTCGTGGCTTTCCATAGCTCTACGGTCAGGCCCAAATACTTCACGCACCCTCACCGCCCCTGCTTTGGATCTCTGGAAGAGCAAGGCCCTTGTCTGAGTCCCAGGACTCGGCCATCCTCTGCCCTCCCCTGGGAAATGCTGAGCGCTTGGCCGAGAGGGCCCTCTGAGCTGGGTCCGTCTATTCTGGGACCACCCCAGTTCTATAAAATGAATCATGACCGCCCCTATCACCAGTTATTAATCATGATCCATGTTAAATGGTTTACACATGTTATCTTCAAAACAACCCTGGGAAGGAAAATTCCCTCACTTTATAAAAGCGGAAAGAGGCTCACAGGGCCCCATGCTGGGATTCAAGCTCAGGTCAGCCTCCTCCAGGGCCCACAGGAGTGTGCCTGCATCTCCCCACCTCCCTCTGTCTTTCTAAGGAAAATACAGATGCTCCCTGAAAGCCTTGTTATTTTCAGCGTTTCCCCAACCACAGGCTTGTTTGGATGGTCGAGATGCCTGCCTGCCTGCCGGGCACAGGTACATGAAACCTGAATTCAAGCCACACGTGTATCCTGGGGAGGACCTTTTGCTGTTTCCCTCTCACTCTGAGCTTCATAGATAACAGGAACGGCTGATATCTATGGAGCACTTAGGTATGAACACAGATCATTCAGATTCTCGTAAGATCCCACTGTACGAGAGAAAGTACCTTCCCCTGTTTTAGAGCAGGGGAAAATGAAGCTCAAAGAGGTGAAGTAACTCGCCCAGGTTGCCCAGCTGGCAAGGGAAAGAGCCAGGGACAGGGAGAAACGTGCCCGGCCAGTGTTTCTCGGCATGGATTGCCACTGCCTCTCTTCCACCTAGAATCCTGCATTTATAATCTTTCCCTCCCACCTTCTAGGCTGGGGGTTCCCCACTGGTGCACAGTGATTAGGAGGGAGAGAAGCTTTACCACCTCTAGCAACAGGGATTGAGGCTGTGTAACAGGAATGTCCCCATAAAACCAGGGAAGGTTATTAAACGTTTCAAAGTGTACCTGAAAACTTAAAAAAATTCCTTCTTTATTTTCATTAGGGGTTCCTAAAAATCCTAGCTTCCGAAGTAGGCTAGGCGGGGGTGCTCCTGCAAGCAGTGAGACACAGACAGAGGACCCAGCATCAGGCCTCACGCCCTCCCTGTCAGACGCCCATGAGGCCGACAGGGTCACTTGGTGACTCCTGCGGGACAGTCACCTCTGCTTCCTTCCAAAGCCCTGCCCTGGAAGGAGGCTGGTTAGTCACAGAGCCTGCCCCACCCCATCGTCTCTCTCACTCAAGTTCTCCCCTCCGTTCTCTGAGAGGGCAGCCTTCACCCTCGGGCATACAGAGATGCAGGACAAAGCCCAGGTTGGTTTCGGTAGGTTCTCCAAGTTTGCCAGCCCCTTCTTTCACTTGTTTTGGGGATGGCAGGGTATGTAGGAGGGACAGGCTCAGGCTCAGGAGTGGTGGCTCAGCCCTAACCCAGATTCCTCAAAATGGGGCCCCCTGTATCAGAACCCTCTGGACCCTGCCCAGATGCCCCTGAACCATGTGCCAGGAAGTTTTTTTTTTTTTTTTTCAAATAAATAAATGGAGTTTTGCTCTGTTACCCAGGCTGGAGTACAGTGGCACAATTATAGCTCACTGCAGCCTCAAACTACTGGGCTCAAGGTTCTCTTGCCTCGGCCTCCCAAGGAGATAGGACTACGAGAACACACCACCACACCCAACTAATTTATTTTATTTTTTGTGGAGACTGGGTCTCTCTATGCTGCCCAGGCTGGTCTGGAACTCCTGCCCTCAAGTGATCCTCTCGACTCAGCCTCAAGTTCTAGGACTACAAGTGTGAGCCCCTCTGCCTGGCTGAAGCAGCATTTTAACAGCTCCCCAGGTGATAACTGTCTGTGGACCCTGGGGCTCACCGTGCTAGTCTTCCGAGCATCATTTGCAGCCGTGTGGACTCCAGAGCAGGAGGGGGCAGCAGGGAAAGGCTGGCCTAGAACATATATGCCACATGTATGACAGAGAAGGAAAGGACAGCAATTGCACGGCCGAAGGAAAGAGAAAAACCAGCAACCAAACACGCCCAGAGAACTGAGTGGCAGGCCCAGGGCTGTTCTTGCCCAGTACAGGAAGACCCGGACATTCCTAATAATTCTAGGTAATCAACAGAAGATTGAAAAAGACAATCCTTCAGTGGCTTCCTGGTACTCTCAGAGAAAAATCTATGCACTTCCCCAGGGCCTACAGCTCACAGCAGGTGGCGGGGGGGCCTCCTGATCTCATCACCCACCACTTCCTGGCTGCTCCCTAGCCTCTGCCTTCCCCGAATCTGCCAGGTCTCACCTACTCTCTGCCTTTGCCAATGCAGCTCCTCCTGCTGAAGAGCTCTTCCCCCAACTCTCTGCCAGGCAAACCCTCCATTCTTTACGTCCAGCCTAAATGCCACCTCCTCAGAGAGCCCTCCCTGACTGCCCACCCCTTGCTGTGGGACATGTCTTTGTTTCAATTGCATTTGTTTTGTGTTTTGGCTCCTCTATCTCCCCTAGTATATGCTTCATGAAGGCAGCCATGAGGTCTCACTGTTGCTGTGAAACCTAAGGCACCTGGCACCTGACACATAGTAGGTGCTTAAGAAATTGACCAGGGGGCACAGCAGAGTGGGGTGCACAGCAGACATTCAACATAAGAAAACCTCTTTCCCCTTTCCACTATCCTAGGAGTGAGAATGCAGGGTAGTGTGTACTCTTTTCCAAGCAAAATTATCATCAAAAATTGCTAAAGGAAAAAAATAGGAGATTTGATGTTGCTGGGGGAAAGCATCAATTACATTTTCTCATGGGGTTTGCTGCCTTCTCCGTGTGTGTGACTGGCAGCTGTATTTTGCCCTGGTTTGCATCCACGCCTCTTGTGGTTAACAGCACGCACTCTGGAACCAGACTGCCTGGTTTCAATCCCACTCAACCACTTATTGGCTATTTTGGTCATCAGCCACCTTAAAATGTAGTGGCTTAAACAATAACTTCTATTTTCTCTGGAGGTTCTGTGGGTTGACTGGGCTCAGTTGGGTTCTCGCTTGGGGTCTGTCAGAAGGTGATAGTCAGACAGTGGTTGGGGCTGGAGTTACCTGACAGCTCAACTGAGCTGGTTCTGTGATGGCCCCTTTACTCACATCTCAGCTGGACCAGCCAAGGAGGCTGCCTGGGCCTCTTGGCCTCTCCTTGTGACTAGCTTGGGCTTCCCTCACAGAATGGCCGTCTCAGTCACAGTATGACAACTACTAAGAGTAGTTGGACTTTTTAGATGGCATTCGGCTTTCCACAGAATGAACACTTGTAGAGATTTAGGTGGAACCTGCAGGGCTTCTTATGACCTAGCCTTAGGAAATCATGAAGTATCACTTTTGCAGAATTCTACTGATCAAAAGTGAGTCAGAAGGTCAATCCAGACTCATGAAGAGAAGACTCCCAAGGCACGAATGCTGGGAGGCACAGGTCTTGGCGTGGTGGTGGGAGGAGGCAGTATCTTTGAAGACAAGCTACCATACTTGCTACATGATTGTCAGCAAATTTCTTAAGCTCTCTGTGCCTCAGTCTTCTCTTCTATAAAATGGGATAATTGCTCCTACCTCACAGAGCTTTTGTGAGGAGCAAATGAGTTAATAATATGTGGAAAGCACTTAACAATGCACTATGAGAGTATTAGCTATTATTATTATTACTCAAAAGAGTAAGGAGCAAATGTTTTTCTCTGATTAATCTCTGTATCCCAATGTCTGAGATATCCCGTGAAATGTTTTATATCATAAACATAAATATGAAATGCTCTATATGCAAAGTAAGTGAAGTGTCCTTCTCCCCATCAAATAAAATTTTTTGTTTTTCATCTAAAAGTCAAGGTTTCAAGTTTAGATAAAAACAGTCATTTCTCACAATCAATAATGCATTTGATGTATTAACAAAAACTCAAACTAGCTGCCGGGGCTGGCGAACGCTGTTGTGAGTCACAGTGGCGATATGCTCACATCAGGGCCGGAAGCAGTAACACTTGTGGTGTGGAATTTCCCGTGGCACCAGCGGAAAAGGAGTCTGGATGCGTTTGTCAAAACTTCCCCGAAACAAAAAGAAATCAGGATTTCCTGCTAGAGGCCCAAGTGGCTAGTGATGTCCAGGACCTCACAACCCAACCTCAGACTGGCCTTAGCCCTGGCTGGAAAACAGGATCTGCCAACAAATCATCAGGGCTGGGCCCCAGCCTCCAGGGATGGACACTTTTCTGTCACTGCCAAATCCAGACAAAGCTCAGAGTCAGGTCACTGAATGCAAACTCTAAATAAAAAAATGGCTTCATGATCCACGCCTGTGGCTGCATGTTCTATTCTACAGAATTCTCCACCACGTCCTCCCATACCTCCTACCCCTCAGTATTCCATGTGGCCTTCAGGACAAATTCGAGTCTCCTGCCACATGCGCCCACCTGCCATGGACCCATGTTCCAGCCACATGCACAGCTTCCGTTCCTCCAAGGGCCCTGAGCTCACATATCTCTCTCTGTTCTTTCATACACTCTTTCTGTTGTCTAGAAGAGATATCAACAGGAAGGGCAGCCACAGTTCTCTCTCCCTCGACTCGGTGCTAGGCAGAGGCTGTGGTAAGAGTGTCATGTCTTCGTCTCAGTTTGTCTGCACGCTGGCCTACAGCGCCCTGCCTTGGCTGGCTAGAGAGCTCACCCATCTCTCCAGCCAGGCTCTGATCAACAGCCTTTCAGAAGGATAGACACATAGAGCAATGGAAGGGAACTGAGGGTTCTTGGTCTTTTAGGAAAAAAGACTCATTTCTTTTTTGCATATGTGTGTGTTTTCCTCTCAAATCCTTCTTGTTACCAAAGCCTGAGAGGGGAAGTCATTCTTATCTGGACATCTCTAAGTGTTCTCTCTCCTTTCCCGAGCAAGCTTCAAAATCCGGTCTTTTGTCTTCAAAGTTCAAAAGTGGATGCATTTGTACTTCCCTGATTGTGGTCTGCTGGTGCCTTTTTCATTTTTTTCTGCACCCCTCTTAGTCACAGCTTGGATGTCCAGGCCCCATTTCCTAGCTCTGTCGATTCTTTTGAGATATGGGTTGAGTAAACCTTATCCGAAAAGGTTGGGACTGGAAGTGTTTTGGATTTCAGATTTTCTGATTGGGGAATATCTGCACATACATATATAATGAGAGATCTTGGGAAAGGGACCCAAGCCTAAACACTAAATTCATTTATGTTTCATAGACACCATACACAGATGGCCTAAAGGTAATTTTACAGAACATTTAAAATAATTTTGTGCATGAAACAAAGTTTGGATCGTGCCCCGTCACATGAGGTCAGGTGTAGAATTTTCCACTTGTGGCATCACGTCAAAAAGTTTTGGATTTTGGAGGATTTTGGATTTTGAATTTTCAGTTTCAAGATGTTCAACCTGTATTGTGTTTGAGCACCTTAGCTGTGTTGGCAGGCCCTTGAAACAGCCTGTTCCTGTTTATATCACTACCCAGGCGCCTTTTTGATTCTTGAGGGCTTTCCTTAACATCTCCTTAACATTGCCTAGGAGGACTTAAAGATGTTTGTATATAGACGTTAAAATGGTAATCAGTGATTCTGAAGTTTCTGTTATTGCCCGTCATGTTACCTGAAGTGCAGTTAGATCCTCCCGGCTTCATGTACTATTACTGTCCACTGCTTTTACCAGCAGGGCATTTTCTGTCCTTTTATTTTTCATTGTCTTCCCAGTTCTATTCATTGGTTTATAATGAATAGGCTGGGATTAAGAGGCGAGAGCTTAAACATCAGGAAAAGACACTCTCGAATTTTCATTTGACAGCTGTTGTTCCTGAGAGAATAAGTCGATCTGTTAGAAAATTTAGATAGAGCTTTTTCCTTCTAGAGTTATTTAAATTTTTAAAAGGGAGAAGCTGTACTATTTTTATTACCAAAATCAAGTCTATTGAAGGCTACGCAAAACCTCATATTCTCAAGAAACCATAGGAATAATCTGTGGTTAAAACAGCACCTTGAAAATGCCAAATGCTAAATAGATTGATAAGAATACCAGTTGCTACATTATAATTTTTCAAAGGATGTTATGATTGGAGTCAGAATCCGGAGGTTTGTACTAAGTAGCTGGGAACACACTTGTGTTCATGCTAACTCTAGAAATATATCCTAGATTATGTTTAGGTTCAGCATGGACTCAATAGTATTCTAGGAAACAGTATTTCAGCGGCCAGCATGATAAGAGGTCGAGTGGGAAGGAAAATGCTATGCGTGTGGATAAAGGTGCTCTTTCTTCTCATCGCAGAGTCAAACACCTGGCTGCTATCACCAAGGACAAAGGATGTTCTGAAGAGTGAACCAACTCAGATTTACCCACACACTTCAAGAAAGCAATTTAGAAAACCGCAGGAATCCAAACATTCTTTCATTGGCTACTAAAATACAAGAAAAGAAATCAAGAAAAGTTTGTAGGACTTTTAGGAAGCTATTACTTGATCAGAATATTATTATTATAAATATATCAGAACACTTTTATCCTTGCTTGATGGGAATTCAACACTTCACGTCAGCCAGGAAAGCTACAGGTTAGTAACTAAACTAACCTAGTCTGTTGTCCCTAAAGATTTTCTGCCAATGGCCAGGCATGGTGGCTCACACCTGTAATCCCAGCACTTTGGGAGGCCGAGGCGGGTGGATCACACCTGAGGTCAGGAGTTTGAGACCAGTTTGGCCAATATGGTTACCATACTGATTATCATTTTAACATTTATATACAAACATCTTTAAGTCTTCCTAGACAATGTTAAGGAAATGTTAAGGAAAGCCCTCAAGAATCAATATGGTGAAACCCCGTCACTTCTAAAAATACAAAAATTAGCCAGGCATGGTGGCAGGCACCTGTAGTCCCAGCTACTCAGGAGGCTGAGGCAGGAGAATCACTTGATCCTGCGAGGCAGAGGCTGCAGTGAGCACTCCATTGCACTCCAGCTTTGGTGACACAGCAAGACTCCGTCTCAAAAAAAAAAAAAAAAAAAAAGATTTTCTGCTAACCATAATTGAACTAAGGAAAACTTGAGGGGTAAGGAGTTTCCATACGGAGTAGTATACTAAAAATTGCTCCAAAATCAATTGCCCTCATGGGTTTCATTTATACGGCTCCTAAACAGGAGATTTAGATGACGTTTACTCCCCTGGAATGCTATGTATTTTTTTTTTTAAATAAATAGGGATGAGGTCTCACTATGTTGGCCAAGCTGGTCTCTAACTCCTGAACTCAAGGGATCCTCGTGCCTCGGCCTCCCAAAGGGCTGGGATTATAGGCGTGAGCCACCGCGCCCAGCCACTCAGCTTTTGAGGGTTAATCATCAACCGCACAAAGGGGAAAGGAGGAGCAGTGGAGGGCAGTACACAAGCGGCCACCTTTCCTCCTTCCCAGGCACAATGCCCATAAGGGAGGCAAAGACCCGCCAATAAAGTCAGTGGGGGATGCTTTAAACATCTTGTGGGGTCACAGTTTGTACCCAGTCTATTATCCCATGTTGACATTAATTCTTGGCAAAGGTGGGGCTGTGGTCTTATGAAGCTGGTCTTACGAAGCTGGGTGTAGGTGTGAGTATACGTGAGAACGTGGCACTGTTTGCAATCGTTTGAGCTGAAGCTGCTTTACAACAGTATGCATTCTTTGGGGTTAGTGTGTTGAAAATGTCAGCTGAGTGACTTCCACCACCAGCTGCGCCCCTAACACCGTGTGGCACCGGGCTTGGGAACCACAGCTGTGGCCCGTCGTGCTGTCATCGCTTGTGGCTCTGGGTCCTTCCCCACCTGTTGCTGTGTCCGTCGGTGTGGCAGGGACCGCCGACTGGCTGGAACATATATGCTATTTCTGTGCATAGGATGTGAGTAAGTACATGCCATAGTAAGTCAGACCAGGATATGAGTCAGATCATATTATAAAGTGATACAAAGAACTGATCTTCAAAGCATTCTGGAAGCATTAATCCACGTGTCAACACTATTGTAAGGGAGCTACAGTTTGAAAGACACGATTACTAAGCAAAGGAGAGACGCTGCAAGACTCAGGTGAACAGAACTGGCTAAAGGCCTACCAATGAAAACAAATGCATATGGTGGGAGCCAAAATCCGGAGGCCTTAAAATTTAGAGGTAAAAAGAAAGAGTTAGCAGGACCACATATTTCTCCAGCATATTCAGTCAGAAATGGAGAAGCAGTGAAACACGGGCAGCTCAGAATAGCTGTGGAACATGGGCCTGCTTTATTATCCATACTATCTGCAGAGCAACCTTTCTGGGGCTAAATTAATGGTCCTCAACTGACTCTTAAAAAAAAAAATTGATTGGCACTGAGGTGTAAAGACACACATAAAAAGACGACCATCCACAGCACTATTTGTAAGCATAAAAACTGATTAACCATCATGATGTCCACAAATCAGCAAAATGAACTATATTATGTCACTTTCATGGAACCCAAGTAGCTATTAAAAGGAATGAAATAATCTGAATATACTGGCATGGAATGATGTCCAAGGTAGACTGTTATGAAGAAAAATCAAGGTGTAGAAAATGTGCATGGTAATCCCATTTCTATTAGAAATGTGTTTGCATATGCGCAGGAAAAAGTCTCTAAGAAGTGAGAGAAAACCATTAATAATTGTTAAATGTGACAGTGAGTTTTTTTTAAATTCTTATTCATTGACTGAATCCTTTGCCATAAACATCTATACTTTTATAATAGAAAATAAAGCCAACAAGATATTTATGAATAGCATTAACCTGTTTTTTGGTGTTTTTTTTTTTGTTTTTTTTTCATAATTGCAAGGTTCTTGGAGGCCCGGGAAAGGTGACCTTAATGGCATTCCATAGCTGGCAAGTCCCTGACTGAAACAGTGAAGGCACAGCAGGCACCCTGGGAGGCCTCGGCTCAGCATAGCCCCGAGCTCTCTGCGGGACCACGGAGCAGCAGAGATGGCATTCCCAAAATGCCAAGAGAAAGGAGGGCTTATTGGCCTCGGAATCCCTTTCTTGACCCCTGTCACGGGACCCTCACTGGCCTATGTAACTGCACTTCTGCTTTGTGAGCTGTGGGGTGTTCACTGCCTTGTCATAACCTGCGACCGTGACCCCACACAGGCTTCTGCTCAACCCTGGCATGCCCAGACTTCTCAGCACGGTGCTACCGACTTGCTGTTCAAGGGGTTGTGAAGAGTTCTCAGCCAGAAGTGATGGCAGCGATGCATCTGCTCCATCTCCTCCCTCCCAGCAACCCGCCTTTGTTTCAAGGGCCAGGGCAAGGAAAAGACTTGAGCTGCCTCTGGACCTGTGATGGCAGGAACCCATCCTGACCCTCCCGATCAGGCATTTCCTCTCCGTAAGTCAACTCTGTCCTCTGGTCTGCCCCTGATGCCCCCTTCCTCCAGGACGGAGGGAGATAGCAGGCCCACCGGTTTTTTGTTTTTTTTTTTTTTTTTGAGACGGAGTTTCGCTCTTTTGCCCACAGGCTAGAGTGCCATGGCATGATCTCAGCTCTCCGCAACCTCCGCCTCCCAGGTTCAGCTCTCGTGCCTCAGCCTTCCGAGTAGCTGGGACTATAGGTGCCCACCACCATGCCCAGCTAATTTTTGTATTTTTAGTAGAGATGGGGTTTCACCATGTTGGCCAGGCTCTTCTCGAACTCCTGACCTCAGCTGATCCACCTGCCTCGGCCTCCTAAAGTGCTGGGATTACAGGCGTGAGCCACTCTACCCAGCAGACCCATCTGTTTTGACTACAAAGCACAGGCCTAGAAGCAGCTATTGCCTCAGCCTTGTCTTGTGAAGGCTGGAGAAACTTATGCTTCGGCACAAGCATTTTCTATCCTTCACAGATCCCCTCTGAATGCTTCATAATCTCTCCCTACCCCACAGCTTCCCTTAGGTAATTCCTACTCCTTCAGATCCTAGTTCCAATGCTGCTTCCTCCAGGAGCCTCTCCCAACACCCCCGAGGCCAAGCCAGGTCCCCTCACACCTCGATACCTCCCATTGTTTACCCCACTCCTCATCTTCATTTACTCATGTGTAACTTGACAAATGTCTTTCTCACAGAATATAAGCCTCTGGAGGGGGCAGAGTCTTTGATGCTATGAACTCCTGGTTGACACTTGGGGCCCCTTCAGCTGCCCAACAGCTGTCCTGGAGGACGGATAGAATAATATAGGGACAGAAATCCTCTGCTCACAGCAGAGAGGGCCTCAGCCAGCACTTGGTGGGGAGGGGCAGGGACAGGCACTGACCTCGGCTGATGCGCTGCTTCTCCCCAGAAAGGATGCCGGGGCTGTCGATGACGCTGATGCTCTTCAGGACCTGATTGGGGAGCTGTGAGCACATGAATCTGGAAGAGACGGATCAAAGGAGGGGTCAGAAACTGGGCATCACAGAGTGCTCCAACCATGGGGCTTCTTGGCCTCTCTGGGCTTACTGACATCTGTAAAGTGGGGGCCTGAAGGAGACTGACAGAAACTGAGGATGCCTAATGAAGTTGTTTGTGAAGTAGGAGCTTGGAGGAGATTGATAGCACCTCCATCCAGCCACAGAGAACAGATGCTGGCCCATGGGACAGGTATGAGAGGTGCACAAGCACCTGCTGCCATCTGCCACCTGATGCCTTTCTGTTCATTTTGATTTTAGCTAACATTTATTGAACATGCAGGTATCTTACAAATATCCTCTCATTTGATCCTCATATTGACCTCATGAGGTGAAGGAATTATGCTTAACATAAGAGAGGTTAAGTAATGCTCAGGGTCACTCAGAGCGGTGCCTTAAACCAAGGTCAGCCTGCCTCCAAAGCCATGGGCCTCACCTCTCCTGGCTCCATGCTGGCCCCTGCCCAAGCATCCTGGGCCTCTCCCCCTGGGAATCCCATGCCTTCTTCAGGATGCACTGGCCCACTGGGCTGGAGAGCCCCAAGCTCCCTGCCTATTTCCTAGCATGAAAGCTGAAGGGACTGGGGCCTGTTTCCCCATCTGATGCCCCAGGAACTTAGCATCCAGCCCAGTGTCCCCTATGGCTTTAGGGCCAGGGAGGGGCAGGCACCTGTGACACCCAACATCCTCCAGGTGCTTAGGAGTCTAGGGGAGCTGGAGAGTAGGTGAGGGGACCAGGTTGGGGAAGGCCCTGGCTGAGCATCTTTAGGCCCCTCTTGTTCCTCATTTGCCTGATACCATCTCCTCCTCCTGATCCTGGTCCCTTTCCCTGTAGTCACTGCCCTTGTATCCACTCCACGGAAGCAGAGTGCGGAGGAAAAATCTAGCCTGTGGGTCAGCAGACCTGGGTTCAAGTTCTGCCCAGCGTTTCCTGATAATCTGCTATGGGACTCTGGGTAAGGGCCTCCCTGCTCTGGGTCTTGGGTTCCTCACATGAAAATGGTGGCTTCCCGACAGGGTCTGGCGATGTCCTTTTAGCTTTCAGACTGAGTAACTCCAAAAGTGATGGCAGGAAGTGCTTTGTTACTTCCACCCTGGGCACCAGGGTCTGGGATGGACCTTTGTGAGGCACTGTGCATGTTTAAGGCAGAAAGTGTAGAATGCCTCTCCTTTTCCTTTACTATGGATGGCTGACATCTGTGTCTGTGTGGGCAGAAAGCTAAAAGCTCAATTCTTCCGTACGATGGAAGTGGTGGGGATTACTCACAAAGTAAAAATGCTGGGAATGCAGGACAGGGAGGCCTGGCCAGCCTCCACAGTGCACATGTGGACACCACAGCCCTGGGTATGAGCGGCCGTTACTGACATTTCAAAATCACTTTCTCTGAAGGGGCTTGGGATACGATTTTTCACACAGTCTTTCCTACATTTTCAAATCGGCCCAGGAAGATATAGAAAAAGACATTAGGATCCTTTTGCAGGTGGAAAAGTTGAAGCACAAAGCAGTTATGACATTCTGAGGCCATGCTGCTAATGCACGGCTGGTTGCAGACTGCAACCTACTGTTTCTGATGTCAGTGGGGTGGAATTTAACCCACAAAGTTAAAAACCTCATAACATTAAAAGTAAAGGGTCAAGTTAGTGGAAGAGAAGCCCCCAATTTCCACCTGTCTGCAGACACTTGTGCACAGTCCCCTCCTGTACCCCAACCTTTAAATAAACCCTACTACCCAACACGGGGAGAGGTTTGTGGGAATAAAGCACATGAGGCTCACCAAGCATTCTTTGTAAGTTCACAGAAAAAACCCCACCATGCCATTATTCAATTCTCTAGAATTGGGGTGGGAACAGGGCTCTGGGCACATCCGTGGTGAACCTCGTTTCTTGTCAGGAATGATTGTCTCTCAGTGCCGTCCCATTCTTTCCATCAGATGGCCCGAGACATCTGGCGGAGCTGAACATATCACACCTACGTGAAACAATTTTCTGCAAACCATTCCCGTGGACAGGCTGATCTTTTCCCCAAACCACAAGCTCACACTCAATATCCATTTTTCCAAAACAGCCACCCCCTAGATTCTCAGGTGAGGCTAACAGAGGGATTCAAAATTTGCACACTGTTCACTCCCTGTGTATAAAGTGACAGCCTTTCCACAGCTCCCAGGCCTCCTGACATGACAGCAGAGGCCAGGCACGGGAGCCACAGAGCAAGCCACCGTGAGATGTGCTGACGTCACCACATGGCATACAAGCGGGCAAAGCGAGGAGCCCAGGATGGCTGAAAAAGAGAGGATGAGGAGCAGCAGGTGGAGGCGGAGGGAGAGCTTTGGCTGGGGCACCTCAAGAGTGGGCAGCTGGGGTTTTGGGTGCACAGCTGGACTCTGCTCCCTGAAAGACAGTGTCCAGGGGTGAGGGGCAGGCAAGAGAACAGAAAGGAGCATTGAGACCCTGTGGTGCCACGCTCATGCTGCGAGGTGACAACTGCATATGAATGCATTCGTACGAAGTTATGCTGGGATCAGAAAAAATCCTAATGGTGTTCTAGCAATCATGCCTCATGCTTCTTCTCTGAGAAAGGGAGGCGCACGGCAAACGTACTTGCTGTGTGTATAACAGCAGTGCAGTGGTAGTCGTAGCCCAGTAGTGAAGAACCTGGGCTCTGCAGTCAGCACTGCCAAGTTCATGTCCCGACCCCATCAACTCACAGCCGTGGGACTGGGCAAGGTATGTCGTGTGACTCCTCTGCGCCCAGTCTCCTCCTTTATAAGCAGAGGTTCACAGCCCTACCTGTAAGGTTGTGGTGAGCCTGGAGTTAATGTGCACGGAAAGTGCTTTGAACGGTGCCTGACACCCAGTAAGGGGGCCCTGGCCGGCCCAGCTTATTGAAATGCTTCCAAGCACAGATTTGCTGTCCCAAGATGGATTTCCTACTCCTTCCTGGGGAGATTAACACAAGGAGGATCTGTGCCTTGCCCTCTACATTTCACGTAAAATATGCAGACACATGCTGGTTCAACCCAGGAGCCTCACATGGCCCTCACCCGAGGATGACCTGATAAATGTTGTCTTCTGAAGTAAGAGAAGAAGACGGAGCAACTGAAGATCCTAGGCTGCCCCCTCAACTCCATATCCTCTCCACGTCTAAGGAAGGGCCAGGGGTAGCAGAGATGGGGGATAAAGTAATGGTCCAGGCTATGAGGTCTCAGGCAAGCTGCTAGGAGTCCTGCCACACAGTAAAAGGAGAGAGCAAAGCCAGGCACCATGACTCTCCCTGTAATCCCAGCACTTTGGAGGCTGAGTGGGGACGATCTCTTGAACCCAGGAGTTCAAGACCAGCCTGGGCACCATAATGAGACTTCGTCTCTACAAAAAATAAAATTAGCCGGGCATGGTGGCATGCGCTTGTAGTCCCAGCTACTCAGGAGCCTGAGGTGGGAGGATGGCTTGAGCCCAGGAGGTCGGAGCTGCAGTGAGCTTTGATGGTGCCAGTGCACTACAGCCTGTGCAACAGAGTGAGACCCTGTCTCAGATAAATACATACATACATACATATCTACAGAAGGAGGGGGCAAGGAGATTACTTAAAATTTCCCCCAAACACTAAAATTCCAATTAAATGATCAGCATTTTAAAAACTAGACTTTTAGAAGAACCAGACAGTACCTTAATACTGATTTTGATTTCTCAACAAAACAGTAATATCTGTAGCAGTTATAATAATAATAAAATAGCACAAACATTTCCTCACCTCTTACTGGGTGTCAGGCACAGTTTGAAGTACTTTCCATGCACATTAACTCCAGCCTTACTGCAGCCTTACAGGTAGGGCTGTGAGCCTCTGCATTTAGAGGAGGAGACTGGGCACAGAGCAGACACATGCCATAACATGCTGAGAAGTGATGGAGCTGGGACATGAACTTGGCAGTGCTGACTGCAGAGCCCAGGTTCTTCACTCCTGGGCTACTATCACCATGGCACACACTGGAACCACTGCTGTGTGGCATATCATGTGCAGGGCAACATCCTAAAACAAAGGGGTGACGTGCCACAGCCCTGGAACTTGCCCCTAAGAGGCTTCCTTGTGTGGTTTGCTCTCTACCTAGTGGTGTGGAGTGTCTGTCAGGGTGGGGAACAGGAGGTAGGAGATTTAGGCTCCAGACGTCTCCCTTACTCATTCTGAGACCTTGACCTTGCACAGGTCTCTAAACCTCTCTGAGCAATTCTACCAGGCCTGCGGACTTCCAGGTTTGCCATTAGGTTCAAATAAACCTAAGCTTACAGCGGAGAGAGTATAGAATTGTTTCAAAGTACTTCTTTTCACCCCAGCCCACTTTATTGATGAGGGTAAAACCAGAGAGATAATACAACTTCCTAAATTTGCACAGTAAATAGAACACAACCCACAAAAAAGACTTTGACAACTGAACTGTAATAATTCTTATTATATGGTCCTACCACAAATGGCTAATCTTATCTTCCAGTGCCTAGGAAGAACTAGGAACTGAATTTCACATCCAGATTACAGCAAAGCCCCTGGTTGCCCTATTAGATTGAAACTAATTACCACTTTTAAAGGTTAAAGATTATTTAAGACTGCCAATTTCATATGGTTCAACCTAAATATGTACTTTTATAAATCCCCTCCTGACTGCCACAGGGGAAAGCCCAGTGCAATGGCCCAGCCAGGAAGGTCTGCCTGACCCCAGGGAGAAAGGCATTTCTGGAATGTCAGGACCAGAAATGTACAGGCAGCTGCTAGTCAAGAACAATGGTTTAGGCCAGGCGCGGTGGCTCACGCCTGTAATCCCAGCACTTTGGGAGGCCAAGGCAGGTGGATCACGAGGTCAGGAGTTCAAATCAGCCTGGCCAACACAGTGAAACCCTGTCTGTACTAAAAATACAAAAATTAGCCGGGTGTGGTGGTGAGCACCTGTAATCACAGCTACTCGGGAGGCTGAGGCAGAGAATTGCTTGAACCCGGGAGGCAGAGTTTGCAGTGAGCCAAGATTGCGCCACTGCACTCCAGCATAGGTGATGGAGCAAGACTCCGCCTCCAAAAAAAAAACCACGATGGTTTAGTGACCAGGGAACTACCACCCAGGGAACCACCACAAATCTTTTTTATTATTGTTATTTTTTTAGGGACAAGGTCTCTCGCTATGTTGCCCAGGTTGGTCTCAAACTCCTGAGCTCAAGTGATCGGCCTGCCTCGGCCTCCCAAAGTGCTGGGATTATAGGTGTGAGCCACCGTGGCTGGCCAACAAATCTTGAGGTTAAAGAATAATGGGGAAAGCTTCAGCAAGTTTATTATAGATAAATGAACCACAATACACATGCACAAGACAACCCAGTTATTCCCTCAGATTAAAAAAAAATTATTTTGCTGGTGAATCAAGAGTCATTCTTGGCAAAAGCCTGTTTTCCTTAATTTCTGCAGCTAAATTGGCTGGGGGAAGCCGCACGTGCTTGGACTGATGCTGTGAACTTTAGTAAGTCAGTTTTTAAAAATTCCCAGTGGTACACAGTGACTATCAAATATTCAAAACTTGGCTAGGCACAGTGTCTCATGCCTGTAATCCCAGCACTCTGGGAGGCCAAGGCGGGTAGACTGCTTGGGCCCAGGAGTTCAAGACCAGCCTGGCCAATATGGCAAAACCCTGTCTTTACAAAAAATACAAAAATTAGCTGGGCATGGTGACACACGCCTGTCGTCCCAGCAATCGGGAAGCTGAGGTGGGAGGATTGCTGGAGCAGAAGTTGAGGCTGCAGTGAGCTGTGATCGTGCCTCCGCGCTCCAGCCTGGGCAACAGAGTGAGACTATATATATATATATATATATATATATATATATATACACACATACACACACACATACATATACATAAATTTGGCCAGGCATGGTGGCTCATGCCTGTAATCCCAGCACTTTGGGAGGCCGAGGCAGGTGGATCACCTGAGGTCAGGAATTCAAGACCAGCCTCGCCAACATGGTGAAACCTCATCTCTACTAAAAATACAAAAAGTAGCTGGGCATGGAGGTGGGCACCTGTAATCCCAGCTACTCGGGAGGCTGAGAGAGGAGAATCACTTCAACCCGGGAGGCAGAGGTTGCAGTGAGCCGAGATTGCGCAGCTGCACTCCAGCCTGGGTGACAGAGCAAGACTCCATCTCAAAAAAATAATAATAATAAAATAAAATCAAAACTCAAAAGCTAAACTGAGTGAAGCCTCGCTTAATTACAAATACAGAAGTAACAAATGGAGTAGAAGGTCAATAATACACCTGCGTATTTTATGATGGGGGAATCACCATTCAAGCATAACACAGTGGTTGTTTATCATCACCATCATCAGGCCCAGCTAAAATGACTGAGCCCTGGAAGGGCTGTTCACATTCCTTCAGCTCAAAGGGAAGTTTCAAAATTTCAATTCCCAGGGCCAGTGATTCAAGTTATTTTTTAGAAAGAAACAGAGGCAATGAGGAAGTACATGAGATTAAGAATTTCTTCTGTGGAAGATAACAATTTAAAATAATACTAGATCCTAGACAAAAAATGTCTACAGCTATCTGAATTTGAAAATATACACATTACCATTTTTTAGAAAAGGAGACTGAGGAATAACATAACATCTTATTCAAAAGCAGACTGCAAGGGGAAATGTCAGACCCCAATGCCTGGCACTTCCCTGGCGTCTCAGAGGATCCAATGCTCTGGGTGCCCTTGGCTGTCTCCTCCTCTGTGAGGGGCAACTGCCTCCTGATAGCAACCTCTGGAATGTCAACAAGCACCTCCCCAGAGCTGCTCCCAGATGGGCCACTGAGGAATTCGTCGTGAGCACAGCAGTCTGCTAGAGTTTCAGAATGTCTCACTAAAGCCATTTCCATAGACCTCTGTGTGTTCTAAACTCCTTTTATTGTTCAAGTATGGAATTTCTCTAATATAAACCTTTTTAGGAATTTATCTTCATTTCTCAGAAATGCACCATAGACCCCTTGTCGCTCCTTAGAAGCCAGCCTGGGAGGCTGTGACTCGGGCTTTGCTGGTTTGCTTAATGGTGGAGGGTGTTGTCCCCCTCCAGGTATCACCTGGTACTTAACTCTTTTAAAGATGCCCCTGGGGGCAGATGCCCAAGCCAGCACTCCTTAAGGAGAAGGCCAGGTAATAACGATCTGTCACAGGGAGATTCTGGTGTGGCTGCTTGGGAGAGAAAGTTCTCCGCAGAAAACAAGCAATTTTCTTTACTAGGTGTTACATTTTGACCTAGTTCCCAGAGAAGTATGCTATGTGAAAAGAGGTTTGCCTCTAGTACTAACCCTGTGCTGTTCCCAGACGGAAGCTATAATTATGTACACATATTTGAACGCCCTAACTAATTGACTCTTTCTTAAATAACTGCTGTGTGATGCAGTGGCACTGTCCTGTGGATACTACTTAATGAGGCTGTTTACTCTTAAGTAGCTATGAGTTTACATGAGGCATGTCCCTTACACGTGAGCCTGACACACACTTGGCTAGAAGGACAGAAACTCCTCTTGGCCGATGCTGAGCAGAGGCATAGGGTGTGGGACAGGGGAGAAGGGGAACACTGGATTCCAATCCCCTCTCTGCCTCTTCCTGATGGCCTCTCCCTGAGCAAGTCATGTCTTTGCTTTCGGCCTTCTCATTTGTAGATTGGCAACAGTATTGTCTGTGTTATCAACGCCAAAAGAATAATGTACATGAAATTACGTAAGTGATGACTTGGGACATAATCACCGTCATCTTCATCATCATTACTGGAGGGCTACATTAGGAACAGCCTTACTAACCCTAACCCTAACCCTAACCCTAACCCTAAGAGTTAAATAGGGGGCACTGGGCAGTGATTCCCAGTCCAAACATCATACTATTGGTCAGCTGGCCTGGGTTCCAGTCCCAGCACTGATCTCACTGGTGGAGTGACCCCCAGAAATTAAAGTAACCTCTTTATGCCTTGATTCCTCCCCCTCCATTGAGGATAACAGTAGCATCATGTCACAGGGGTTCTGTGAGGATTTAAAGCTAATACACAAGTCTAGAACAGAATCTGACACATAAATGCCATATAATTATTTGCTATTATTTTTCTATATGTTATTCTGAATTCAACTGACACTTGCTTTTATTATAAGGCATGGATTATTTTCAGCAAGTTTTAAATTCTGAGACAAGAGCTTTGCCATTCAAAATCGTTCCTAAAAATTTCTTTTCTGTACTCATCTGTCATGTGCTTGGGATTTGAGAAGAAAAAAACATTTTTTTTTTTTGTTAGGAAAGTAAATCATTTGCCAAAATAAAGCAAGCCAATAACCACTCTTCCTGGTTTCTCCCTTGTGAATTCAGACTTCACAAAGTGGGAATTTGAAAAAACTGGCAGCTTATTTCGTTAAGCCTTTGTTGGGCAAAAAGAGCCCCAGACAAAGGGCAGTGGCAATGAAACCAGAGGACCCCAGGGAAGCCTTCCACAGAGACAGATCCTGTGCCTTGAACTTTCTGGGGCCTCCTGTTCTGGTCTACTTCCCCTCCACCCTGGGCCACTCTGTCCTGAGAGATCTGGAGAGTTGACCCTCTGGGGTTCTCCCGCCCAGGGCTTAACCCCCTCTCCCACAATGAGACACTCTGGTGCCAACCAAGTCAGCTCTGGAGTTGAAGAGTAAACTCCTCCTAGAAAAGTCAGCCCTGCAGGTTGGAAAAAAATCACCTGGACAGTGTTCCTATCACCATCAGTAATAAGATGGAACTCCTCTGGGACTCCTTCCACATCACCTGCAGGTTTCTGTTCATCCCACTGCCAAGTTCCCTGGTTGCTTTCTTTGATTTGCAATAGGATCATCAAAAAGCCCCTAATGGAGAATTCAGCTCCCCGGAGAGTTCCATCTTCCACAGAAGGCACCTGCGGAGGGGCCTGGGTGGCCCTCAGCCGAGCCAGTGCACAGCATCCAGCACATCATTCATTCCCCAGGCCACATGAATGGTGCCCCTGGAGCTGCGCGATGAGGCGCTTCGGCCTTTGGGAGGACAGCAGCCGGCTGGGAGGATCCGTTCCTATTTTTAAAAACTTCTAGAAAGGAGATGTGGACTGTCAGCTCTAATGCTACTTCCTCTCCCTAAAGAGGCTCGGATGACCCTCCCTAGCTCTGTGCCTCCTACAACCCACTCCTCCAAATCAGCCACACGAAAGCTAGACCCAGGAAAGAGGGAAATAGAGGGGTGGGAGAGGGATGATAGGAAACAAGAAAAAAGCATTACACAAACGCAAGGGGTAGCAAATAGGAGGTGCAGGAGGGAGGAAGGAAGGCAGATCCAGTGGGAAAGGGCAGAGTTGTAGCCAGGGGTACCAGCTGGCCTGTCTTCCCCAGGCCAGCAGCCCTCAGTTCCACTGGGAACTCTAATGAAAGGTTATGGGAGGAGTACAAATAAAACACATCTCCAAGTGAGGCAGAACCTCAGTGACCCCACAACTTTACATCTATAAAATAGTGACCACGTAGGCTGGGTGTGGTGGCTCACATCTGTAATCCCAGCACTCTGGGAAGGCGAGGCGGGTGGATCACCTGAGGTCAGGAGTTTGAGACCAGCTTGGCCAACATGGTGAAACCCTGTCTGTACTAAAAATACGAAAATTAGCTGGGTGTGGTGGTGGGTGCCTGTAATCCCAGCTACTTGGGAGGCTGAGGCAGGAGAATTGCTTGAACCTGGGAGGCGGAGGTTGCAGTGAGCGGAGATCATGCCACTGCACTCCAGCCTGGGAGACAGAATGAGACTCTATCTTCCCCCCCGCAAAAAAAAAAAAAAAAAAAAAAACGACCACGTAAGAAAATCAGCTTTTCATGTTTTTCACTCTGTTTCCCTGGCCCTGCTCTGATGAATAAGGAAACAGCTCAAAGCTGGGAGTGAGAAGCAAAAGGGACAGCCAGGGAGGTGAGGGGTCCTGTTCTGGAGTCAGTGGGTAAAATCCGAGTGTCCGGTGAAGGTTAGGGGTCCTCTGGGCTAAGCTCTCTGACTGCAGAAGCCCAGCGCACCATGCCTGAGAGGTGTCTGTCTAACCAGTGCTTAACATTGCCAGTGACGAGGAGCTCACTGCCTCATGAGGCAGCCTAATCCATTTCTGTGCAGCTCAAATTATTAGAAATTTGTTCCTTATACTGTAAGCATTTTTATTTTTTAACTTTTAAAATTTTTTGCAGAGACAGGGTCTTACTTCGTTGTCCAAGCTGGTCTCAAACTCCTGGCTTCGAACAATCCTTTTGCCTCAGCCTCCCAAAGTGCTGGATTACAAGCACGAGCCACACACCTGGCCCTGTGCAGCCTTATAATGTCCAGTTCTGGGCCTTAGCTCTGCCCTCTCAAGTTACCCAGAATAGGCATAAATGATTATTTCCTATGATAGTCTTTCAAATATCTTAATATGATAAACATATTTTGTATGACTTCTAGAGCAGAGATTCTTTGTTCTTCTGTTTTTGAACCTTTATATGTAACTGGCAGTAATTCAAAGAAAAGGTTTAAACAGCCTGACCGAAGATGGCAGCTTGCTGGTCCTTACCGATTCAGGAAAGCGTTTCCAAAGCGACTGAGCTTTCTAAACGGCTTTTTGGGGTCCACGACTAAAGCATTCCCTGGGGTGCTGCCCTCAGTCTCTCCATACATCACGGCGATGAAGGAGTCTGTGGTGGGCTCCGGACCAATCCTCATGCCTGGGAAATCCTGCTCCAGTAGGTATCTGGGAGAGGGAAGAAGAAGAGAAAGCTTAGCATCTTATCACAAAGTAAGAGGCCAGAAAGCTGCCTGGGATTACCAATTTTTTTACATAATCATTTAAAAACGTAGAAACATAACCCCCAAGAAAAGCACGCAATCCTCCTCTGCATTTCTGTTGATGCAACAGACGCTACCCCAAGGGAAGTGTACCGTGCTGGCTCCTGGGCATCCTGGAAGCTCTGCTCAGGCTCAGCTCCCTTAGGGGAGCCTCCCTGACCTGCATGTGGGGACACCTCTTTTGTGGTCCCTGGGCACCCTGTGCCTGCTGCCAGCGTGGTGCTCAGCATGTGTACTACAATTACTTGTTTATGGGCCCTGCAAGGTGTCTGAGCTGATGAGGGCAGACTCATGTCCCAACCATGCCAGGAGGATGATCTTCGTCTTATAAGCCTTGAAGGGGCTCAAGGGAAAAAACCTGCACAGCCTTCTGCAGCTCCCCATTCCTGCAACTAACAATCTATTTGGTCCTAAACTACTTCTTTGTTTCTAAAAAGTTTTGACTGATTCTAATGTAAGCCCACAATCTGTGACTATTTCCAGGGAAAGAGAGAAAGTGCTGAATTCTATCAAATGCCAAATACAATTTTTCCATCTTTAAAAGAATGAGAAATTAAGCCACCATTTAGACCTATGTTTTCTATGTAAATAAAACTGAAAAAAAATTTTTTTTTTTGAGACTGGGTCTTGCTCTGTTGCCCAGGCTGGCTGGAGTGCAGTGGTGCAATCTCGGCTCACTGCTGCCTCGACCTCCTGGGCTCCAACAATCCTCCTGCCTCAGCCTCCCAAGTAGCTGGGACTACAGACACATGCCACCATGCCTAGCTAATTTTTTGTAGAAACAGGGTTTCACCATGTTGCCCAGGCTGGTCTTGAATGCCTGGGCTCAAGCTATCCCCTCACCTTGGCCTCCCAAAGTACTGGGATTACAGGCATGAGCCACCGCAACTGGCCTAAAACTGAAATTGTTTAGCAACCTTAACGGGCTATATTCTAAACCTTTAATTGATGTCATTGCTAGTTTTCACTTCATCCAAAGTTTCTACGTTTCTGTGAAGTTGTGGCACCCCAGAATAGATACACCATTAAAATATGTCTCCTAAATTTACAGTAAATCTGATGATATCTTTTATCTCTAAATTTAGAGAAAAAAATCTGCTAATAGCACACGGCATTTACTGAGTGCTTGCTATATTCCTGATATGGCGCTGAGCCTTCTATATTGTTTCACCTCATGCTCTGAGGTGGATGATGACATTACCCTCGTTTTATTTACAGGTGGGAAAACTGGGGCATCAGAGAGGCCAAGCGGCTTGCCCAAGGTCACACAGCGGATGTTCGAGTGGAAATGGAATGCAAGCATTCAGACTCCAGAACTTGCACTGTCTTCAGAAATGGCCTCAAGTTAGTGGTTTGCTCAGGGGTGAAGAGCAAAGCAAAGTTCAGGGCCTCATCCCAGGGTGTGTCACTTGGCATGAGGGACGAGGACCCCCATTTCCTCTCAGCTGAGGGGAAGAGCTCTCCACAATGTCCCCCTGCACGGTCCTCTGGCTACCCTGACAACAAGGGCCAGCTCTCCCTACTCTCCCTGGAGTAAAGCTGGGCTCAGGAGGTGCTACCGTTTCAAAATGTGTTCAGCTTTAATTTTTAAAATATCTTCAAGAGTTTCTCCATCAAAACCTCTGTATCCCTAATAGCCTAGAAATGTTCGTGTTGATCAATTCTTACACATTCCACACAAATCTGAGAAATGCTGGTAAAAGTTACTGTGAGGGATGCCCACTCTGTGAAACTCCAGCCTCTATGGAGTGGATGCAGAGCGTGTGGACTCCATATACCCATGGGAATGTGGAATTTAGGTTTTACAGCCCCTCTGGGATCTCAAGGGTGAAGACATTCAGCAGCGAGGCTGGAATTCAAAGCCAGATCACACTCTTGCCTCCACTCACGTCCAGTTTGATTTTTACGCCCTGTGGCCTGGATGGGGCTATGTCTGGAGGCTGGTATGACTGAGGGAGGAGAGACTGCTGGGGAGGGAGGGGCTTGGGAGAACAGCAGCCAGTGTCGCCCAGCTCCCCGCAGCACACACAGTTCGCAATTCACGAAAATGTGAGGTGCGGGAGTGGGTTTGAAGCTTGACAGGCACTTTGCTCCAGAATCAGTGCTAATAGCAACGGTGGGCTGGCCAAGACGGCCTACAAAAGGTCACACACACTGATTAAAGGGATGAACCAGACGAGAACTGCAGCGTGTGCTTTTTGGGGAAGAGCTCGGTGTGGAGCTCCACCTTGGGTGGCTCGCGGCAACACGGCCCCTTCTCGGCACCTTCACCAAGCCTGGCCAGGAGGAGGCCCTTCAGATTCCGGGCCAGGGAGGTGAGCATACGGATATCGTAGTTAAGCAGTGAGTCCCCCAGCTGGACAATCACTCACACAGCACAGGTGTTGAAGTCAGACATCACTGTCGAGGAGTGCCTGAATTACTTTCTGATGTTTCATTCCTGTACAAGTACAGCAAATCCCACTACTTTTGAAATAACAGGGGTTTCAAGGAAAAATATAAATGAAAAAATTGTTTAAAGAAGAGCAGATGTTTCCTACATTCAAGTTTATATTGCAATCGAAGCCAGAGTTTTCTAAGTAGCGACCCTACTGGACAGACCTTTAACAATAAATCATTTTTAAAGTGTGCTTCAAGTGTGAAATAATTTGAAGTCAAAGGTGTCCCCCTTTGACTGTGACCTTGGTAAATCAATCTCTGGATCTCAGACACAGAGGAAGAACTAGAATTAGGAAGAATTACTGTATTATAAAGCTTGCTTGCATTATCAATTTGTTTGGTGATACTTTCACAGATAATACAAAGTTAACATTCAGTGTTCAATTTCACCATCAAAGAAATACCAGTAAAGACAGAGCACATTAACAAATTTTTGAAAACTCGGAATCATCAATGCTGGCAAGGGTCCTGTGAGATAAACACCCTTATATATGTTGGTGGGGGAATAAGTTGGTCTAACTTCACTAAAAAGCAATTTGACACCATGTGTTAGAAGCCTTTAAAATGGGGGTCTTGCTGGGAGCGGTGGCTCGTGCCTGTAATTCCAGCATTTTGGGAGGCCGCAGTGGGAGGATCGCTTGGCCTAGGAGTTCGAGACTAGCCTGGGCAACATGGAGAAACCCCGTCTCTACAAAACATACAAAAATTAGCCAGGTGTGGTGGCGTGCATCTGTAGTCCCAGCTACTTAAGAGGCTGGGGTGGGATGGTCGCTTGAGCCCAGGGAGGTTGAAGCTGCAGTGAGCTGTGACCATGTCACTGCACTCCAGCCTAGGTGACAGAGTGAGACCCTGTCTCTAAATAAATAAAGAAAAAATAAACTCAAATGGGGATTTTGCGGAGTTGACCTCTAACAGCTCGTGCTGGTGTTATTTGAGGGCCTGTTTCCTCTCCTCTCTTGGGCTGTCATTTCCTGCAGGGCATGGTCTATATACTCAGTACTTTAGAAACCTGGAGTCTGGTAGGAATGATTTGAGTCAGCCTCTTATCTTTACAAGCGACAAGACTGAGGGTTAGTGCAGGAACATGGCTTGTTGCTGGTCAAACTCACAGGGTGGCCATGCAGGATCCAGAACCTGCAGCCCCTTTCTCCTGGCCCCAGACTTCTGCTCTTACACCAGGCACAGCACCATCACCCTGGGGTCCTACACTGCCCCCAGCTCCCTGGTGCTCTAAGCAGGACCTGGCAGATCCCTGACTTTACATATGACACTCTAAGCTGATTGCCCTGAAGAAGATTTTTCACTGGGGGACTGCAGAAACTCAGATTCATCTGTTACACTGCTGGGTAAACAGGTACATGTCAGTGCAGTGAGGGAACTCGGAACAACCAAGACACCAAGTATCTGACATGGAAAAAGGGAGAATGAAGTGATGGATCCACACACAGCAAGCTGGAAGGGAAGAGTCTGAGCTGATGCTGAGGTGCAATGTGCATAAATGGGTCAATCACACAGCCACACGGGATAGACAGCCTGATCAACTGTGTTAGACATTTCTCACGGTGGGAGTGCCTCAGAGGCTTTCCCAAAGCTACGAGTTTCAGGGACTCTAGTATTATCTGCAATAACAACAATTCAAAGGAACAAGAGGACACAGGAAGACCACCGTGATTCAGAGCTGATTAGCCCCTCCACAGGCATCCTGTGCTTTGGAGACTTGATTTTTGTCCTTGGCTCCACTTTGCTCCCCCTTTCCTGTGTTCTCGGAGAGGCCTGCCAATTCCAGCAATGATTGCTCCAAGGTTCTCGAGCCAAGCCAGCCACATAAAAAGGTATGGACATTTGGATTCCAAGCAGCTGGGCGGAAGGGATGGTGGGATGGATGGGAGACCTGACATCCCCTTGTCCTGGTCCGATGAGGTCCCCAGTTCAGACTCATCCAAGTGGCTCTGGGGTACCCCGGTTGCCAGCATTCAGCCCAAGCTCACAGAGCTACTTTGATGCAAGAGTATATATGGATGGTGTCTTCTTTTTTTCATTGCTTAGGCTAGAATTTTTTTTTTCACTTCATAGAAGTGAATGTCATTTATGACAAGGGGAAGAAAAAAAACTCTCAAGATATTGAAAACAGAGATACTCTCAATATGTCCAAGCACCATCTTCTCAACGATGAGCTTAAGAATGAATAAAAACCAAACAAATCTAAGTGGCACATTATTCAAACAAATGCTGGAGTAGTGGGCAAAGCATTACACTTTAAATAAATATACCTAACGCTTGAGGACTCGTTATGTGCTAAAGTCTTTACATGAATAGTCTCATTTCATCCTAACTACCTTATGGGCAGGTACTATTTCTATCCCTATTTTACAGATGAGGAAACTAAGGCTCAAATGGGTTAAGCGGTTTATTAAGATGAAGGATTTCTTACTAGTCTTATGAGGACACCACCCACCCTAAATCAGAGCCTGAGAGGCCGACGGGTTCCACTGGGAATGTTTACAGGAACGTGTCCTGTGAATCATAACAAATACACAAATGTAAGATTTTAAAAATAATACGGCACATATATTTTGAGTGTTGTATGAGCATTATTTTTAAATTATCAAGCCAAATCTAAAGAAATGGTTTGTGTGGGCTGGGCGTGGTGGCTCACGCCTGTAATCCCAGCACTTTGGGAGGCCGAGGTGGGCGGATCACGAGGTCAGGAGATCGAGACCATCCTGGCTAACACGGTGAAACCCCGTCTCTACTAAAAATACAAAAATAAAATTAGCCAGGCATGGTGGCGGGCGCCTGTAGTCCCAGCTACTCGGGAGGCTGAGGCAGGAGAATGGCGTGAACCCGGGAGGCTGAGCTTGCAGTGAGCCGAGATCGTGCCACTGCACTCCAGCCTGGGTGACAGAGCAAGACTTTGTCTCAAAAAAAAAAAAAAAAAAAAAAAAAAAAGAAATGGTTTGTGTGATGATAAACGAGATCTTAAAATATGTTCGTGCATACCTTGGCATCTGTGCATGGAGTTTGGGGGTTCAATTCATTGCTATTGCCTGAAACATTTTTAAAATAAGTTTTGGAAAGTTTCATGTAATATATTTTTCTTCAGAATACTTACTTGATCCACTATTTCACTAGGAGAGGGATGAAAAGGAAGAGTTACTACTTCTACTCTGATTTGATTTGAGCCTGGAAAGATGTTTTAAGAGCAGTTTCTGGCCGGGCACGGTGGCTCACACCTGTAATCCCAGCACTTTGAGAGGCTGAGGTGGATGGATCATGTGAGGTCAGGAGTTCAAGGCCACCCTGTGGCAAACACGGTGAAACCCCGTCTCTACTAAAAGCACAAAAATTAGCCGGGCGTGGTGGTGCGCACCTGTAATCCCAGCTACTCGGGAGGATGAGGCAGGAGAATTGCTTGAACCTGGGAGGCGGAGGTTGCAGTGAGCCAAAATTGCACCACTGCATTCCAGACTGGGTGAGACTCCACCTCAAAAAAAAAAAAAAAAAAGCAGTTTCTATTGTTTAATCTATCCTTGTGTTTCACACCAGGAAAAGTAAGTGGGAGAATCAAGCATTTATTACTTCCAAAGTCTTACAAGATAGGCCAAGATATATAAATATTTCCTAGCAAAACAGTATGACCTGCACTATCACTGCTTCTAGATACTAACAAATGACAGGTTACTCTGAAGCCGTACTGTACAGTTTATAATGCATTTCACACATTCAGCTTATTTCATCCTCACTGCCATGGGAGCAGGTATTTTTATTCCTAGTTTATAGAGGAGAAAACTGCTTATGCCAAGTTAAATAGCTTACAGGAGACCACATTAATACTGGGTAATGACTACTTTTAACATTTTGATGTATTTCCATCCCATCATTTTTCAGTAAATGTAATTTTCCTTTATAAAATTGAGATAAAAGTTAAACAATTTTGCATCTTGATTTTTCACCATTAGTCTTTCCTCATACCATTAAAAATTCTTTGAAAACATGATTTTTAATGGCTGCATACTATTCTAAGTTGAATATGTATCAATTTATTTTGTCATTTCCTGTTAGGCATTTAAATAGCTTTCTATTTTTTGCTGTTATAAATAATGCTGAGATAAACATCCCTGAACAAACATCTCATCTACTTAAAAAAGTCTCCTTTGAATTACTGAAAAACTAAGTTAGGCTGATCTTCACTTACATTTTTTTTTTTTTTTTTTTTTGAGATGGAGTCTTGCTTTGTCACCCAGGCTGGAGTGCAGTGGCATGATCTCAGCTCACTGCAACCTCTGCCTCCTGGGTTCAAGTGATTCTCCTGCCTCAGCCTCCCAAGTAGCTGGGATTACAGGCGTCCGCCACACACTGGGCTAATTTTTGTATTTTTAGTAGAGACGGGGTTTTACCATGTTGTCCAGGCTGGTCTCAAACTCCTGACCTCAGGTGATCTGCCCGCCTCAGCCTTCCAAAATGCTGGGATTAGAGGTGTGAGCCACCGCGCCAGCCTCACTTACATTTTAAATGTGAAAACTAAGTTTTATTTTCATTTTTCCTTTAGTTAAATCATTGACATGTTATCACCAGGACTGTTTGTTCAGATGATGTCACCTTTGAAACTGCTGTGCCTACTAAGGGAATGGACATTAGGTCATTGAACCAATAAACTGGAATTTGCTGGGTAAAACTTTTCGTATCTCAGGCTATTTTTCCAGCTATGGATGGGATTTATACTCCTCAGGGCTGAGATGTGCTTGAAAGCACACTGCTGTCTACCCACTGCCATTACCTGTAAGTTGCTCCACTCCACCTTCCATGCTGTTTTGGGAGGAGGGTGAAAGAAAGGGAGGGGAATTTCACTAGAATCAAATCAGTTTCTTACAGTTCTATTTGTTCTTCCAGTCTTTCAGTCATGCAATGACTATTTATTGAGTGTTTTTGATGTTGTAACTTGTAATTTAGGAGTATGACAACAGACTTTAGGTTGTAAACTCTTTGATCTGGGAGTACTGTAAATCGTCATGAGGAGGTTATGGAACACAGCATATCCCAAAGTTACTTGACTATGGAACCCTTTTATTTTCTTTGAACACTTACGAATGATCTCCCACAACTGCATTCCACAGAACATAGGTTAAAGGAAAAGGCTAAAAGGCATCTAACAAACTCCATATCCATTTTGTTTTTTTCTCCAAATAGAATCATTTAAATGAAATCCTTTTAAAACTAGTAATAGATAATTTCTTAATGCAATTAATTTATAGATAAGAAGCCACCAGCTGACATAATCTCTTAAGGTGAAATAACATAGGCAATACCATTAAGATTAGAAGCTTGATATGAATGCCTACTTCCTGGTATTATGAAATATGGAACAGAAGGGGAGACAAAGTAATCATGAAGGTAACTGATACAGTTATCTATCTAGAAAACCTAAGAGAATCTACTGACAAGCTGTCAGAATAACTTCTTGAGTCAAATGACCAGATATAAAACAAAAATGTACAACTCAGTAGCTTCCTTACATATCAGCAATACCCTGCCAAAAAAAATAAGAGAAATAAAAAGCCCATTCATAAGAGCAACAGGGCATAAAATACCTAATACATTAATAAGAGCTCCATAGGACCTGTATGAGTAAATCAATCACTTTTCCAAGAAGGTCTGCGTTAAAGCAATGGTGAGCTGCTGCTTGGGAAGAGCAAATACAAAAATGTAACTTAGAGACAGAATGCAGTTCCAGGACAAATGGATCCCAGTGGGATTTTTTTTTGTTTGTTTTGAAGAACCTAACTAAGAAAGTTCTTCTCAAAGAATGACAGAAAATGAGAATTGATAGCATTTGAAAAATAAAGAGTAATGCACGCAGAAGAGTCTTGAGCTAAAATTATTAAAAAGTATTTCAAAGTGACAATATTTAAGATGGTATGGTGTTGGCATAAGAATTTACAAACAGAATAACACGAGACAAAGGTCCTAACAGACTCAATATAGTATTTAATAACTTAGCGTATGAGGAAGCCTCATGTGACAGCAGAAAAAGGTAGATTTAATAATAGTGTTAGAAAATGACAAAAGACAAAAAAAAAAAAACCCACAACAATATAATTGAGACAGATTTTACTTCCAGGTGGGTTAAAAAGTTAAATATTTAAAAAGTAATCCTATTTTAAAAAGAGCGCCCGGCCAGCCGCCCCGTCCGGGAGGGAGGCGGGGGGCAGCCCCCACCCGGCCGCCGCCCCGTCTGGGAGGTGGGGGGCGCCTCTGCCCAGCCACCCTGTCTGGGAAGTGAGGAGCCCCTCTGCCCGGCCGCCACCCTGTCTGGGAGGTGTACCCAACAGCTCATTGAGAACGGGCCATGATGAGGATGGCGGTTTTGTCGAATAGAAAAGGGGGAAATGTGGGGAAAAGAAAGAGAGATCAGATTGTTACTGTGTCTGTGTAGAAAGAAGTAGACATAGGAGACTGCATTTTGTTCTGTACTAAGAAAAATTCTTCTGCCTTGGGATGCTGTTAATCTATGACTTTACCCCCAACCCCGTGCTCTCTGAAACATGTGCTGTGTCCACTCAGGGTTAAATGGATTAAGGGCAGTGCAAGATGTGCTTTGTTAAACAGATGCCTGAAGGCAGCATACTCCTTAAGAGTCATCACCACTCCCTAATCTCAAGTACCCAGGGACACAAACACTGCGGAAGGCCGCAGGGTCCTCTGCCTAGGAAAACCAGAGACCCTTGTTCACATGTTTATCTGCTGACCTTCCCTCCACTATTGTCCTATGACCCTGCCAAATCCCCCCCTCGGAGAAACACCCAAGAATGATCAATAAATACTAAAAAAAAAAAAAAAAAAGAGGCAGGGCACGGTGGCTCACGCCTGTAATCCCAGCCCTTTGGGAGGCCGAGACAGGCAGATCACTTGAGGTCAGGTGTTCGAGACCAGCCTGGTTAACATGGCAAAACCTTGTCTCTACTAAAAAATACAAAAATTAGCCAGGCATGGTGGCCCATGCCTGTAATCCCAGCTACTTGGGAGGTTGAGGCACAAGAACCGCTTGAACTGGAAGGTGGAGGTTGCAGTGAGCCGAGAACGTGCTACTGCACTCCAGTGTGGGTGGACAGAGTGAGAGTCTGTTTCAAAAAAAAAAAAAAAAAGAATATGAGTGAACATTTCCTGAGTCTTAAGATAAACAAGGATTTTCTAACCAAAAAATAAAAGATATTATAAAAAAGGAAAAATTGTTAGATTTGATCACAAATATTAAATATATCTGCATGGAAAAACTATTACAAAAATTACAAGGCAAATTTCAAACTGGAAAAACACTTTTACAACTGTGACAAAGGATTGATATCTGTTACTGAGAAAAACATTTACATTTATTTATAAGAACAAGACCAGGGCCAGGCTCGGTGGCTCATGCCTATAATCCCAGCATTTTGGGAGGCCGAGGCAGGTGGATCATGAAGTCAGGAGATCGAGACCATCCTGGCTAATACAGTGAAACCCCGTCTCTTCTAAAAATGCAAAAAATTAGCCGGGAGTGGTGGTGGGCGCCTGTAGTCCCAGCTACTCCAGAGGCTGAGGCAGGAGAATGGCGTGAACCTGGGAGGCAGAGCTTGCAGTGAGCTGAGATCGCGCCACTGCACTCCAGCCTGGGTGACAGAGTGAGACTCCATCTCAAAAAAAAAAAAAAAAAAAAAAAAAGGACAAGACCAACACTTCAAATGAAAATTGGACAAAGTTCACAGACAATTCAGACAATTCACAAAGTAATATGGAAGACAACTATATTTTATAAGTTCAACGTCACTAGTAAGAAATAAACAAATTAAAATAAGTCTGTTCTGGCTGAGTGCCCCATGGCTCACGCCTATAATCCCAGCACTTTGGACTTTGGGAGGCCAAGGCGTGAGGATCGCTTGAGCTCAGGAGTTTGAGACCAGCCTAGACAGCACAGCGAGATCCCAACTCTACAAAAAATGAATAAATTGGCTGGGTGTGGTGGTGCAATGTACCTGTAGTCCCAGCTACTCCAGAGGCTGAGGTGGGAGGATTGCTTGAGCCCAGGAGTTTGAGGCTGCAGTGAGCTATGATGGCATCACTGTACTCCAGCCTGGGCAACAGAGCAAGACCCTATCTAAAACACTTTTTTTTCCTATCAAATTAATTTTAATTAGTTTTACTGGCAGTTTGGTGAATTACTGATCCTCATATTTCTGGTGGGAGTCTAATTTGGAATAACTGTCCTAAAAAAGAAAGATAGATACATAGATTTAGGAATATATATAAGCCTGAAAAAAAAAAAAAATATATATATATATTTTGAGACAAGGCCTCACTCAGTTGCCCAGACTGGAGTTCAGTGGTGCAATCTCAGCTTACTGCAGCCTCGACCACCTGGGCTCAAGTGATCCTCCCACCTCAGCCTCCCAGGTAACTGGGACTACAGGCATGCACCACCATGTCCGGCTAATTTTTGTATTTTTTTTTAGAGATGGGGCTCACCATGTTGCCCAGGCTGATCTTGAACTCCTGGAGTCAAGTGATTTGTCCACCTTGGCCTCCCAAAGTGCTGGGATTACAGGTGTGAGCTGCTGCGCCCAGCCTATTATCTATATTTTTTGAGGCACTAATTTATGCTTAGGCTATTCTAAGAAAAAAACTAGAAATACAAAGATTTATGGCCAAAAATGTTCAGTTCATTGCAACATTATGTATAACAGCATAAAAACAGAAACAACCTAAATGTCCAACCTGTACTATAGATTATGATGTAGTCATTGAAGTTATTTTTGAAGACTATATAATGACATAAGAAAATGCTCATCGTATCATATTAAGCAAAAAAGAACCCCATTTATTAAATTATATTTACACAATCCTCAGTTTTGTAAGCATGAATTCTATGTCTTCATCTAAGTCACTGAGAGAAATGTGAACAGATGGGGTTTGGAACGGATGGAAGGTTCAGCAAAGTCAGCCTCCCTTTTCTGGGTTGAGGCTAGCCCTCTTCCATTCCTCCATTAACTGAACCTTCATCTGGCAATGGTTCCCAAATGTTTCCTAGGGGAGGGCACATAAGAATTACTGTGAGAGATGGTTTAGAAAAACAAAAACAGATTTTGGAGCCTGACCCACAGAGATTTCGACTCAGGAGGTCTGAGGTGGGGCCCTGGAATCCGTGTCAAAAGGCCTCCAAGTGATTCTGATGCACAGCCACGTGCAGAAGGAACCACGGCCTTCTGGTTCGAGGTTTTGAAAAGGACATTGAACACCTTTTGTAAGTCAGCTTCTGAATGTGAGTTAGGGAAGATAATGTCAGGATGGAAAAAGCCTTCCCCCTCCTACATTTCTCCAAATACTCTGTTGCTGCTTGTCAGGTGGATGATGTGACAACTGGCCCAGCTGCTGGCCTGCAGCGCTTCCCTGCTCGGACTGCAGCTGCCAGCGCTCCCCTGCCCACCCCCCGCCCCACCTACTCACCTCCTGCCTACCCCCACCACCCCACCCAGCCCCGCCTACCCTGCAGCTCCTTGCCCTGCTCTTCAGGACTTTTGCTCCAAGTCTTGCCTCCTCTTTGTCTTCTGAGATGCCAGCTGCTCCCTCTCCATGGCTTCCCTTCTGTCCACTTTTCATTCTGCTGAGGTTGTGCTTGTCTTTACCCAAACCCCTGTGATGCTTGTGGCCAGGCCTCCTTCCCCCAGGCCTAGCTGCTGAGAATTTGACGCCTCACATCCCACTCATTCCTCAACCCGCGCCATCTGGCTTCCTTCACCACCACTCACAGGCACACCTCTTGGCAAGGTCACCTGGCTCCCAAAGGCTAATCTACTGGTTCTGTTTCAGTCCTTTTCCTGGAAGCATCTGACACTACTGACCACCACCTCTCTCCCTGGCTTTTGTGGGGGTCATCGTTGCTTTACTTGCCTCGTATCCCCTTTTCTTGGTAGCAGCATCCTCAGGAGCTGCCTTCCCCAGCTCTCAGGCCACGTGGTTGGTGGGGCTGACCTCCCCACTCCCCACATTTCATGCCCCTGCCCCTAAGGATTGGTTCAGGGATGGGCATATGGTCAGGGTCAAACCAATGAGACTCAAGCCTGAGACTTTTACTGGGGCTGCTGAGCCAGCAGAATTCGAGGCTGGAAATGGAGGTGGCCGCCTGCCCACCCCTGAGAAGGAACACAACATGAGGAGGGCCACAGAGCCAACAGAGTCCTGGTGTGTCTCCTGCAGTCCTGGGCCAAGCCTGAAGCTTGCACATCCTGGTCTGATGGGTTTCAGGAAAACGTTCTTATCTTTTTATCTAAGCTAGCTTTGGTTGGATTTCTGTCACTTGCAACCTAAAGAGATCTGAGACAGCACTGAGCCACTACCCTCCCAGGCAATTACCCACCTCTTTGGTACTTTCCCCGGAGGGTCTCCACAAGCTCTGCTTCCTCTCACTTAAGAGTCCTGTGCAAGGACTTCTACTTCCCAGATGCTGGCTACTAAATGCTGACACTCCCAAGTCAACAGACCAGCCCAGATATCTCCCTGAGCTCCAGACCCATGTCTTACCCCTCATGGACATCGCCACCTTGGTGTCCACTCAAACATGACAGGTCTAAATCTAAACTTATCATTATGCCCCATCCTTCCTCTTCTTGGATCCCCATCTCAGTGAACAGCTGTACTCCCCAGTTACCCCAGAAACCGAGGCCTCATGGGTGACACCTCCCCACCCTCACTCCCTGGCCCTCTTTGGGCAGCTAATTCTCTGCTCATTCCTCAGGGCTCAGCTTTTAGGCTGCATTCTCAGGGAGGCAGCCTTTTCCAACCCGCAAGCCTGAATGAGGGGGTCCCTCCTATGCCCCCAGCCACCCTGTGTTTCTAGTGTTACAGCCCTTGTCACTCAGAGCTGTGGCCTGTTGACTCTCTTCTGTGATGGCTGGCCCCAACCCTGAAATCAAGATCATTTGAATAAATGAACACTAGCATCTGTAGGTGTGATCTTATATTGTATATTGAAAATATAGTCTAATTTTCTGTAAAAATTAAATATCTCAATATTTTAGAGAGATCTGTAAAGGGTATAATATTTGGAACAGAAGATTGATTTTCAGGAGCCCCAGTATCTGGATGAGTGTGAGAACCACTAAATAGGACCCATAGTTTTTCTGTGTGAGATTTTATTTTTTTAAAAATAGATGAACCAGGCTGCCTATTAGTGAATGCCTTCACTTCCCTTTTCCTTAATTACTGAGTCTAGAAACTTATCAAGGGAATGAAGCAGGCCTTTGTTCCTATTCAGAATCCATTTCCCTGCTTTTTTGAAAATGAGAACATCTGCCTGCTTCCAGTGTTCCAATACTTTTCATATTCTTCACAATTTCTTAAAAGCCACCAAATACAGTTCTTTGAGCAGAAATGCAAGTTCTTTCATCCATGTGTCCGGCCAGAGATTTCCTGAACCTCGCCTGTGGCAGGCCCTGGGAGAGCTCCTCAGCCTGTGGTTTTAATCCCCTCTTGAACACAGCTGGGCTCCCTTCTGCCATCTCTGGGGCATTTTCTTTGAGGAAAAGGAGGAAGCTGAGTAGTTCTGCTTTCTGTTAATATTGCAGCAAGAGCCCATGAGTGGGCCGATCACTTCCTGATTCTTGTTCTTGTTCTAATCATACCTTAAAAGGCTTTTTTAATGTCCAAGGCACTTTTACCTTCTCAGCCCACTCCAGCTTCTTGATCCTTCATACCGCCCATAAACCTTGTCTGCACCCTTGCACATGCACCCCTGCCCCTTTTTTCCCCTATTAAATACTATAGTTAAATGTTAATATCTAAAGTTTTTAAACACAATTACGGTATCAAGCATTTTATTAAAAATTTTTATCATACTTTGATTTTACCAACTTGAGTGTTATGAACAATGAACATGTTTATACATTGACAAGAATACTCATACAGGGATTGTGGGATGGCTACTTTCACTCCCTTTTCCCTCATCTTTACTCCTTTTTTTTTTTTTTTTTGTAGAGATGGGGTCTCACTATGTTGCCCAGGGTGGTCTTGAACTCCTGAGCTCAAACGATCCACCTACCTCAGTCTCCCAAAGTGTTAGGATTACAGGTGTGAGCCACTGCACCTGGCCCCTCATCTTTACTCTTTAGTTCCTTTGCCCTTGGGTTCTTCTAGCTTATTTCTACTTTGTTTTCTTTCTGGCATCCATTTCTATTTTAAATTATTACACATAGATGCAGAAATTACTTGGCTGGCGCTAGTTGCAGAATCATGAAAATTAAATCACATGATGCTTAGTGTTGAAAGACTGAATTGTTTTGGTTTTTTATTGAGATATAATTCATATACCAGAAAATTTATTCTTTTACAGGGTGCACTCCTTTAGTATATTCACAAAGTTGTGCAACCAATATCATTATCCAATTTCAGAACATTTTCATCACATCAAAGAGAAACTCCACGCCCACTAACAGTCATTCTCTATTTCGTTTGCATGCGGCTATCCAGTTGTCCTAGCACCATTTGTTGAACTATAGTTTCCCCCATTGTTCTAATAGTTTTTAAGTGGTTTCTTAGGATTCTCTACATAGAAGATCATGTCATCTGCAAAGAGTTTTACTTTTTTCTCTCCAGTCTGGGAGTTTATTTCTTTTCTTGCCTTATTTCCCTGCTCTCTACCCTTTTAAAGCCTATATAGTTTCTTGAGTGACTTCCCTCTTTTTTCCTCATTAGAATAAGTTTTCTGGGGAGAGGGAACAGAGCATATGAAGGGAGAAAGTGGAGCTCTTAAAAATGTGTAGTTTGGGATGGGGCGCGGTGGCTCACGCCTGTAATCCCAGCACTTTGGGAGGCCAAGGCGGGCAAATCACCTGAGGTCGGGAGTTTGAGACCAGCCTGACCAACATGGAAAAACCCCATCTCTACTAAAAATACAAAATTAGCCAGGCGTGGTGGCACATGCCTGTAATCCCAGCTACTCGGGAGGCTGAGACAGAAGAATTGCTTGAACCCGGGAGGGGGAGGTTGCGGTGAGCCGAGATCATGCCATGGCACTCCAGCCTGGGCAACAACAGCGAAACTGTCTCAAAAAAAAAAAATTGTGTAGTTTGCATTCATTTCAAATGGACTTCATACTTTTTCAGTGGAAATGTCTTCCTTCACAGCACCTGGGGCCAGGGATTTTCTGGAGGAATCTTTGAAATCTGTTTTCCTCAAGTTTTGGACACAAGCCTGGGTGAGCTCCATATCCATCCTTCCTCGGCTAGTACAGAGTCTAAGATGACATGGTCACTTTCCCCCATGCCCATCTCCCCTCCTTCTCTGGCCAATTCTTTATTGCCAGTCAAAGGCAGAAGAGCCAACAGCAATAAGAGAAGATTCCCACCATGTCAGCACAGGTTCTGTGTCATCAGTGACCTCTTGGAATGTGCAGGAAGCCAGGGAGATAAGAATCTATGGCTATGTAGATTAGGTACACCCCACAGCCAAGTATGAGCTTCTAGGGCCCAATCGCTAGAAGCAAACAACCCAGACCACTAACCAGGCTCTAACTAAGGCAGGATCCAGGATGCTCAGCACCCTGGGCCAACCCTTCCGCTCAAGATGAATCCATGGTTCATTTACAGTGTCTGGGGTGATATTTAATTCCAAGTTCACAAGTCTCCAGGGTAGCTGCCCTTTTGTTTGGGGATTTCCTCCCGGGTGCTAAATCACTTCCTCCTAGCTCCAATCTGAAAAGCAATTCAGGTCTCCTGTGGCCTCACCAAGCTTCCTGCCCACACTGATTTTCTTCTAACCTCACTGGTCTACCTTGTGTACATCACCTAACAACAAAGCCACTTAGCTCAAGGAAAGCCTCAAGAACAAATGGCTTCCTAATAAGGTGATTCCTCCCTCACCCTAGGGTGGCCCACAGCTCCAGCACCTGCTGAGAGGTGGCCAATTTGGATGAGGTAGCTGCCAGGAATCAAATCTCAGAACCCTTCATAAAACTGCGCTTAGCTATTCCACAAATTTCTCCAAATAATGAAACAGAGAGAAGAGTGAGAATATAATGAGAGAGAAATCTGGAAAAATACAAAAGATAAATTCATGTTCCTGTGAGTTGTATTCATCTTCCTGGGAGTTGATAATCAGGCTGGCTAGCTATCCAGTCTATGGGAGCAGAGAGAGGGCTGCATTATCTCCAGGTTGGCACAGCATCTAGCAGGGGCTCCCTGATGACACCTGGGCACAACAAGGACCTCACAGCAAAGACAAACAGGAGGAAATGCCTAGGGTGTGGGGACATGCCACCACTAAATTACAAAAATATATGCCTTTCTTCTTTGTATGTTTCAACAGTACCGCTTCCCACTCTTGTACCACTTGGCCATAACACTTTATTATCCCTAGTACCTAAAAACTAGACAGTATTACTGAGACCTTAAATGTGACATTTGTCATCTTTCAAGGTGCCAGTTACTGTAATACAGCTATGGTTCATTTTGAGTGTCTGGGTGACGGTGACATATTTAATTCTATTTTTGTCTTGTCCATAAGCACCAAATAAAGCAATTTTGAAATTACTTTCTTCACACTCAATTTATTATCTAGAACGACATTTCAATACACAGTATATTTGTTTTGTGGAATTCATTCGCAGTGTATCTGGAGGCCTGGATTTAACATATTTCCTGTAGTGATAGCTACTCTATTTGTAGGAACTATTTAGGTCACTGGAGTGGAGAAAAAGAGGTCGCTACTTAACAGAAATGGCATGTATCCAAATATAGATGCAGTTTTCTCAACACCTGTTGCACATCAAATGATGAAGAGATTGTTACAATTTCCAAAACCCTGGACCAAAACCTTAAATGATCAGCACTTTGTTTCAACTGATACACGGCTTAAGTCAGAAAAATAAGTTCTTCTTACCAAAAACAGTGAGCCTAAATATGCTGGCTGCTTTAGAAATAAAACAGGTGATCAACAAAGCAATCTGTTTCTGTCTAAATAATTTCCCAGCAAAAGTCACTTCTTTTGAAACTATATGATTTGAACCACAGGGTATGCACAGTGATTGTGTGCTTTCAGAAACACGGTAAGCATGACAAATATTTTCAGTTGTCAAGGGTAAGCGAGGAGGGAATGACCCACCTAAGAAATGGAAACTAACAAATAGTAATATGACACTCCCCCTTAGTTCCACAGGCTGGTGCGGCTGCTACACGCAGCTCACTTCCTACGGGCGGCTAAAGGCGGTGCATGAACTGAACGTAGGCGGCCTCTTTATCCCCTCCCCACAACACTGTGGGGTGGCACGTAAAGACCTCAAGGGAAGGGGGCCTGGGCGATACGCTCTCCTGCTGCCATTCATTTGTTCAAGAAATAGTTGAACAAATGAATAGTTAAACAAACTCTCCAACTAGGACTCTGTCCCATTCGGATACCCTACGCCTCTCCCCCCATTTCCATCCCTAGGCATCACTCCCTCGTCAAGAATATGCTGATTATGGCTCGCGCCCCCTCTCTCCCTTGGACCCTCCCGCCAGGGCGACCGGACGAGGCCAGCGGGAGCAACGCCTTCCGAACCGCAAGGAAGGAGGGCTCGGAGTGCGCAGGGCGCGGGTTCGCGGGACCCTCCAGCGCGCGGGGCTGGCCAGCCGGGGCGGGGCCGAGGGCACCGGGCGCCGAGCTCCGGGAGGGGTCCCCGAGGTCGCGCCGGCCGGGAGGGGCAGCGGCGGGAGGCGGCCGACTGCGGCGCACACGTGGGGAGGGCGGAGCGGGGCGGGAGCCGGGCGAGGGGCGGTGACGGTACCTGATGAAGGTGGTCTTGCCGGTGCTGTACTGGCCCACCAGCAGGATCATGGGCTTGTTCTCGAAGTCGGCGTCCTCCAGCGCAGGCGAGTGGAACTCGTGGAAGCGGTACGCCTCCTCCAGCGGCAGCACCTTGCGCAGGTAGAGCGAGCGCAGCCCGCCCGTCACCGTCTGCACCGCGTCCGCGCCGCCAGCGCGTTCGCGCCCGCCCGCCTGCCGCCCCATCCAGCTGAACATCCTGCCGCCAGTCCACGCTCGGATGGGACCCTGCTCCGGGTTCGACTCTCCCCGGCTCGCACTGAGCCGCCCCGGCCGCGCTGGCCGCCGCCCGAGGAGGGCCCCGCCTTGTGCTGCCACAGCCAGTCTTCGGCCGCTACGTCACGCGCGCTCGCCCACTATTCAGACGAGCTCTCTCAGGTCCTTCCTGATTGGATCTCTGCCAGAGAGGGCTGAAGGCGTCAGCCAATTGAGAGGAGGTTCTTAATGAATTATTGATGACGGAGTCATTCTAGAGGACTGGGCGGGGAGATGGTGTCTTCCCGGCCGGGTGGCACTGACCGGTCATGCTCAGGGCCCCCTTCTGGTTGCCGGTGCCTCACCTCTGGCCAGGTGGCATCGGCTTCCGGGTAAATCTGAGCTGCCCAAAGCGAGCCTCCGGAGGCTGCTCCATCTCCTGGAACGTTTACTCATTCAGGCCTCTGGACGTCGATACTGGGGATGAAAAGTTCAGAAAGTGGACAGGCAGGTTCTGTCTTCCCGGGGGCGGGTGGTTATGACTCCGTTTTACAGGCCAAGAGACCCAGGCTCACGGGCATAATTGACACAATCTTGAGGGGAAGTGGACTGGAATCTATTTGAGTAGCCGTTTCTCCTACTTCTCCACATTGCCCTCACTAAATTCTGGATCAGCTAAAGGCTTTTTCCCCTTAGTTTTCTTTATGTGTTTTTCTGTAAAGCCGAAAATTTAGTCATTACTCTCATTATTACATTATCCTCATTATTACAACTTTATTTCCACATATTGACATGTGAGTCATTGTCACCTCCTAGCTGTTTTTTGTTGTTGTTGTTGTTTTCTGAGACGGAGTCTCGCTCTGTCGCCCAGGCTGGAGTGCAGTGGCACGATCTCGGCTCACTGCAACCTCCGCTTCCCGGGTTCAAGCAATTTTCCTGTCTCAGCCTCCTGAGTAGCTGGGACTACAGGCGCTCACCACCATGCCCAGCTAATTTTTGTATTTTTAGTAGAGATGGGGTTTCACCATATTGGTAAGGCTGGTCTTGAACTCCTGACCTCAGATGATCCGCCTGCCTTGGCCTCCCAAAGTATTGGGATTATAGGCGTGAGCCACCGCCCCTGGCCTGTTTCTTTTCTAGGTTAAAAGGATACTCACTTATCTAAGTTGAGATTGGGGGAAATAATCACCTTTTGTGTCCTTGATTGTAGCTTAGGAATATTTCTTAGTTGTTT
Organism: Homo sapiens; assembly: GCF_000001405.40. Lineage (NCBI taxonomy): Eukaryota > Metazoa > Chordata > Mammalia > Primates > Hominidae > Homo > Homo sapiens. The sequence continues at coordinate 41,973,726 of NC_000015.10, forward strand.
TAGAGCATTTCTCAAGTGTGATCCATGGGGCCACCTGCATATATGCATTTATGAGCTGGGATGCTTGTTAAAATGCAGATTCCTGGTCTTCAGTCCAGACCTACTGAGTTAAAATATTGAGGAGAGATGGAGCTCAACAGATGCCCTAGGTGACTCTGATGTGGCCTAAGTCTGGGGAAACAGTACACCCTGCAGTACTTCTCCAACCTAACAGAAATGCGGATTCTGATTCGGTAGGTATGGGATGGGGCCCATGACTCTACATTTCTAACAGGCTCTCGGGTATTGCCAATGCTACCCATCCCTGGACCATACTTGGAGTATGAGAGAACAGGACTTTGCATCAAAAGATCTGGGTTTGAACCTTGACTATGTAAATTAATGGCTGTGTGATTTTAAATGTGATGAGTTACCTCTCTGCCCTAGTTTCCTTAAGAGCAAAATGGAAACTCCTTTGGAGTTGTTGTGTGGGTCACATAGTTGGAGGGAATTGTATGTAACTAGGGAAGTGAAAAGAAAGCCAAGGGAAAATAAAGTTAGACATCTGCCTTGTGTCAAAATAAAACAAAGATTGAAATGTAAAAAGAAAATGAAACCACTGCACTACTAGAAGAAGGTACAAGAGATTTATACAATTTGGCGGTGGAAAAGCCTTTCTAACCAACATTAAGGACAGAAATTATGAAAGCAAAGGCTGACATATTTGACAACAAAAGTAAAAGCTTCGATGTATTTTTTTAGAATACATAAAAACAAACGGATATAAATACAATCTTACCATATGATGCAGAAATCAGCTCCTTAGTATTTACCCAAATGAATTGAAAACTTATATCCACAGAAAAGCCTGTACATGGATGTTCATAGTGGCTTTATTCATAAGTGCCAAAAATTGGAAGCAACTAACATGTCCTTCAGTAAGTGAAAGGATAATCTGTGGTACATCCAGACAATGGAATCTTATTCAGCACTAAAAAGAAATGAGCTATCAAGCCATAAAAAGACACAGAGGAAACTTAAATGCCTATTACTAAGTGAAAGAAGCCAATCCGAAAATGCTATGTACTGTACGATTTCATCTTTATGACATTCTGGAGAAGGCAAAATTATGGAGGAAGTAAAAAGGTCAGTAGTTTCTAGGTGTTAGGGAGAAGGAAGGAATGAACAGGCAGAGAACAGAGGATTTTTATGGCAGTGGCTCTACTTTTTATGGTACTATAATGATGGATACATGTCATTATATATTTGTCAAAACCCACAGAATGTACAACACCAAGAGTGAATGTAAGTGATAATGACTCGTGAATTTCAGATCAGTTTTAGGTTCACAGCAAAATGGAGCATAAAGTACCGAGAGTTCCCATATACCCCCACCCTCCCCGACACACAGCCTCCCCCACTATCAACATCCTGAACCAATGGAACATTCGTTACAATCAATAAACCTAACCTAAATAGATACATCACTAAATTAACTTAAAATGGAACTAGATATAAAACTAATATAAATGTAGAACTAAATGTAAAACTTAAGATTATAAAACTTCTAGTAGAAAACACGGGAGAAAATTGTTGTGAACTTGGGTTAGGGAAAGATTTCTTAGGTGACACCAAAAGCACAATCCTTAAAGGAAAAAAAAGTTGGTAAATTGGATTTCATTAAACTTGAGAACTTCTGACCTTTGAAAGTACTGTGAAGAGAATGAAAAGACAAGACAAGGCACAGAATATACTTGCAGATCACATATCTGATAAAGGACTTGTATCCAGAATATTTAAAAACTTCTTAAAACTTAATAGTAAAAACCCCAATTTTAAAATTTCCATTTAAAAAATGGAAAAAAGATCTAAACAGATATTTTACAAAAGAAGATGTATGGATGGCAAATAAGCACATGAAGACATGTTCAACATTGTTGTTTGTTAGGAGAATGCGAATTAAAACCACAGCAAGATACTACCACATACCTATTAGAATGTCTAAAATTAGGAAAGACTGATCATGCCAATCATTGATGAGGATGTGGAGCAACTGGAACTCTTACACATTGTTGGTCAGAATGTAAAATGGCACAACCACTTTGGAAAACAGTGTGGCAGTTTCTTAAAAAGTGGAACGTACACTTACCACATGACCCAGCAGGGGAGGAGCAGAGGGAAGGATTGCAAAAGGCACTGGAAAGCTTTTGGGGCTGAAGGGTTTATTCATTACCTTGATTGTGGTTATGGTTTCACCATTGTATACATATGTAAAAACTCATGAAATTATGTACGTTGGATCCTCCATATCTCTGTGTTCTGTATCCATGGATTCAATCAACCACAGATGGAAAATATTTGGGGAAAAAAATGGATGGTTGCATCTGTACTGAACACATACAGACCTTTTTTCCTTTTCATTATTCCCTAAGCAATACAGTATAACAACTATTTTCATATCATCTACATTAATAATAAGTAATCTAGGTAGGATTTAAAGTATATGGGTTCCTGATGCATGGCGTTTTAAGTTTAAAAGAAAGTATGTGGAGGATGTGCTTAGGCTATATGCAAATACAATACCTTTTTTTTTTTTTTTTACAATACCATTTTATATAAGGGAGTTGAGCATCCATGGTTTTGGTATTCCCAGGGGTCCTGGACTCACGGATAAATGTACTTTAAATATGCACAGTTGATCATATGTTTATTACACCTTGATTAGTTGTTAAATATGGTCATACTTTTTGACTCAGGAATTTTTATCTTGAGGAAATTTATCCTGAGGGTATTTATACTGAGGAAATGATTAATGTAAATTTTTATCTAAGACGATGGTTGTCAGCATGGAGCTGTCTATCATCATGGAGGATTAGTTAAGCAAATTATGGGTTCCTATGTGGTTACTGAAAACTATGTCATTTGACAAGAATATTAATGATGTGCAAAAATGCTCAGAATATATTTTTAAGTGGAAAAAGGCTAGATTACAAAAGTGAATGTACATGCAGCTGCTAGGGAAAACAATATGGAGGTTCTGCAACAATTTAAAAATAGAACTACTGGCCAGGTGCAGTGGCTCACGCCTGTAATCCCAGCACTTTGGAAGGCCAAGGCAGGCAGATCCCTTGAGGTAAGTAAGGAATTCAAGACCAGCCTGGCCAACATGGCAAAGCCCATCTCTACTAAAAATAACAAAAATTAGCCAGGCATCATGGCGGGCACCTGTAATCCCAGCTACTCGGGAGTCTGAGGTAGGAGAATCACCTCAACCCGGGAGGTAGATAGAGGTCGCAGTAAGCTGAGATTGTGCTACTGCACTCCAGCCTGGGTGACAGAGCAAGACTGTCTCAAACAAAACAAAACAAAAACTACCATATGATTTACCAATCCCCAATTTGGGTATATATTTAAAAGAATTAAAAGCAAGCTCTCAAAGAGGTATTTGTCTACCCATGTTCACAGCAGCATCATTCATAATAGCCAAGAGGTGGAAGCAAGCCAGTGTCCATCGATGGATGAATGGATAAACGAAATGTAACACACACACACACACGCACACAGAGGAATATTATTCAGCCTTAAAATGGAAGAATATTCTGGTACATGCTACACCCTGGAACACGGATGAACCTTGAGGACATTATGCTGAGTGAAATAAGACAGTCACAAACAGCCAAATGCTGTATGATTCCACTCATATGAGGTTTCTAAAGTAGTCAAATTCACAGAAGCAGAAAGTAGAATGGTGGTTATCAGGGGCTGGCGGGAGGGGAATGGGGAGTTGTTCAATGGGTATAGAGTTTTAGTTTTGCAAAATGAAAGAGTTCTGGAGATCTGTTGCACAACAGTGTGAATATGCCTGAAACTGCTGAACTTTACACTTCAAATTATTAAAACGGTAAATGGTGTGCGTGTTTTCTACCACACGTCTTTTAAAGTGGACGTACAGGATTTTTGTACTTTTGTTTTAAACAGTTTAAAGTATCTAAGAAAAAGATGGGAAGGAAAAACCCCCAAATAATAACGATGTCTGAGTTTTGGACTGGTAAATGATCTTAGTTTCCTCTTTATAAGCTGTAGCATTTTTCAAATGTTACACAGTAATCACGTTCCTGTTATAAAAGCAGAAAAAATTATCAGGAAGAAAAAAATGTACTGTCTTTAATCTTAAAAAAAAAAAAGAAAAGAAGAGAAAGTCCTAAAAGCGCCTGGCCCAGAGGAGGCACCAGTCCCATCTTGCTTCGCTCCCTGCTTGCCTTCATGCAGTTGCAGCTTTCTTATTTATTATTTTTGTAGGCACATAGTAGGTGTGTATATTCATGGGGTAGCAGCAGCTTAATTTATTTTTGTGGGCACATAATAGGTGTGCATATTCATGGGGCAGTGACAGCTTTTTTTCTTATTTATTTTGTTTTTGTGGGCACATAGTAGGTGTGCATATTCATGGGGCAGTGACAGCTTTATTTTATTGTTTTTGTGGGCATATAGTAGGTGTGCATATTCATGGGGCAGCGGCAGCTTTCTTATTTACTTTATTGTTTTTGTGGGCACATAGTAGGTGTGCATATTCATGGGGCAGCGGCAGCTTTCTTGTGCTTGCTCTACCCTCAATGAAGCCAGACAGTGGCAGATCCTCCCCGCCATAGTCATGTTGCATCTGTTTGCAAATCATTCTGCTCTTTGGTTTTCTTTCTTCAGACTAAACAGTCCCAATTGCAGTCACTCTTTCATCTGAATCCAGTTGTTTTTCAGGTCAAATCCTATCACAGGCAGTTCTACAAGGGAATGCCACTAGTTGTTCGGAAATCTATTGTATTGAATGCACGCTTGAAATTAGGAAGCTGGTAATAATGGTCAGAAGATTTGCTCTAGACCATGTTCAGTGGTTGGCTTTAAATGGTGATCAAGTCCAGTGTTTTACCCTGAAAACTGGATTGCAGAGTGGTTAAAGGCCTGGGAGACTCGTGCTGAGACCAGAGGCAGTGCTGTGGCCTGGTGCTCTCACACGCTGATGGCCTTTCTCTGTGGCCACTCACCCAAGTCACTGCCACCACCCAGAGGAGGGGCTTATAGGACACACAGGTGGAGATGGCTAGGAGGTACTTGCAGGAAGTCTGCTAGCTGCGTATAAATTGTCCTTCTTTCGCAGCAGAACTCTGATTTTTAGGTGGGCATATTGCCACCCATGCAAAAAACAAAAACTTCCAGCCTCCCTGCAGTTAAGTGTGATGATGAGACCAAGTTCTGGTTGGTGATATGTTAGCTGCAGGATGTGTGGGACTTCCAGGAAGTCCCTTTAAGAAGGAGTTCAATCTTTTTTCTCCTTCCTTCTGGTGGCCTGGAATATGGGTGTGATAGCTGGAGCTCCAGGGCTTACCCTGGACCATGAAGCCAAGGACCACATAAGGGTGGATAAAGCAAAGAGCCAGAAGAAGCAGGGTCCCTGACGAATCGTAGGTGTGCCTTGAACTGCCTTCCTGTGGATGTCTTTTACATGAGTGTGTTTAAGCCACCATTTTTCAGAAATAAACATGCAATTCCTAACCAATAATCAATTTGTTACCAGAAATGGAGTCTGCCACAACGGAACCTAAAATGTGACATGTGCTCAGCGGACAAGGGGGAAGGTCAATATTAAGGATTCAAATATTGTAGCTGGAATTTAAAATATGGCTGCACAGTTCTTGACATGCCCTCCATCCAGAGATGGGTTCATTGTCCCCTCCCCTTGAATCTGGACTGGCTTGTGACTACTTCTGCCAATAGATTTCCATGGAAGTGGAGCTACGTAACTTCTGAGGCTAAGTCATAATGGGCCATGCTGCTGCCACTGTAACAGACACTCTTGGAACCCTGAGTGCCATTTAAGAAGACTGACCATCCTGAGTCCATCATGCTGGGGTCACCAAGGTGCTCTGATTGACACTCCTAGCTGGGATTGCCTTTCATCTTTCACAGACTTCCCAGCCCAGGCACCAGACACAGGAGTGAAAGAGTCGTTGGACGAGGGCCCTTCAGCCCAGGCTGTTCCCAGATCCCAACCACTGGAGTCCTCACCAGCAGTTCAGATCATCTGACCTGTGGCCCCAAACATGGAGCAGTTATGCCCTTTTCAAATTCCTGACCCACAGAATCTGTGAGCATAATAAAATGGTGGTTAATTTATGCCATTATACATTGAGGGCTTTTGATGCTCAGCAGTAGATAACTGGAACAGCTGGTAATTCTTACTATGTTAAGATAAAAGTTTAGTTCTTTTTCACAGAGAAGAAGTCCAGACATAGGCAGTCCAGGACAAGTTTGGTCACTTTGTAGTCAGCAAGAACGCAGATTCCTTTATCTTCCCTGCTGCCTGGAATGTGGACATGATGGGTGGGGCTCCAGCAGCAATATTGGACCAGATGGTAATCTTGAGGATGACAGAAGAGAGCAGAAAGGAGCTTTGGTCTCTGATAATAGAGAAATAACTCTCTCTCTTGTTTAAGCCACTGTAATTTTAGATCTTCAGGTTATACGGCAAAAGCATTGCTAATAGGCACAGAATTGGAATTCATGGGTTTAGAACCAGGAGATTGGCTTGGCTAAAGCTAAAAGGTTAAGAATTTTCAAATTAGAAGCAGTAGTTGAAGTCCTGGGTATAAATGAGGTTGCTTAAGGAGAGTACAGAGTGAGAAGAGGAAAGAGCTAAGGAGCCTCGAGGAATGGCAGCAGTTAAAAGAGAGGCCAGAGGAGGGGCTCCCACCTTTCCAGGGGAAGAAACCCGAGACAGAAGGTGTTCAGTGAACACGACTTCTTCCCCTCTGTGGCTGGGTTGGGAGCCCTTCCTATGCCTCTTCTGGACACAGCTAACATGCAGCTTTCTCTTCATATCACAAGGGCTCTGTTTTACATGAGGGCCTCCCACATGGGACCAGAAGGAACCTCCTTAAAGTTTGGAATCAATTGTTAATTCTTCTTGTGGCCCCAGTGCCTACAACAGTGACTGGCATGTAATGGGCAGGCAGTAGTTATTTGCAAGCTGAACTGAATTGAACTGCTTTTGGCAAGGAAGTCCTGGGAAGGGAAGGTTTCCAGAAGGAGGGAGTGGTCTGCGGTGCAAACACTGAGAACAATCAAGTCAGATAAGGCCTTTACAAGACTGGTGGGTTTGGCTCAGTGCATCTGGCAATGAGGAGGCCATTGGTGACCTTGAGGAGAAGTGTTTTCGTGGGGAGGCAGCGGGGACAGGGTAACTGGTGTGTGGGAGCGGGTGGGGTGCTGGTTGCTCTTTTGGGAAGAAAGGGTGGAGACAAGGAGGGACGGGTTTCATTCATTTTGTCAATTTCATCATCTTCATCATAGGCAGAGAGCAGGGAACTGGGAAGGGAGCCTCCCCTGACTTCTGCAGGATACCATGTGCTTGCCCTGTCAGAGTTGATGACACTTTTGTCATTTCCTTAGCCAACTCACCATTTAACTTCTCATGTATGCATAACAATCTTTTCATGGTTTTCTCCCGAACCAAAATGTAAGTTCCTGGAAAGCAGAGACTGTTTACAGCTTGCTGTGCACAAAGTAGGTGTTTCGTTGGTGTTAACTGCCTCTGTTTCCTCTCAAGCAATGTTTCCTGAAATATACCTGAGCTTGGAACAGCATGGATCTGTACGAGCTGGTGCCCCACTAGTTGATGACATGGCTTCATGAAAACAGAGGAGCACCTCACCACTAGAAGAGACCCTTGCAGTAGGAAACAAAGCTGCATGAGAAAAGGTGGGATGGGATGGAAACGGCCTACTCACTCCCCCAGGAGTGGAGAGGAGGAAGCCTGAAGGGATGAGGGCAGGGTTATGCATATTTTGCAGCATCAGATAATGAAAGCAGATGAGTCAGCAGCATTCACCCACATGGCCATTTTATTCCATGCACAAATAATATGATGATTTTATAAACCTCGTTTCACAAACTTTTGATGAATCCAAGGCATGGCTGCCTTCGCCTTACGATAAACAAGTCCTGTCTGTTGCTTGGCTCACTCTTTGATACTGGAAGGAGAGTCTGTTGCAGTCAGAAAGAAAAGATGTCAAAGTGGAGGCAGCCAGTTGCTCTGGTGGAGGGGAGGGCTGGTGTCCCAGGTTAGCATTACCTGGATGGGGACCAGTTTTGCAGGTCCAGAGCTCAGTTTATCAGTGGCTCAAGGGAGCACTGATTCATACGTTCCAAGCTCATGGGAGGGAGTGGCGTAAATCCAGGCCTCTCAAACTTCAATATGCACAGGAATCACGGGGGGCGCCTGGGGATGGGAATCTCCTGAAAAATGCAGCTTCTAATTTAGTACAGCTGGGCTAAGGCCTGAGATTCCGCATTTCCAACCAGCTCCCCACTGCACTTTGAGTAGCAAGGATGTACATCGGAGGCCAATTTTTCTAAACTTTTGGTACCTGTCACCACTGGTTTCCTCACAACCCAAAGACTGCTTAGGGAGCATGGTGGCCCAGAAAGGGGACTCCGCCTTCCAGGGTTGCTGGGTTTCCTGCAGACCTCATGTCTTCCTGCCTTTCTGCTTTCACCTTCTATCAGCCTGGGCCTGTCAGTGGCTCCGGTTATACATTTCCTTGGTTATGTTCCCAGCCTGAAGGGAGACCTGCTGACTTTGGGTTTCTCTGTGTCCCAGGGTTTTCCCAGAGATTCATTAGGAAGCAATCTTAAAGGGCGGGCTTCTTCCTCTGACGGCTAACCTAGTCCTTTTTCACTAATTCTTCCCAGTTTCAGTCTCTGTGGGTGACTCTCCAAGAGTTGGAATGCACTGGTCACGGTGTTGACAACACAGATAAGAGGAATCACATTTAGAAATAAGTAATCCCATGAGGCAGCCAGAGAGATGGGCAGTAAGAGGCTGAGAGATGCTCTTGGAGCAGGGTCGTCAGTGAGCACCGACAGCTGGAGTGGGCAGCGCTGGATGCATCGCCTGCCTGGCCCCCAACCTCATTTACCCACAGCCTGCCTGACCTTGCTGAACTCCATCCCAGATCCTCATTTGGTGAACCTGGGCTATAGACTTAGGCTTTGCCTGGCATTTGTTTGGAGCTGGATGCTTGGGCATGGCTGTCTGGTCATGATGACATGGATCACCAGCCCTGGAGCTCTGGGTAGCTGGAGAGAGCCACTGAAACCGGCCACCTATTTGGCTTTGTTGTGGCAGAGACTGGCTTATTTCTAGGGCTCCATCTAGATCTTCTAGCTTCATGCTTCCTATTAATACTCCGATTCATAAAAATAAAAATCATGAAATATAATTGCCTATAAAAATAATGAGACTAGGGCCGGGTGCGTTGGCTCATGCCTGTAATCCCAGCACTTTGGGAGGCCGAGGCAGGTGGATCACCTGAGGTCAGGAGTTCCAGACCAGCCTGTACTAAAAATACAAAAAATTAGCTGGGCATGGTGGCGGGTGCCTCTAATCCCGGCCACTTGGGAGGCTGAGGCAAGAGAATTGCTTGAACCTGGGAGGCAGAGGTTGCAGTGAGCCGAGATCGCGCCATTGCACTCCAGCCTGGGCAACAGAGTGAGACTCCGTCTAAAAAAACCCAAAAATCACAAGACTAGAATTGCCTTAAATTTTGAAGTGTTTTTCCAGTGAAACGCCGAGTGCCTCTCAGGTCCTTCTGTGCATTTCCCTAGGCCCGCCACACGAGGTAGAGGACAGAGAGAGGAGGGCTGCCAGCCCTGGGCTCTGCCTCTGAGTCGAGGTTTCTGGGGGCCCAGCCTCTTCCCCAGGCTTTTCCTCTCCACAGATGTGTGGGAGCCTGTGGCTATGAGACCACCTTCTCTATAGGGAAGCACTTGAAGAAACTCTAGTGGGTATAAAACCCCAACAGAGCTCCTCTCTCTCTCTTTCTGACTTTCTCAACTTTTTAAAATTTTTTACTTTTCGTTAGAAAGCCCAGGCCAACCTGCTCACACCCATTGCCGGAGAGCAGAGCTGGCTGCGTAGTAACCTGGTCAGCCCTGAGGGGTCCTGCACCTCTGATGGTAGAAGCTGACACAGAACAGGGGAGGCTCCCTGGGGCCTAGGAGGGACACTGGCCCTTCAGGCGCTTCTTCTTCTCCACTGCGAGCCGCAGAGCCTGGAGGAGAGTGTCCTTATTATTCAGGATGTTATACTCTGAGAGTTTCACCAGCTTGTCAAAGGTGGCCTCTGTGTATGTCAGCTCCTTGGTGGCATAGGGAGTTTTGGGACCATAAATGTCCACCTGGCCCTGCTCCAGCTCCTCAGGGCTTCGCTCTACACCTGTGGGCAGCAGGATGACTTGTTATAGACTCTGTCATGTTAGGTTGGAATGACTTGTTTCCACATCTCTCCCCAAGGCCCACCAACCTGCACTCACGGACACACACACCTGCATGAAAACCTGTACACACGCACACCCTCACACACGCACCTGCACACCTGCAAGCTCCTCAGGGCGTGGTGCAGGCTTGCCCATTGGAGGATTGCCCTAGCACCAAGCACAGTACTGGGCACATGGCTGAATGTCAGAAAATGTAGAATGACTGAAAGAATGGGGGATGACACTACCAGCCCATGGGGGTGAGGGAATGGGAGGCGCCCTTCTTTGTGGAAGCCAAGGTTGGCTCAGGCTGGAGCTGAGCCAGGCTTCCCCGTTAGTGCCCTTAGAGACTCTACAGATCTAAAGGCATTCCCGGGCCAAGGGCAGCAGGTGCTGGGAACTGAGCACAGAGGCAGCTCACCTGGTGCCTTGTATTTTCGGAAAGTGTCATTGATGAGTGGGAAGAAAGTCACGATGGGGGCATCGGGTTCCTGGGGGTTCTCCATCAGGTAGCATTCCTTGAGATTTTCATTCTCATCTGGCAGCTCGTATTTGGGGAAGGGGATGTTCTGCACAGTGCAGTACTCACAGGTTTGTTTCAGGGGCTGGAACAGCACAGAGGGCGTGTTTGAGCATTAGGAGGAGTGGGAGTGGAGGAGAAGCACAGAGTTCTTAGCCCCAGCTTCCTGATTTCCCCAGCTAACAACTCAGCTCCCCAACTGCTTTGCCAGTGTATGGTATTTTGAGACTAAAGCCAGGTCAGGACAAAAGGCCCGAGGCAGTAGGTGGATGCACCTCCAGTTGCAAGCTGCTTCCCCAAGTAAAATGGACAAAAGCCCTTTCGTTGGTGTTCGCATCCAAACACAGACTTGGGTGGATGTGGTGGGTAGCCTGGAAGGGCGACTGGAACCAGGCTATACACAGCCAGAGCTGCCCAGGCCCCTGTGGGATGTGCATGGGCTTTGGAGCTGACAGTAGTACAGGGCTAGAAAAGACTCTGCAAGGGCATCTCTAAAAGCATGATGTCGCAGGAAGAGCACTGCCTTAGAGTGTCAGAACCCCCTCAGTTCTGCCCCTCGTTCCTCTGCTCACTAGCTGTGTGATCTTAAGCAAGTCTCTCTGTGTCTTGGTTTCCTCATCCATAACATGAGAAATGATAGCAGTTGTGCCGTCTCCCTCCAAGAGCTGGTGTAAGGGCCAAACAAGATCACACGTAGGAAAGTGCATTGTTACCCATTTACAAACTTAGATTGTTTTCATTGTTGCCCTGTTGGTCTGTGTACACTTCACTTCGCCTGGCTTCAGGGTAGAACTGTATACACATAGAACTTTCCAAAGTAAATTAAAAAAATAAAAACTTCTGGTTCTGACAAGTGCCCTCCTCTCTCGCCAGGCTTCCCTCCCACCTGAGAGCACTTGAGTGTAATTCATGGAGGGTCATATACCCTGGGGGAAGGGAGAGTGTGATCATTTTGAAAATAGGATATTACAAGCTCTTGAATGGAATGGGCTCTACTAAGGTTATTTTTAAAAACTCATTTTTTGTAGCTGAAGAATTGCCCAATATGGCAAATGCTCCAAGGCAAGAGTAAAATTCGAATTTGCTAAGTCAACATGGGCACCATGGTGTGAGAGCCAGCTGGCTGCCCGTGAGTTCTGGGTGTCTGACTTCCCATCATGACTGCTGCTTGGCTTCCTCTGATGCTCTCTGGGGGCTGTCTAGAGCATGCCTCTTCCCAGTTCACAGCGAGTGAGGCCACTGACTGCGGGGCCCATCTTAGGAGAGGCTGCAGCCCATGCTCAGGAGGGAGGCTGCGCACTTGCCTTTGTCTGGGACCCAGCACAGTAGTTGAGGTGGATGATGAGGTCGGCTTTTCGCTCTGGCCTGAGGAGGGGCGGGTAGCTGGAGTTGACAAAGAACGCAGTGTCCAGCAGGCACAGGTGGTTCGCGGACTCGGTCAGCTGGTTTGGGAAACCATCTAGCACTGTGTCTGAAAGCCAAGCCTTCCCGTTACCAACACACCTGGTGCCCTGACAGCCAATGGACAGAGGCACTTGGGGGGACGGAGCGCCCTGTCTGGAGCATCCTTCGCCTCAGCCTGACCAGGACGCCCACTGAGTTCCAGTGCCCTCTGGGTGGCTGAGGAAGAACAGCGTTATCTTGGGCTTTTAGCTAGTCTTTTATGGGATATTGATACTTGTGGGGTATAAGGGGCTTAAGACCACCCCATAAATAGTGTAAACCCTGGGCCCTGAGTCAGCTGTCCCATTGGCCCCAGATGGTGAGGATGAGGCTTAACAGGCCAGGCTGAAGCAGCCATTTGCAGGCCACGGCCAATTAAAATATTAAGAAGGCGAAAGTCAATGCCTTAGGGCCTCAGCAGCAGAGGAGGCGGCACTGAGCTGACGCTGCAGGACCACAGTTTAAGGCCTGGCTCTGCTGCTTACCACTTGGGGGTTCCTGAGCTGGGCCATCCCTGCCCAGTTCCAAGCGGGCACCACTCACATTTTTTTTTTTTTTGAGACAGGGTCTTGCTCTATTGCCCAGGCTGGAGTGCAGTGGCGTGATCATGGCTCATTGCAGCCTTGACCTCCTGGGCTCAAATGATCCTTCTATCTCAGCCCCCAAGTAGCTGGGACTACAGGTGCTCATCACCATGCCCAGCTAATTAAAAACAATTTTTTTTTAAGAGATGGGGTCTCACCATATTGCCCAGGCTGGTCTCAAACTCCTGGACTCAAGAGATTCTCCAGCCTCGGCCTCCCAAAGTGCTGGTGTTACAGGTATGAGCCACTGTGCCTGGCACCACTCACATTAAAGGGCATCCCCAGAACACAACTGCAGAAAGTAAGACCCCCTGTTTCCCCATCTGTAACATGGGGCCAACTTCTACCTGCTAGGACTGTTGTACAGATTCTGTATAGAATGACTGTACAGATGCAGTGAGTTAAGTACCCACACCACTCCCTGCTGCCAGACACATACAGTGTTCAAGACGACACCACCAAATGTGGAAAACACCATGGGGAGAGAGGTGCCTGGCCCAGTGAACATAGCCAGAGAAGTTTTCTTATTCTTTATCCATGGCAGCCTTGACATCCACATCTTCCTCCTCCATATGGAGGCAGGCCTCAAGGAGTAGCCAGGTAGGGTTACCTTTCCACCTAGAGAACTGGCCATTCTGGAGGTAGTTGGTGTGCAGCTGCAGCCCAGACAGGAAGTTGTGAAACTCAGACACGAAGGACCGATGGGTAAGGATTTCTCGGAAAGAATTGGACAGCCATGACCCTGGGATCACTACCGTGGTCTCCAGGATGTTAGCATCACATTTGGGGATTTCAGGCAGGATCGGCTCGTCTTCTGCAGGGGAGGGAGGGATGAAGGGCAGGTCATGAGAGGTGGAGTCCCCAGATTGCCTATGCGAAGCCCCACATGGTTGCCTGGCACCCAGGGGTGAGCACTGTAAAAGCAGCTCATACCTTCCTTGCTGGGCTCTCAAGGTCCTGGCACTGGGGTTAGGAGGATTCAGGTGAGAGACATGGAGTAAGCAGAGAGGTAGTAGAGAGGGAGGGGGAGCGAGACAGCTAAGAAGCGTCCTGGAGAGGACAGGGAGTTTCAAAGAGTGACCTGTGACTGCTATAGACCCTACTCTCCTCACTTCTCCTGGGTGCTGGCAGCCTTGCCTCCAGGCCTTGGCGCTGGTGTCACTCACCTACAGTCACCCTCCCCTCCAGGCAGGGAAGACACTGTAGCCCCAGCTGCCCTCCCACGTCTTAGGCCATAGGTGACGATGCGGAAACATGTGGCAGGGGGCCTCATCCTCGGTTTGTGGTCCACACCCCGCCCCCCATCACCCAGCCATGAGGGAAAGCCGGGGGCCGCCCCCCATCACCCAGCCATGAGGGAAAGCCGGGGGCCGCCCCCCATCACCCAGCCATGAGGGAAAGCCGGGGGCCGCCCCCCATCACCCAGCCATGAGGGAAAGCCGGTGTCACCCATCACCCAGCCATGAGGGAAAGCCGGGGTCACCCACCGATGTCCTGCACTTTCTCCCTTGTCCACCTGTGGAAAAACTCCTCCGAGGTGTGTGACAGGTTCCAGGCATCCAGCAGGTTCAGGGAGAAGATGCTGCTCCACAGGCCTGGGAGCCAGGGCCAGCGTGAGCAGCTCCACCCTGCAGCCCCAGGCCCCACACTGACATTTGATTCCCCACTCCCCCCACCCCCCCACCCCACGCAAGCCAGGCTGCTCCACAGGCGGGACAGACTTCAGACTTCCATGTCCTTCTCCCCTTCCCACTGCAGCTCAACACAGTGACTGAGGGGCTCAGCTCTCAGCTCTTCTCTTCCCTCCCCTCAGTGCCGGGAGACGTAAAGGTGTATAAGGCACAGCCCCGGCAGGGATTTAATGCTGGCAAGTGCAGGCTTTGAGTTTAAGTCCAGCTGCTGTCAGTGAATACATCTAAAGCATTTAGGGCAGCACCTGGCACATGGCGAGCACTCAATAAATGCAAATGCTATTTGTTATTATGATTTTTAAATGTAGGCATTAGACATTGACCCATTTGGAATCTCTATAAGGTGGGTTTTACTCTTAAGCCTAATTAACTAAGGAGAAGATGGAGGCTTCGACAGGTGAGGCAATCTGGCCAACTTTACACAGCTAGTGAGTGAGAAGCCAGAGTTCAGAGTTCAAGCCCACGTGTTTTGCCCACAGTTTTCTAAACCACATGCTCATCAGCATAGGTGTTCAGGGGAAGGAGAGGCCACCGTGGGCTGGGGGCTTCTGGGGGAAGAAGTGATGGGACTGAGTTGGATCTTGCAGGATGGGTTGGTTTGGGATAGACAGAAGGGGAAGGCACAGACAACTAATTTAAATAAGGGCGTGTTGGGGCTGTGAATGTGGGTCTGTTTCTGAAGAAGCCCTTTGACGGGCGCAGCTAAGACTCTGAAGGGAAGAACTCGAGTGGGTCCTGCATTCGGTGGGCCCAGCTCATGAAGAACCGAGGCGCTTAGGGTGGGAGGCTGGGCTAGGCTTCTCTGGTGACCCTGCCCCTTACCCTGTGGTCTCCCTGGACCCTCGGGTCCCAGGTCTGGGTTGGCCCCTGGAAGCAGGCACACTGCTGGCCGAAGCTAGACGGGAGTGGGTGGGAGTTACAGAAGCTTCCGTCTGAGTCTGCTGTTCCCAGTGTGGTGCTGAGCAGGCTGCAGGGAGACTGCTGGAGACCAGGAAATTGGGAGAGCCCCCAGACCAACTCTGGTCCCCAGTGACTTGGGACCACTCCTAGGATGAGACAATGCTGGCAAGTGCCCCGAGTGTCACATAATCAGGGGCCAACCCAGGGTGGCCCAGCACTGGGCAGCAGCCCCCTGTCATTCCGCCAGTTGCAAGGCAGTCACCTAGCATGTAGCAGATTCGAGACTCCGGGATCCTCTTCACCAGCCGCCCCATGAAGAACTCGGAGCCGAAGAGCTCGGAGGGGATGAAGGCCCCATACTTCTGCAGGCCCACCTCGTAGGGGGAGAACTCGAACCACTCTGCACATGAAGCAGCAGGACGGGGGTCAGTCTCAGGCCAGGGAGCCGTCCACACAGCCGGGCCCCCCTCCTGCCTGCAGCCACTGGCTCAGGCCTTGGAAAGCCTGGGACAGGGAGGCCGCAGTTCCCCCAAAGGACACATGGGGGCACCCTTGGCCAGCTTCTGCTGGTGTAGCAAGGGTCAGCTTTGCCATGCTTTGCAAGGAGGATGGCTCATTTGCACCTCAGAGCCTGTTGAATGGGACAAAAACTGACCCTGAAGCAGGGCAGCTCTCTCGAGTCTCTCTCTCTCTGGGCAGCGTAGAAATATCTTCCTTTCACAACCTTTGTCTTCCCCAGTGTCATTAAACACATGCCCAGGGAAGCTGCAGACAGTGCCTGCCGGCCTCACCCATGCAGCAGGGCAGATTGGGGTAGCAAAGGTGATTTCTCCAGCTGTGTGCACAGTCTGGATGTAGAGGTTGACAAAGATGAGTGGGATTGGGGGACCTGGAGGTGCTGGGTGCTTTTGCCCACCAAGAAGTCCCCCCCTCCACCCCACTTGTAAATCACCAGCCACTGGTGTTACCTCTGAAGTCCTGGTTGCTTACATCATCCTTGACATTGATGGTGAGGTAGATGGGCAGGGGGTTCTGGCCGCAGCTCAAAGCAGCACGCTGATCTGACAGTTTGCATTCATTTCTCTGTGGGGAAACAAAATGGTTAAAGAGAAGCAGCAGCCCAGAGGGTGAGGGAGGCAGTGCAGAATGAGAAGACAATCTGGACCCCCGCAGCCACTTCCTGGCTCCTGAGCTCACCGGGCTGCTGTATCGGCCCCAGCTGACACCAGCCAAATCACTCTGAAAGGGCACCAATGGCATAGGCACCACCCCCTCGGGCTGCCCACCACCAGACAGGGGCCGGGACTGGATCCGCAGTTTAGGACAGTCTCTCAGAGTCCCAGGGTCTTGGTCTTAGGGGTCAGCAGATAAAGAGGAAGGGGTGGGAGAGGCTAGCACTGCCCCTCTTCTGCCCCATCGTCTTCCCTCTGCTAGAACTGGAGCAGCTCCATGTTTAGCATCTCCATTTTTTAAAAAAAATCAGCTTGGCATGTTGAGCTCCCTCAACTGAGGGGTAAAAAGTTGGGGGAAAAGAAGTTTCCCTTCCTCCGCTCCCCTGCCCTCCCCTCCCTCCCTCCCCTCCTCTTCCCTTCTTTTTTTTTTTTTTTTTTTTAACAAAAGACTTAGGACTTGAACACTAGATGGTTGCTGAGGTCACTCTAATCCCCAGAGTGGGGAGCCTTTCAGATCAGCCCGGGCCACAGTCCACCTCCCAAAGTGAATCAGCCACTGCAAACGAGGCAGAATCAAGGTCTTAGAGGCCCAGGCTCTGACCCCAGGCCAAGCAGCTGACTCCTGGGTGACCAACCCTGGTCACCCCAGTGTGCAAAGGCTACAGAACCTGTGTGGAATGGCAAACACATGTATATGCCCAATGACATGTGGGTCTCCTTTGAAAGAAAACAGGGTCATAACTGGGCCCAGAGATCTGGGCATCACAGAGCCCACTGTCCTGGAAGTAAAGCTGCAGGCTCAGGGAAGAGCCGGTCCACATTCATTGTCAAGGTGGCCCAAGGGAAAGGGGCTCCTGTCCTGGCCAGAGCGCAAGAGCAGAGGCCTCTCAACAACAACCCTGCCCTTGCTTTCCTGGGAACCCAGCTCCTTCCCACCAAACCCCCAGAATGCTGAGACTCCTGATGTCGGAAGACTCGGTGCTTCCTCCTCATCATATGCGGCACTCATGATTGTTACAATATTGTTGAAAATGTTAACTAGCACTTATTGATGTAATTCCCACTTAAGGAATAGTAAAGAGCAGGGCCTGAATTTCAAACCCATCCTGACTGAATCCCAAGGCCGATGCCCTTGGCCTCTGCCTGCTCTGCTTCATAGGGAGGACAGGTTAAGTGGTGGGTTATCACAGGGGCAGGGTGGGTGGGATCCATCAGAAGTGGCGAGGGCCTGGGGTTGGAAGCCATGTCCCATTCCTTTCTGAATCCCCATTTGCCAGCGCAGTTCCTGGCATGCAGGAGGTACTCAAGTAATTTAATTGAAGGAATGAGGGAAGATTGAAGATGAGGGTCCGGTCATTCTCAGGTGCTCAAACTGTCTGGCTTTCTGGAAGATGGAACCTACTATTATAAAAAATAATTGCTGCAATGACTTTCTGGCAAGTTCTGATTTGAATTCAGAACTCCCCGGACACCTTTGGAGTGGAGCAGGGAACCGTGGGCCTGGACAGAGGTGGGAAGCTCTCCTCTGGGGCCAGGCAACAACAAAAGTTGTTAATCTCGGCTTGTGCAACCTAAAGGGCACAGATGTCAGCTGAGCCCACCCTGATGTCCAGGATCGCAACACCCCTTGGAGATCCCTGTGCTGTGCCATGTGTCCAGGAAAAGGACCACCCTGTGCTGGGTAGCAGCTCTCACAGCAGCAGCCACCCAACACAGGCTGGTCCTCTTCTTGGGCACGTATTAGTCAGATCACTGGATCTCAGAATAGGAAGGAACCTCATTGGGCCCACTGGTGGCCATGAGAACGGGCCCTGCAGACCTCCAACTGTAGAGAGTGTTATTGACTGAGGACCCCAGCTGCTGTGCTCTGAAATCCACAGCTGAGTCTGTGCTGAGGCTGCACTTCCTGTGACTGAGTGGGGCAGGGATACTGAGGCTGGCCCGTTCTGGGAGACGCGGGACTCCTGTGACAGCCAGCTTTGGCTGGAGGACCCTCCAAGGGCCTTGCAGACCACATGGTGGTCTGGGATGCTGCCGCCTGACCTTTCTTCCTCTCCCCACCCCTAGGGTCAGACTCGCTTCATGGCGTCACTGCTCTCCAGTCTTCCCCGGCTTCCTCCCCGTTTTTCCCTCACAGGTGTCTTGGCGTGGCTCTCAGAGGACGTGCTGCCCTAGGCAGGTTTGCCTCCAACACGAGGGTCTCAGCCATCCTCTAAAGGGTACACGGGAGACAATCCCACCACCTTCCTCCGTCATAGAGTCCGACACCTTATCGGTCTTCCAGCCCAAGGATACTCCCGCAGGTCTAACCTAATCCCCTGTGTGCAATGGAAGTCCTGACTCCCCTGAGGAAGAAAGAGAGCCAGGCATCAGCCAGGGCAGGGTGGGGCCCAGGAGAAGCCGAGCACCTACCTCGTCCCCCAGGCAGGTCTCTATCAGCAGGCCCCAGAAGTCTGTAAAGGTGACCCTGTAGCCTTCCTGGCTGCGCTGCCGGAGCTCCTCCTGGAATTTGCGGAGCTGGTCTGGGAACAGGGAGGGTAGCTTGTCCTTTACCACATGTCTCCGAGCCTCAAAGATAGCAGGCTCCAAGTTTTTGGAGGACCAGTCAGGGTCACGGTACAAGGTAGCCATGGTCCTGGAAAGAGACAGGCACAGCTGATAGGGCTGACCCGGCCCCTGTCTGATGAGTCCTGGACCCGGGCAGGAGGGAAGGTGGGCAGGCCATTGAGAACCCTAACCTGCCAGGAGGGGAACCTGGAGAGTAGGGGTGAGGCAGAGACCTGGCAGACAGTGAGGAGCAGGGGAGGTGAACATTATTACTCATAATCACAAGTGCTACCAGTTCTCAAATGCCCACTGTGTGCCAGGCATAACAGTGGTTAAGATGAAGATTCTGGATCCAGAACTTTCTGGATCAAGCCAGGCTCTGTCGCTCACTAGCTGTGTGATCTTGGGCAAGCTACTTAATCACCGTTCCCTTCAGTTTTCCTGTCTGTGGAATGGGGAGAATTACAATAATTGTACCTGCTTCACAGAGTTCTGGTGAAGATTACATGAGTTAAGGTGATGTGGGGTAGCTAGAACAGTGCATGGCACAGAACAAATGCTGGAGCCCACATTTAAACCCAGGCTCGACTGATTACAGGTCCTGGCTGTTTCTACTCTGCCATGTTAATTCCTATAATTCTGATGTTGACTGAGGATTTATTTCCCTTTCTCTTCTTAACTTACATGTTGGTTGTCGGGGGGAGCAAAACAAAGAGGTGATCCCACTAGCCCTGGGTCTGGCCTCAGTCTGCCTCTTCTTGGCCTGGATCCAGCTTTTCTGCGTCAGGACAGGAAAGGGCCCTTTTCATTCTGCGCCTGAGAATGACCTCCCTGGCAGTGCAGCTAGTCTGCGGCTGCACATTTAAGGAAACAGGGGCCTCCTCCCTCACAGGACTTGCTTTTGGGAAGGTGGGAGGTGGTCAGGAGACTTTTCAACAAAAAGCACCCTGCTCTCCATAAGCTTCACCCATTCATTTTATACTTTAAAAAAGCTTCCAGAAGCCATTGCAAATGAGTTTTTAAAAGAATACGACTTGTGCTTTCCCCAGGCCAGGGGACCCCACCCATCCCACCCCGGCTGGGCCTGAGTTCCTCCTGCTATCTGTCTATCGCATAGTAGTCCGGGAGGACGCAGGTGCCCCTCAACCTGCTGGAAGCAAGTTACCTTCTTAACCTACTACCGGGGGCAGCCATTTAGCATGGAGGTTAAGGATGTGGGCCCGGGACTAGGTTCAAATTCTACTCCACTGCTCATTAACTGAGTGTCCCTGGCAAATTACTCTGTTTCTCCAGCTGAAAAATAATGACAATGCCTCTCTCATAGTTTTTTGTGAGGAAGAAACAAGATGAGCCATAGGAAGCAGTGACTCCAGTGCTTAGCAAGAGGCAAATGTCTCCTTCTGTCTCACCTGGGCTGGCGCCTCTGCCCCCCGGGGGGGTGTGTGGCACAGGAGCCCTTGGCTTTCCAAGGCCCATTCACATCCATTTGCTCACACGGGGGCTACCCAGAGCTCCTCCAGTATACAAGGCACAGCAAGGGACCTCAGGGCTCACAGGCCCACCAGTCACAGACAGGACACGGCCCTGCTTGATAGGCCACCCTGAACCAGGGCCACGCAGGGTTTTGATGGGCCCCACAAAAAATGTTTATATGTTTTTTATTTTTGTTTTTTTTAAAGACAAGTCCTCCCTATGTGGCCCAGCCTGGTCTTGAGCTCCTGGCCTCAAGCAAGCCTTCTGCCTCTGCCTCCCAAAGTGCTGGGATTACAGATGTGAGCCACCATACCTGGCCACATAAAAAATATTAAAATTTATATTTCATGCTGGCCACATAAAAAATATTAAAATTTATATTTCATGACTGTTGTATAAAGACAAATGTATTCATATTATTTATTAAAACATTTTCTTCAACCTATAAGTTTGTTAATGAAATGATCCTGATTTTAAAAGAAATTAACCTATTTTTGTGGGCCCCTAAAAGTACAGTGAGCCGCAGGCACTGTGCCTTCTGTGGGTAAGCTGACCTCACCCTGGCCTCCCTGTGGGGGAACCCAGTGCTCAGCCCCTGGCCCTGCTCACCAGCAGAGGGTGAGAAGGAGGGAGCTCAGCTGCAGGGCCCTGCCCGTTGCATGTCCCCAGCAGTATGGGGTCATGTTCCTGGGTCCATACCACAGCCCCAGGGAAACAGTAACACCAGGAAAGGCCAGGGCATACAGTGTCTCTGGCATACTTAGTAGCGGGAGAGCGTCTTACACCCACCGCATGAGGTCAGAGCTACTGTTATCCGCACTGTGCAGATACACAAGCCGAGCCTCCAAGGAGTCAAGCTGCATGCCCAAGGCCACACCACTGCATGTGGGGCACTTCCCAGGCTTCAGGAGTCACTTTGTCTTTGGGTGGCGGGGAGGAGCTTCACCTGAGACCCCAGGCCAGCCTGTTCGTGGCTTGCCCTGGGCTCCACAGACAGTGGCTCATGTCTCCTTACCAGGTGGCCCCTGATAGACCGGTGATGTAGCTGGCACAGTCCAGGAGGTTCAGCTTCTGCAGCCCCAGCAGGTGGCCATACATGGAGGTCATGGATCTTGTTCCACCCCCAGTGGCCATGATGGCTATCAGCGGCACCTGGGGTTACACAGAGGCAGGCGGTTGGGGAAGGCTCCAGAAGCAAAGCTTGGGAGAAGACTTAGAATGACGGCAACTTTGAAAGAACAATGGAGGAGGCAGAGCTGGCTACAGAGGGCAGGGAGTGCGGCGTTGAGCCACCTGACACCTGCCTTTCCACAGAGCAGTGGGTCTAGAAATAGACCTCAGCTCCACACCCAGAAGTTGGTGTCAGTGAAGGACTCTGAAGCCTAACACAGGCTTGGTAAATCACAGAAAGCTGTGGCTAGCAGAGTTCTTAGCACTGTTAGTCTAGCCCTCGGTTAACAGGTGATAAAACTGGGGTCCGAGGGTGGTGGGCAGCTTGTTCAAGAACCCTACTAATGTGCGATCCCTCAATGGGACAAACCAACATCTTCTGTAGCTGGATCTGAGGGAAGGCACCAGGCCTGGCACATGGTGCCTGCTCAGCAGGTACTGTACTGGCAAGGCCAAGAGTCAATGGACTGGTGATGTGGGAAGGAGCAGGGTTGCCAGCTCTGGGTCAGCAGAGGTTTAAGAGGCCCCTGGAATGTTTCCCTAAAGATAGGGCCAGGTACAATGGCTCACACTTGTAATCCCAGCACTTTGGGGGGCCGAGGTGGGCAGATTGCTTAAGCCCAGGAGTTCAAGACCAGCCTGGGCAACATGTAGAAACCCCATCTCTACAAAAAAATACAAAAATTAGCCAGGCATTGTGGCTCATTCCTGGAGTCCCAGCTACTTGGGAGGCTGAAGTAAGAGGATTGCTTGAGCCTGGGAGGTGGAGGCTGCAGTGAGCTGTGATGGTGCCACTGCACTCCAGCCTGGGTGACAGAGCAAGACCCTGTCTCAAGAAAAAAAAAAAAAAAAAAAAAAAAAAAAAGGAGGGAGGAAGGGGCTCTTTGTCAAGACTCATTCTGTCTGTTTTCCTTTGAGTGGGGGCTGTAAGAACCTTCCATTGGCTAAAGCGCTATTACAAGTCCTCCTCGGGCACCCGCCAGGTCTCTGTCCTCACCTAGGGTCAGCCTCAGAAAGCAGGCGCTTGGAGGGCTTGCCTGCTGCCCAGGCGAGTGTGGGCCTTGGTCCACACAAGGGAGGCAACAGAGGGCTGTGACAGAGGCCCACCGTCTGCTCCCGTGGGAAGAAGGGGCGGTCTGGCCCTAGGAGTGCAAGTTGCTTCTCTCCAGCTTCCTAGCGCTGTTATTTCTGGGAGTGTGTTTACCTGTGCGGATTTGAGAGGAGAGACAATTGAGGAAAGAAGGACCTAAGGCCTTTTGGGTGGAGGTGTGGGGTGCAGAAGGTGGTACAGCTTAAAATGTTTTCCTGGCTGGGGTGAGGAGGGCATTTTATCCCTGAGTAAGGCCCCTTTAGCCACAGCAGGAACTCTTAGTGCTTGGGAGGAGGCGCTGGGGCTCTGTCCTTTCTGTCTCCATTTTGCTCTCCCCTTCTCTTGTGAATATAAAACAGAATCACTTCCAGCACAGCTCTCACCAGGGCGCCTGTACCTCAGCAGTAAAAGCATCCATGGAGGTGGCGCCTGGGGTAGGGCAGGGCCTGGGTTGGCTGGGAGGGCATGGTGCTGGAAGGACCAGCTGGGCCCAGGCTGGCCACATCCCTGATTACCCACCTCGTCCTCCTGCAGGTCTTCCTCCAGCTGCAGCACCTGCTTCAGGGCCTTGGCCACCACGACCTTCCGCTTCTGCAGAAACTCCAGCTCTGCTGGGCACAGGCTGAAGCCCAGCCGCACGTCCAGTGTCTCAGGGCTGGAGGGAGAGAGGACCCTGTATTGGGCCTGCAGCCTCTACCTCCCTGGAGTAGACACAGCTTCAGGGTCCATTGGACCTAGGCTCAAAGCCTACTTCTGCCAGCGACCACTTCTGTGACCTTGGGTCTCCACTTTCCCATCTGTAAAGTGGGGCGAATCGTGCTGAACTCTCAGCACTGTCTTCAGCACTTAAAGAGATAACAAATGCAAAGCCCCCAAAGCCTTAGCTGGCACAATGCGAGCTGGTACTCAACAAAAGATAACTGTTGGCACTGTGTTAGGGACGCTTTGAGTCCTCTGTCTCCTCGGCCAGATCTGGAAAGTCCAGAAAGTCTTCCCCCAGGTGGCTTCTCTAGCCCAGGGCCAGGCATGGGTGACAAAAGGCGCTGAGATCATTTTGCCAAATCCCTCTGAACAAGGCCCCACGGTATGGACTCTTCTGTGCTAGGTAAACAAACTCCCTGTTCCTATGGAGCTCACGTTCTTCAATGAGCTCTTCCTGCTCCTAGAATAACAATTATTCTGTGTGTGTGTGCAATTGACAAAAACCATCCCATTCCTGATCTCATTGTGTCACCTCATAGTCTGCAGGCAGGTGGGGCAGGCACCTCTGTGACATGCACAATGCTTGTCCTCTTTTTTTTTTTTAATCACATCCCTGCCCCAAACAAGTCCAGGCTCCTGGCCTGGCATCCAAGACCCTGCCTGATCTTTCCAAGCTCACCTCAAACTACCCGCGAAACTTCTGGGTCAGGTCCCAGAGCTCCCAGAAGCAGTCCTGTTTCCGGGTCTTGGCACAGGCCCCTGCCTTCACCAGAAGTGTCTTCCCTTTGCCCACCTCCAGCCTGTGCATCCTCTGAGGCCCAGCTCCCCAGTGACTCCAGATGAATGTACCTTGACCATTTCCAACTGAGCCTTGGCTCACTGACAAAGCCACATCTCCTTGAAGGCTGGGCCTAGGAGATTTCCATCATGTCTCCTCTTTGTCCAGCACAGGGCTGCAGACATGGCTGTTAGAAAATAATTCTTTCTTTGGCCTCAACAGGGAATGAATAATAATAATACAACAACAATAATAACAATAACATTAGCTGACGTTTGCTGAGCATCCCACTTGCCAGATGGATTACTGAGTACTTCGCACGTGCTGTCTAGCTGGATCCTCAGAGCAACCCAGTGATGCACAGGATCCTTGTTATTCTCCCAATGTACAGATGAGGAAAACAGAGACTCAGTAAGGGCAAAGAGCTTTTCCAAGGGCAAATAGCTAATCAAACTGTCAATAGAAATCATGGCCACTTGATTTCTGACAATCAAGATTTCTGAAAACGATGTTGTTTTCAGCAGATGGTGCTGAGACATCTGGATATCCACATGCCAAAGAACGAGGTTGAGCCCCTCTTTTACACCATGTAGATTGATTACCTAAAAATTGATCATAGACCTAAATGTGAGAGCTAAAACTAAACAAGTCTTAGAAAAAAACATGGGAATATATTTTCAGGACTTTGGTCGGGCGCGGTGGCGCACGCTTGTAATCCCAGCACTTTGGGAAGCCGAGGAGGGTGGATCACTTGAGGTCAGGAGTTCGAGACCAGCTGGCCAATACGGTGAAACCCCGTCTCTACTGAAAATACAAAAATTAGCCAGGTGTAGAGGTGTGCATCTGTAATCCCAGCTACTGGGGAGGCTGAGGCAGGAGAATCGCTTAACCCAGGAGACAGAGGTTGCAGTGAGCTGAGATCACACCACTGCACTCCAGCCTGGGCGACAGTGAGACTCCATTTCAAAATAAAATAAAATAAAATAAAATAAAATAAAAATTTCAGGACATTGGATTAGGCAATGATTTCTGGTTTCTTAGATATGACACCAAAAGCACAAGTGACAAGATAAAAAAACAAATTTCCTCAAAAGTAAAGTCCTTTGTGCTTCAAAGGACACCAACAAGAATGTGAAAAGATACGCCATAGAATAAGAGGAAATATTTGCAAATCATATATCTGACAAGGGATTTGTATCTGGCATATGTAAAGCACTCTTACAACTTAACAATAAAAAAACACAAATAACCCACATAAAAAGTGGGCAAAGGATCTAATAGAAATGTCTCCAAAGAAGATGATATGCCAGCCAGCCCATGGAAAGATGTTCAACATCATTAGCCATAGGGGAAATGCAAATCAAAACCACAGTGAGATACCACTGCACACCCACTGCTATGAATAAGTGAGAGGCACGGACAGAATGCGGGTACTATACCAGGGTGTAGACTTCATGTGTAATTCATAACTCTCACCCTGGGGAGGGAAAGATGAAAAGCTTGTCAGAGGTGACAATTCAGAGCCAAGTGATCCCAGATCCACACTGTCCACCCAGACCCCACTCAGCACACACGTGCACACACAGGCGCTCCATCCCTGCCTCTCTCTTCTGGACACAATCTCCCCACCATCTTCAACTCAGCCTCCATACACTCTTTGGACCACACTGTAGCTCATCAGTCTCCTGCCCCACAAGACTCCTCCATCCTGCCTGAGAGAGACCCTCACGAGTCACATTCTCTCTTGTACCTCCCCAGGCTCTCCCCACCTCCCTACCACAGGAGCTCCAGGGGAAGTAAGTCAGGGGCCCTTCCCAGACTCAGGCACTCACCACAGGCAGGGTCATCACCTGACCATCGGAAAGGCAGTCGAGGGGCTGGCTGATGGGGCCCTTCTTGCGAGAGCGGCAGCAAAGCTGGAGGGATGGGTGGGTTCTGTGAGAGGGGCTGGGGAGCTCCTCTGGCACCCCCCACCTGTCCCAGTCCCCCACACCTCCCCCAGTGTCAGCCGCCTTGTACCCCACAGCTCCAGTGACTCTTGGGCACTTCCACGTGCACCTGGGACTGGAAGTACTTGGGGTAGTGGAAGCAGGCAGCGGTTTGGAAGCAGGCAGAGGTTGGGCAGCAGGGTTCCAAGCAGGGCCGGACACGCTGGGTGTTCTCAAAGGATTCGTTCACCATCACCAGGAGGTCCTTCACTGGGAGAGAGGACAAGAGGGTGAGACCCTGGGAGCCTCTCACTACCCACCTGCAACTTGGTCCAGCAAAAAACCTATTTGGAGGTATCCAGGAGGAGTTTAGAATCACCTGGGGCACCAGTTCAAATTCCCCAGAGATTCTCAATCTATAGGGTAGGGCAGGGCCCAGGAACCTGCATTTTAATGAGGTTTATGAGGATGCAGACAAACATAGTCCCCAGAAAACCCTTTGAGATGCTGAGAAGGTCCTCAGGACCAGTCCTTGGCTCAGCTTTGCCAGAAGATGCCCCAAAGTAACCTGCCCACTGTAGAGGAGGCAGACCCTCCGCACACTGTCGCTTTTGATGTAGACGCCTCTTCTGTCCTCCCTCCCTCCCTCATGTCTGGTAGCCTTGCATGGGCAACATGGGGTGGGGTGGGGAGTAGGGTAGGGGTATGGTATTCATGGATCTCTTAGGTCTCTGCCAGCTATAAAGTGCTAGGACCCTCTGTGAGCTGTGGTCTGCCTAGAGGAAGGGGCATAGTTAGAGGGGTCCTGGGCTTCGGGTGCTGACCACCTCACTGACCTAGGCAATCTGAGGTCCTGGCATGGCACAGCACAGACAAGCGTGGATAGAGGGAGCAGCACTGGGACCCCAGACCTGAGATACTCCAAGGTTATGTGGGTGCTTGGGCGAACACGCCCTTTACAGAGCAGGATGGGAGGCCAGGGGCTCAGGACCCCTGGGGGTGAGATGATTCTGAGGGGTTTCAGCCGAGCTTTTGGTCCCCCTGAGCCCAGGGAAGCCCTGGACTAGGTGGAGTCTGATGCTGATGGGATTTGGAAGCAGCTCCCCCTTGTCCCCCAGTAGGCAGAAAAGGCAAAACAGCTCACTTTTCTCCCTCTTCCTCCGCCTCCTGGATTGTGCATGAACCTCCAGGCAGGAGACTTGTCGAGACTGTAAAAAACAAAGGAGGGTCACAGAGTGTCTGAGCACCAGCCACCTCCTTGCTCTTCCAGGCTGAAGGGAGATGAGGGACCAGAGGATACATTCAGCATTGGTCTGACTGGGCTGATGCTGGGGAATGCAGAATGTGTTGACCACATTTTCTGAACCCAATCAAGGCATGCCATCTCACTCAGAGATAGGATACTTGACCACGAAGCTGTCCCAGGAGGTCTAGGACCCACGGTCACAGTTTACTAGGGGTCAGGTCCTCAGCTGCAGGTCGGGAATCTGACCTGAGGGAATGTTCAGCTCTGGGCTTTCAAAGTGAGGGCTTCCGACAAAATAGCCTTGTCAAGATGCTGAGGCAGATCATACTCCTTTGCCACACATTCCCAAAGACTCTTCTTTTTGAGGGAGAGGTCTCCTTGAACCCTGAGGCACTGGATGCATTTAATTAAAATAGCTGTACCAACAGCCGAAATATGAATTTTTGTTTTTGGCACAGGGTCTCACTCTGTCACCCAGGCTGGAGTGCAGTGTCATAATCACAGCTCACTGCAGCCTTGACCTCCTGGGCTCAAGCGATCCTCCCACCTCAGCCTCCTGAGTAGCTGGGACTACAGACACATGCTACCATGCCTGGCTAATTTTTGTATTTTTTTGTAGGGATGGAGTTTCACTATGTTGCCCAGACTTGTTTTGAACTCCCGGGCTCAAGTGATCCCCCAACCTTGGCCTCCCAAAGTGCTGGGATTATAGGCATGAGCCACCATGACTGGCTATGAAACAATTTTTAATACAGAAATTGTGCTTGTAGGCCAGGCACAGTAGCTCACACCTGTAATCCCAGTACTTTGGGAGGCTGAGGCTGGCAGATCGCTTGAGCTCAGGAGTTTGAAACCAGCCTGGGCAACATGTTGAAACCCCGTCTCTACAAAATACAAAATAATAGCTGGGGGTGGTGGCGTGCTTGAGCACGGGAGGCAGAGGTTGCAGTGATCCGAGATCGCAGCACTGCACTCCAGCCTGGGCGACAGAGTGAGACCTTGTCTCAAAAAAAAAAAAAAAAAAAAAAAGGTAAACTGTGCTTGTAGAATTACTGGGGTTGTGGGGTACAGGACCAAGACTGAGTCTGAGAGGAGGCTGCACTTAGTGGGTTGTTTTATTGGGGAGGCTCTTAAGGGGAAGGGTCACTTTTGGGATATGAAGTGCTCGGCCAGGGTGATGTCCCAGCTACCTCCTCCCTCTGTACAGAAGCCCCAGCTCGTGCCCCAGTGCTGCCTGTGCCCCATTTGGCTGGCCTCGTTTAGTCTAACTCCTGCAGAGGTCAGGATAGGACAGAGACCAAGCTGGGCCCACTGTTTTCTCCCTTGGTCCTGTTCCCCTGAGAGCAGCAGCCAGCCGTGGCCTCTGGAGCTACAGGAACCCAGGAAGATAATTACCACCAGCACGCCATTGGTGACGAGGGTCTCAGGTGGAGAGGGACTGAAAAACAAAAGGAGAACTCCTGGTCAATTCTAGCATTCTTGACTGGTTTCTTCTAATGGCGACAAAGGGAATAAATAGGGTCAATAACAAAATATCAGAGCCTTCTTTGTTCTCATAAAAAATACTAGCTTCGGAAACCTTAGCCTTATAGGTTGTCAGGGAGGAAACTGGCCTACATTTGAAACAGAATGTCCAGGAAAAAAATAGATTTATAGGTTAGAAGAGTAGGAGAGTTCTATTTTTTTGAAAGGATAACTGTTTTTTATGTCTAACCAGATGCAAATGCATGGGGTTAGAAGAATAAATAGGTTGTAAGAAATGGCTGCAACCTGCCAGCTAGAGCAGACATAAACAGTTTTGGTAGTGAAAATGATCCATTCTCCATTCTGTGCTTTATCTAACTTATGCATTTAACAGTCTGACCCAGCTGAGAGGGTGAATGTTAAATGCCCTTGTGTTATAAAGTTGAGAACATAAGCCTCCAAGGTTTCAATTAGCCTGGCAGAGTCCACAGCATCCCTTGTCAAAATTAAGCCCAAGGTGACTGTGTCTCCAGATCAACTTTATTGTTGTTGTTGAGAAGGAGTCTCGCTCTGTCGCCCAGGCTGGAGTGCAATGGCACGGTCTGGGCTCACTGCAACCTCCACCTCCTGGGTTCAAGTGATTCTCCTGCCTCAGCCTCCTGAGTAGCTGGGATGACAGGTGCATGCTGCCATGCCCAACTAATTTTTTGTATTTTAGTAGAGACGGGGTTTCACCAGATCAACTCTTATTACCAAGCATGACATGTTTCATTTTGCAAGCCACTTTCTAATTCAGCCTAGGAGTTTTCCCCGCCCTCTAAAAATTCTGTCAAATCAAGAATTGGAGGGGAGAGCTTCGATTTTCTTCAATGTTAAGTAAATAACGTTGATTTTAATTTGCCAATCAGCTGTTGATGGGAAGTAAGTTCCCTCACATAGTTTGAAGATCCCCTAGGCAGAGGATTCTCCAAGTGGCAGTTGACGAGCCCTCTTGTCCTGTCTCCCACCTGTCATCCTCCTTCTGTTCCCGGGCTCATCACAAGCATAGGGGGCTCAGCCCTGCCAGGTGAAGAAGAGGGAGGAGTGAGGAACAAGCTGCCCAGTTACAGGGCACTCTGCCCGGCCTGAGGCGGGGGTTGCCTTTCTTTCTTTCTTTCTTCCTTTCCTTCCTTTCCTTGCTTTCCTTCCTTCCTTTCCTTCCTACCTTCCCTCTTTGTTCCCTCCTTCCAGACCTCCAGCTCTCTGAGTCCTCAGCACAGTCATGTCTCCAGGATCCTGGATCGTTTTCCTAATTGAAAATGATTTGGGCTGGGCGCGGTGGCTCATGCCTGTAATCCCAGCACTTTGGGAGGCCGAGGCAGGTGGATCACCTGAGGTCAGGAGTTTGAGACCAACATGATGAAACCCCATCTCTACTAAAAATACAAGAATTAGCCTAGCATGGTGGTGTGTTCCTGTAATCACAGTTACTCGGGAGGCTGAGGGAGGAGAATCGCTTGAATCCAGGAGGTGGAGGTTGCAGTGAGCTGAGATCGCACCACTGTACTCTAGCCTGGATGACAGAGTGAGACGAAAGAAAGAAAGAAAGGAAAGAAAAGGAAAGAAAGGAAAGAAAGGGAAAGAAAGAGAGAGGGAGAGAGGGAGAAAGGGAGAAAAAGGGAGGAAGGGAGGGAGGGAGGGAGGAAAGAAGGAAGGAAGGCAGGCAGGCAAGAAAGAAGATTGGAAAGAACCCTGCAAGGTGGGCCTGAGCCTCCCATTGACGTGGTTCCAGAGTTGGCTGCAGAGTTGGCTGCTTGCGGCCAGGGTTGGGGTGTTTGTTCTAACAGTTCTGGTCAAGGAAGAGACCCCTGGGCTCTGACCTCTTTCTCAGCTGGGCCTCAACAAGGCCCCCATCGCCATGGTGGCAGGAACTCTTCCCAGAAGCCACCCTTGGGAATGTAGGGGGCCTGAGGCAGGCTATTTGGCCAGAGTACTAGATCTTTAAAGCAATGCTGAGGGCAGGAGAACTGGGTAAGTGCAGTGGGGCCCAGGCTCCTACACTATGGAGAAGCTCCTGGGTGATTCTGATGCACAGTGAAGAGTCAGGGTTAGTGCCAGGAGTGAGACTGGAAGAGGGTGAGGCAGCAAAAAGGCCGACCTGCCTCTGAAATGCTCGTTCCCAGAAGCTACTTGATGGCCAGGACCTTGGTGGGCCCCGGGGCCTGGGCCTACTCACCTCTCCTCCAGCAGGAACTCCACCTCCAGCTCTTCCATGCCCTGGTAGGGGAGGGAGGGAAGGCAGCTGTGAGTGGCGTCTGCACATCTCTGCTGACCAGAACCCTTTGCCACCCTGGGAGCCGCTGTGGACCTGCCTCCGTCCTTCCCCCACAGCTGCCTGCTGCCATGGAGTGTGCTTGTGGTCTCCTCTGCCAATCTCTGTCCCCAAGTCTTTGACATCAGGAGCATCACTGACAGCCCAGGGGAGGTCAGGGTGTGGAGCTGACCCCCAGCCCCAGCATGTACATTCCTCTGCCCGAGAGCATCTCCTTTCTGTCACTTCCCTGGCTTCCCACCGCTCTCCTGCCTTCCCAAGGGACTCAGTGCCTGTGGCAAGGGAGCGCTGAGATACGCCTTCAGAAAGCCCATTCCTTCCTTCACTGAGTCCCTCACACCTCTTGCTGTGTACTGGAGGCAAGCCAGGGCCTCACTGGGCCTTACTTTCCCCACCAGAATGTAAGCTAGGTGAGGGCAGGGATGCTAGTTCCCAAGGGGACCCAGTGCCTAGAACGGTGCCGGCCCCTCACAGGCACTCAAATGCTGGCAGAATGATTGAATTGACAGCATCCTGGGGGCTCCAGCTCTGACTGTCTCTGATCTGCAGATTCGCCCACCTTTACCCTCATCTGTCCTCTGTTCCTGGGGCCATCCCAGCAATGGGACTCTGAGGGAAGAAAAGGAGGGAAGGGAACCAAGACTTACTACCTCTCCATTGTGTTCTGTGAACACTGCTAGTTGCCTGAATTATGGTTTCTCATTTAAGTCCCACAACAACCTTGTGTGGTAGGTATTATGATCACCATTTTGTAGATGAGGAAACAGAAACTTAGGGAGTTATTTTTACGACATCACATAGTGAGTGACAGTGCTGGGATTTAAACCAGCAGCACCATCTTTTCTCAACTTGACTGTGTACACAGAGAAGACCCTGGGGAATGGCTTTGTGGGAATCAGCAACAGCTATGAGGTTATCATGAAGCCGGAGTCTGAGGGCCTGTACCCTGCACCCACCTGCGGGTTGAGTGGAAACTTCACGTGGGTTTTCTTTCGGAAACAGAGCTTGGTGAGGTCATAGAGAACTGTCAGGAGATGGTCATCTGGTGTCACTGTGTCTTCATCACAGACACTCAACTCTAGCACGTTCTAGGGGAGAAGGAAGGATGCCAGTCTGGTTACCACGGTTGCATTGACCCCTTCCCAGAACAAGGGGCTTGACCTCTGTCCTAGCAAGGAGGTAGGTCTGGGGGATGGGAGACAGCCCAGAAGTCCCTGCTCAGATGTGACAGACATTTGTAGGGAAACGAATTAAGGAAGGCAAGTGTCTATTCCCTCCTTTCCAACTCCCTGAAGCCTTCTTGGCCTTCTGTTCTCACTTTCCTGCTAGAGAATTTTGCCTCTTTTACAAGCTTGGTAGAGACCTGTGAAGTATGGAAGGATTTAGTTTCACCTGAGGGGAAGGATGGATGGGAAAGAGCAAGCAAGACCCCTGCCAGGATATAGAATGTGGTCAGCACTGGGCCCCTGGGCACTGAAGACAGCCCCTTTGGTGCTAGAAAATCCAGATTAGGGAATCGAACATCTAACACTCCAGGGAGTGATGTGGCAAAGCTTGTAGGGGTTCTGATAATTGGTGGGGTATATGAACTCTATCCTTTGACTCATCAGCCCCTAGTAAGTTCTCATGGATGGTCCCAAAGCAGCTACCTTGTCATCTGGCTGAACTCTGAGGTCAGTGTTCTCAGGTGACATGGACTAATCTCTGAGGCCTCTTGTTCCAAGGATCCTGGGGGATGTGGGTTGAGGCTGCCTCTTAAATACATCTAGTGGACATAAGGTGGTTCTGGAGGTTCCCAACGGGATGTGATTGTTGACCTTGTAATTACTAGAAACACAGGTATGTCCCAGAACCAACCCAGCAGCTCCACAATCCAAAGGAAGCTCAAATTCTGATTTCAAGATGGCAGACTGAACCCACATCAAAATTCTCCTCCCTTACCAAACTCACATGTATGATAGAAAAGGTATTTTAAAAATAATAAGTATAAAGCCCTTCTTGAAAAGATACGTCACGTAACAAAAATAAATAAGTATCCCTAAAACATGGAGGCAGTAAGGTGGAGCTGTCAAGCCTCAAGCACCTCCAGACTGGGGCTGATGCCACTATGATGAGGCCAAATTTGTTGTAAGGGATCTCTGCTGAGGCTGTCACAACTCAGGATGCTCAAAGGATAATTATCCCATGGGAGATGTGAACTCAACTTAGAGTCATCATATATCTGAAGAAGACCAATCCCATGGAACAACTCAACAAATAAAATACACACCCAAAGAAATGGAAATAATAAAGCAATATGAAAAGAATTTAAGAGGGAGAGAACCCTCTGGCTGGAATTAGACTGGCCTCAGACCTAGTGAATAGAATGGTTCTTTCACTCTGTGTATTCCCCTGCTTGGAGAAGGCTCTGGAAACACAATCTGTTTTGGATTAAGAGACACCTAGTTTCAGCAACAATTAGGACAAGAGAGACCAGGAGAAAAAGCTAGAAAGAGAAATAGACTCAGAGAGGGGCAAACATGAGACAGGCAGAAGGAAGTAGTGGGTGTGAGTGGGAAGACAGGTTTGTAGGACAAGAAGTAGGCAGAAAGGAAAACAAAGAGGCATAAGAACACAGAGGCAAAGAGAAGGACAAGTGGGCAAGAGGGGAGTAAAATGCAGACAGGGAAGACAGGTGCAGTCCTCCATGTCTCACCTTCACTCGGCTCTGGATCTGGAAGTTGAAGCTTTCATTCCACTCTGGATTTGGGCAGTTGGAGATGGTCCTTGTCCTCAGCTTCTTCTGAGAGGCGGTGGGCAGCCAGAGGCTCACAAAACAGTCTGTCTGGCTCACTGTCCAAGAAAGATAAGTGGAACCAATCCAGGTTCAGAGAGAACATGTGGAGTCAAAAGGGAACTTCAGGCAAGCCTCTTCCAGAGCCAGGCCCCATCTCAGCTCCAGTTCCTCTCCTCATTCATGGGTCTAACTTTCCAGAGACTCAGATCCCCAAGAAGTCACAGATTGCAGGCTGTGGGTCTCGCAGAGGGCGACCCAATCCCACTGGCCATTCTCATAGACACAGATGGCCTCCGGCTCTTATTAGAAGCACCCTTGTCCCTGAGCAAACACCTGCTGGTTTGGGACAAGGTATGGTCACACAGTTTTCCCTCTGCCAAGGTAAGATCTGGAAGACCAGTCCCCAAGGGTCCGGATTACTTCTTGTCTTAGCCCAGGGGACCAGGAAAACCAAAGTAGGGCCAAGCACTCCCTCTGGGCTGAGGAGAAGTGAGGATGAGAAGGAACACTCTGCTGTGAGTCGGCCAAGAGGAAGGGCCCCAGTGGGCAAGGACTTGAGTGAAACTAGCTATTCAGCAAGATCTAGGAGCAGGAACCCCCATCTCCATATGGCTTAATGCCTCCACTGCATCCAGCCAGGCTCTTCTTACCTATCCTGATCTGCAGCATCAGGTTATGGCCCAAGAAACCCTCCCCTCTGTGGCCACATACTTCTTTTTCATTCTAAATGAACAACCCAAGTGTGATGTTGCTGGATATGCTCTGGAGAAGGGACAGAGGCTTTGACCCCAACAAGCCCTCCCAAAATGACAGAAGGTCTCCTAAGTCTTCCACCTGGAGCAACAGAAGGGATAGGGTGAAAATAGTAGCCCAGACTGGCTCCCTGCTCTAGTCTACCTGGGAGGAGGGAGGCAGAGGGGCCATGACTGCCCCTGTCACTCTCCTGGCAGTTGGTGAGGGTGAGGCCCAGGGTACACACCAGATACATAGGAAATGGTGAAAGCCAGCAGTTTCCAGTGTCAGAGAGTCCTCTCGATGGTAAAGCTGGCAGGAGGATGGGAGTTCTACACTGGTAGGACTGATTCAAACTAGTTTTTAATTATTAATAGTCACTGATGAGAGTGGAGCCAGGGCTTTCTTCGCCCTGCGTTGTCACCACACTGAAAGGTTTATCAGAATCAACAGCCCTGATCTAAATCACAGGTGTTCCTAGCTTCTGATTTCATCCCTGAAGTCTGGTTAATCTTTGAGGCCTCATCATCCAGTGAATTGGAATTCACAGCCCTCCTCCTATTGAAGAAAGGTGAGATGACACTCTCTTTTAGATGTCATGATAATCACTTAATCCAGACAAAAAGAATGATTGAAACCCAACAGAATCAAAAGAAAATGATGACCTCATCAACCTACTCTTCCCTTCTATGCTCAACCTGCTCTTCCTTATCATCACTCAGGTGTCCAGGCCAGAAATCAGTGTCATCCTTGACTCTCACATTCAGTTGATTTAACCCTTTGTCTCTCTCAGGACCCCCAACTTCTCATCTGCCCTGCCACTGCCCTGGTGTAGACCACCATAATCTCTGAGGCCACTTCCCAGATAGGCTTCCCATCTCCTGTCTTGCCCCACTCTAATCTTTTCTCCAAAGAGAAGCCACAAGGAGCTTTTTAGATATGACCATGCCATTCCCCAGTTCGAGATCCTCCAGGGGCTCCCTTCTGCCCTCAGGAAGGAGTCCCAGCCACTCAAAGTGGCTGACCCTGCTCACTTCCCCAGCCTCAGTCTCATCTCTCCACCCTCCCTAATACCCCACCCCTGCCCTGTGTGTGCGAGCATGTGTATGTGTGCACACATGTACATTCACACACATTTACACACATACGCATTCACTCAAACTTACACACACGCACTCACCGTTTAGACTCCAGCCAAACACAGTCACTTGTATTCAAAACTGCCTTTGCACATGTAGCTCCCTCTGCCCAGAACACTCTTCCACTTTCACCCACCCTTCTCCTTGCTAGCCCCTTGGGACTTCAGTAGGAACCTCCTCTGGAAGCTTTCCCTGAGCACCCAAGTCTGGACCAGGTACCCCAGAGCCCAGAGTCCTCTGTTCCTCTCCTGGGGAGCACCCCTATGCTGCTCTGCAACAACAGGTGGACTCATCTGTCTCCATCACACTGTGGCCACAGGATACAGGTACAGATACATCACTGCAGATACAGGTCAGAGGTCAGTGTGTCTCATTGCTCTGCTGATAGGGAGACTCACCAGGAACCTGCTCAGCCCTCTTGAACCCTTCCCTTGGCTTTTCCAGAACACTGGCCCCCCCACCCCGGGCCTGGACCACACCCTTCAGGTCTGTCTCCGGTACGCTGGGAGCCTGCAGGCAGGGTGCCAGCTCTATACCTACTGGTTCTGTAATGCACTTGGCGCGCATGATTTGATGGACCCTGTAAGAGCCCCTTCCCTCTAAAATTGTTTTCCTGTCATTCGTCCATGCCTAAAATTCTCCGATAAAGCCCATTAAATAAAAACTCAGTATTTTTGGCCTAAGGCTTAAATGTCTAGTTAAGATAAAGAAATATTCCTGGCAGAGACAAGATTGATCAGACACCCACATTCCAAGCATTAGTTTTTCAGTTCTTTTGCAGAGAGCTGCTTCCCCTGTCCACCCCCAGCAATGAATGGTTAGGCAACGGTGACCTGGTTCTGAGAATTTCATGGACTATGGGGATTTCCTAGGCACAGATAAGTTCTAATCCTTGTTCCTAGTGGAGTGACAGAGGGCTTGGTCATCTGAATGACATGTCTCCTTTCCTGGAATGTGGGTGGCAGAGATGACTCAATCATCTCTATAGATGTTCAGAACTTTGTCTCTCTAATACCTCTGGAGACACCTGTCTGATATCCCTTGGGGTGCTGGTTTCAGTTTTAATTTCTCAAGAGAAACAAAAACTCCTGACAACTGGGAGGTTTCTAGGCCTGATTGTCTCTCAGTCCTGGCCCAAGGCTCTTTCAGTTATCGAGGAG
This sequence comes from Homo sapiens, assembly GCF_000001405.40. Classification (NCBI taxonomy): domain Eukaryota; kingdom Metazoa; phylum Chordata; class Mammalia; order Primates; family Hominidae; genus Homo; species Homo sapiens. The sequence continues at coordinate 42,010,841 of NC_000015.10, forward strand.
TCAGCCCTGAATCTTGAGTATTCACTGCCATTTGGCCTCTTGGAAACTTTAGGAGACTCAGGCACAAGTTACAAGACTAAATGGAAGTGCTGTTTATTTTGGATTCAAACTAGAAGGAAAAAATTTGGGACAAGGGTAACCCAGGACCTAAAAGACATCGGGATAGTCTTAATCTAACCCAGGCAAGGTAGCAACACAGCCCAGCCTGCAGCAACTGTGGAATCCAGACCAGACATGACTGGGGTTGGCACCCCGAGATGCCACATGTGCCTTCCGCCTTGTTCTTCGGGGAAATGAGGAAAACGTAAGCAACAGGGGGGTTTCCAAAGAGGGCCAGGTATCGCCCAAAGGCAGCCTGTCTGCCCAAGGGGCATGTAGGGAAGGGAGGAGGCTTGTAGAGCCAGACTACAGCCTGTTTCTCTAGCTGCCTGCTCTTCCTCACACCCCGTCACCTGCTGAGTGACAGGTGTGGCAGGAAGAAGACAGAAGAAAGGACCCTGGACAGTGGGAAGTCTGAGCATGCAGGTGCAGGCATGCATGGGGGCATGCAGCCAGGTGACTGGAGAGGCTGGGACAGACACACCTCAAAAGGAGTTGGAGGGCTGGGCATAGTGGTTCACGCCTGTAATCCCAGCATTTTGGGAGACTGAGACAGAGGATCACTTGAGCCCAGAAGTTCGAAACCAGCTTGGGCAACATGGTGAAACCCTGTCTCCACAAATAATTTTTTTTTTTTAAAGTTAGCCAGGTGTGGTGGCCCATGCCTGTAGTCCCAGCTACTTGGCAGGCTGAGATGGGAGGATCACCTGAGCCCAGGAGGTCGAGGCTGCAGTGAGATGAGATTGAGCCACTGCACTCCAGCCTGGGCAACAGAGTGAGACTCTGTCTCAAAATAAAATAAAAATAAAAATAAAAATAAAAAGCAGAAGGGGTTGGAGGAAGGTAAGCACTGCTGTGGATATGTGGGAGCTGGGTTGTCCCAAGGATGAGGGTGAACTCTGCCCAAGAGTGGGAAAGTGTCTGAGTGACCACCGTGGCATGGACAAGAAAGGCAAGAGAGGTGGCCACGTCCTGGATCCAGAGGACACTCCCTGGATCCTCAAATCATTCACCGATAGGCTGGGAAAGACCCCAAGAAGCTTGAGGAAAAGTCCCTGGCCCTTTGGTTGGCCACTTGGCAGACACAGACCCAAACTGGAGGCTACTGGAGCCACTCCTGCTGGCGCAGGCTCTGGACACATTGCCCTCCAGAGGCTCTGTCTCTGGAATCCTGCTTGGTCCCTTTGCTGTCTCTGGGGCTCAGGGCCCTCCCACACTTATCCATTCACACTCAGCCCTGCATTGGAGTGACAGCTTCCTACAAGTTCCCAGACTCTCCGCACCTGCACTCTAGCACAAGCTGCATACAAGGCCTCAGGAAGTCATGCAATCTCTTCCTCAAGACCCCAGGTACCCCAACACTTTGAAGGCATCCAATCCCTCCTCTGCCTCACTTCCTGGTTCTCCATACCTGGCTTGTCTCCTCTCTTGCCACACTCTCCACACCTGGGACCAGACCCTACTTCCCTCTTAGGCAATCATTAACCTCTTGTTGCAAAATGGGCCTCCAGGGCCTCTCCTCAAGTTGCTGGGAGCATCGGGTAGTGTGTGGATGTCTGGCTACAGGTCAGCCAGGCAGGTGCTCAGGGGGTGTGGCTCCCCTCCCTCAGGACAGCCTCTCCCCAAGATCGGGCTCCCAAGGCCTCTGGATACTCAGGTCCTGCCCCTCTCAGACCCCAGGCTCTCTGTGCAGCCTTTCTTGGCCACTCCCAGCTCTCATTGTTCTCCTCTGCCTCTAAACTCCCTGGTGACAAGATGGGAACGTTGTTATTCTATAACTGCTTTGGACATAGATAGCTCCTCTTGTTAAAATGTACACTCAATCTCAGGGCTCTGTGTCTTCTCTGCCCCTCTCAGGCCCTCCCTAGCCTTTCGGGATCCCTGTGGCGCTTGAGTCATTCCTGTGTGGTTACCGGTGAGCAGGGATGCTCCCCACCTGTGGGGCCTGGATATACAGCTTTTTCCCCCTTGGGGGCCAACTTCCCCTCTGGATGGGGCCAGGGGTGGGCAGTGTGGGAGGGGCTTTCAGTTCTCCTGATCTCTTAAAATGCCACCCAAAGACAGGGGTGGGGAGGATTCTGCCCACTGAGATGCCTCCATTGGCCCCCGTGGCCTGGAAATGCAGCAGGCTCTGGGATGAGGGGGGAGGTTAGGGCTGCCAGGAAACAGCACTGCACAAACAGTGCTGCTAAGTCAAGCCACATCCATGGGCTGAACTGTAGAACTGGGTGCTGTGGACTCTGGCATGGTCCCCAGAGCCCAGTTTCAGATCTTTGTCTTGAGAAGGGGCTCTGGGAGTCACCTGGCAGCTGGCTCCACGATGCCTAAGTGCCTCTCCTTCCACTTCACCCCAACAGGCCCTAACCGAAAGGAGGAGCAAGGAGTGCTCCGTGTGGGCAAAGCGGGTGCTCTTGGAAATCGATTCCAGGAAGAGAGAGTGGGGAGGAGACAGAGGGCGAACAGAGCTCTTGGGTGCAGGCACAGACTGCGGGGCAGGTAGCGCCGAGGGAACAGCATGAACAAGGGGCCTGGAAGAGTGACAGAAACCCCAAAGTCTGAACTACAACTTGAGTATAGAACACACATTCGTGCACATACATGCACACACATACACGTATACACCATGCACGTGCACACGTGCGCGCGCACACACACACACGGATCCACCTGACCATTTCTCCAGCCAGGGCCTCTTCCATCCAGATCCGGTAAGCAGAGAAGGAGAGAAGTGAGGTGGATACTCACGCATATCAGCCTGCCGGACATTTTTCATCCGGATGACCCTCACTGTCAACAGGTGGCATGGAGACAGCCCCTCCTGTGGAAGGAGAGGACAGAGGACTCAGTCTTCAAGCATTACTCCAAGGCCATTGCCCCGGGGGAGACTTTCCCGCTATGCCTCCTCAGGCCGGCCCAGTTGCATTACAACAACCCCTAGGCTGGTTTTTTTTTTTTTTTTTTTTTTTTTTTTTACAGAGTTTCACTCTTGTTGCCCAGGCTAGAGTGCCATGGCGCGATCTCGGCTCACTGCAACCTCTGCCTCCCAGGTTCTAGTGATTCTCCTGCCTCAGCCTCCCATGTAGCTGGGGTTACAGGTGTCTGCCACATACCCAGCTAAATTTTTGTAGTTTTAGTTGAGACAGGGTTTCACCACGTTGTCCAGGCTGGTCTTGAACTCCTTATGTCAGGTGATCCACCCACCTCGGCCTCCCAAAGTGCTGGGATTACAGGCATGAGCCACCACGCCTGGCTCCCCATGCTGTTTTGTCATTGTTTGCTGGGGTTTCTGTCTGCTCTTCAGCCTGGAAGGTCCTGGAAGCTCCAGAGAGCCTGGGACCCTGACTGGTTTTTCATCTTTGTACCTCCAGTACCTATAGCATGCTCATATCTAGAAGGTGCTAATACATGTTCATTAAGTGAGTGAATGAATGTTCCAGCCCCATGCACAGAATGAACGCCCATGGCAAGGGAGTCCTGAGGTGTTCTCCCTCTCCTTTCTTCACTGAATAGCTGCTTATTGGCACTCTCCTCCTACTGTCCCACATGCAGATATTTGCTCTTGCCCAGGCAAGATGGCAGCCTGCTTGGGAGGCAGGCACAGTGTGGCTGCGGGAAGGGGGGTGACAGACACTGATCACGCACGGTGACATCTACTCACTGGGAGACCATGTGCCAGGGGCTCACCCCCACTGGTACTTACTTAGCTCCAGCCCAGGCCTTTGCATCTCCCTTGCCCTTTGGGCCTCTTCCCCAGGGTATCTCCCCCAGGTCCTTCTGGTCACTCTATTTTCCCTTCCCAGGAAACAGTCTGCCTCTCTCCACTCCACTGTTTCTCGCAAGAGGTCCTTGTGGAGTCTTGGCTGGTCTGCGATGACCTCTCTTTCCTGATGGCAAAAGCTCAAGTAGTCCTTGGTTTGATGACTGGCTCCTGTCAGATGCCTCTGCGGGTCATGATAACCCCAGGGGACCAGAGCCCTGAGGTGTCCCCCTTCCCTAGCACCTTGTCCTAACAACTGGGGTGTGGGAACACTCCCAGCCCTGCTCACGCGGTGCTGATGGCTCCTCCTTCCGTCCTGCCCCTCTTCTAGTTCTGATCACCTCCTGGGGGCTCTGCCATCATCTCAAGCCCAGGTCCTCAAGGAACACCCAGAGCCCTCCCTGGGCTGCAGTGTCTGGGGCAGTGGCTGTGGTTCCTTAAGGCCCCACGTCCCTCCCGAGCTGCCCCTGCACTCTGAGTCTCGCAGCAGCCACTACTCTACTTTATCCCTTTTGGACCCATTACTTCATTACTTTCTGCCTCCCAGAGGCCCTGAAACCCCCTCTTCCAGCCGCACCAGCTTCTCTGGACCCTACAGCAACAGAGTGTCGCCGGATCATCCTTCCTGCCTACCGAGGGACCGCAGCGCTCTCCCAGTGCCCCTCTGCCTGTTGCCCTTGGCCCCAGGCGTTAAGCCTGTGGGAGCCGCTCCCGTTTCACCCCTCTCCTGGCCAGCGTCTCTTCCATGGGCTGTTTTCAGAGCTCAGGGTCTGTGTGCTCGCTGGTAGGGCTCCCTGCCTCTGTTGCTCTGAGAGTGCCAGCCCTCTGATTGTTCCTCTGAATGAATGAACCATCTTCTAGAGTATTATTTTTGAGCACCTACTGTGTGCCAGGCCCTATGCTAGATGCTGGGGGGCCAGGGGTGAATACTAGGCAGAGACAGAGGTTAAAGGCAACAGCGGCCAGTGGCTTTGATGGGGAGAGCAGGTCAAGCTGGCTACAGGCTGTTGCTTTCCAGGCTTGGGGCCTCTGGCTGGCTCCAGAAGCTTCCCCGCCATCAGTCATGCTCCTGGACTCTGGAAACCTCTTCTGGTCCCTAGGGGCCCAAGGCTGCAGAGGTGAGGCGCGTTTCTACTCTGAGCCGGCACACCCGGGAAGGGGCAGCCTCGCACGGGTTCTCTTCAGGTGTCCTGGTTCTGTTCTTGGTTCATGCCTTTCCTGTTGGAACTCATGACTTGAAGCCCCTTCGCTGAGAGTTTTACCCACGCTTAGAAGAGTTTTTGTTGTCGTCCATTCCCAGCCTGAGCTCACGGTAAATGCCTACCAACCGAATGTCTGTATTTATAGAAGCGTCTGAACCGGCACCCTCGACATGCGACCCTGAATGTTCTACTCCGTGTTGCCAGAATCACTTTATACCTTTTTAAGAGGATTCAATTCTTCTCTCTTTAAATACTATTGGGATTGGGGGCAGGAGAAACAAGATACGAAGAAAAAAAAAGTTTCTATAATCCCACCACTCAGAGACCATCTTTTTATCTTTACTTTTTTTTTTTTTTTTTTTTTTGAGACAGGGTCTCACTCTGTTGCCTTGGCTAGGGAATCTTTTGATGCTGGTCCTTTCAGACTTTCCTGGGGCTTAATTCTTTTTTCTTTGGAGACGGAGCCTCACTCTGTCATATAGGCTGGAATGCAGTGGCGGGATATCTTGGCTCACTGCAACCTCTGCCTCCCAGGTTCAAGCAATTCTCCCTCCTCAGTCTCCTGAGTAGCTGGACTACAGGTGCTCACGACCACGCCCGGCTAATTTTTGTATTTTTAGTAGAGACGCAGTTTCACCGTGTTGGCCAGGCTGGTCTCAAACTCCTGGTCTCAGGTGATTCTGCCTACCTCAGCCTCCCAAAGTGCTGGGTTTATAGGTTTGAGCCACTGTGCCTGGCCCCTGGGGCTTAATTCTGATCAGCAACAGAATGCTGATTCTGGGAAGGTCACGTTATTTAGCCCCTTTTAAGGTCTCTTCTCCTCTCCTGAACAGCTGCCTTAAAACCAGGACAAAAGTCAAACTCACAGCCAATTATAGGTCTGGAGATTTATTTTGTGAGATCAACCCTGAAATATTGAACATCTCATGGTCAATAACTTGCTCTAACAGCATTCTGTTGGGAGCCGGAGACTTGGGCCAAAAGCCATGCACACTGCTTCTCTTCTGATGCTGGAGACACAGCTGTGGCCTCTGGCCAGACCTCCAAGGTGCACTCCTCCTTTCTCACTCTGCCCGAGTGCAGCATGCACCCTGGGCTGGCCTGGTGAGGAGGCAGGGTCAACTTTCACCAGGCAAGCAGTTTTGGCAAAACCTGTACCCACCGGCCCACTTTCTCAGAGGGCAACTAGAGTCCAAGCTGTGGAGGCTTCAGCCCAGGCAGGAGTCCGTCCTGAGGGATATTCCACAGTGTTTCAGGGCTCTGAACCCAGGTCCGGTGGTCCTCTCGGCCTCACAATCCTTCTCCTGCCTCCAGGAGGGGGTGCCTGTGGCCCAGCCTGCCTCCTTCAATATCTACTCTGGCAGGGAAGGCGCAGCCACACTCTCCCTTGGGACCTCACTCCAGGTGTCCTGCCTTCCAGGACAAGTTCACTCCCATCATCTAACCTCAGTGCCTTCCAATGCAGGTGACCATTTCTTCCCGCTCTAACTCAGCAACAATAACAGCTAGCATCTGCTGCGTGCCAGCCATGCGCAGGTGCCATGTACAGGTTCTCTGTATATTATCTTGCTTAATCCTTACAACCGCCCCACGAAGCAGTTATTATTAGCTTCGTCTTTATAGATGGAGAGTCAGAGGCTAAGTCCTTTGACACAGGGCTCACAGCTAGAATCAGAGACATCCAATGCTACTTCCCAAGCCTGTGTTTCTCCCACTGAGAATCTCAGTTTACTTGGCAAACAGGAAGACAAATGTTGCTTGCCTTCATCTCCTCTTCCTTGCTTTTCTTCTCTTTAAAACAGTTTTTCTGACAGATTCTTCTTTTCACTCAGCGCTCCCCCAAAGCCAAAAAATAACCACCAAACTCTGACAATTCTTCTATGGCCTGCACTCTTACTGGCTGTTTCTACCAACACATTCTAGGATATCCCTCTCTTTTTAAACATCTAGAGCACATCAGAGCCATAAGGGTCTTTGGAGAAGTTCCCATTTTCCAGTAGCCACAGATTGCTCCACTTGAGCCTTAGATCACACCCTCCAGCTCTCGAATTTTCAGGAGAGACCCAGTTTTCAGGAGACAACCACATTTTGCCAGCACAGAATTGGGACTGGGAAGGGGGTTTGAGAGACATCCCAGCCGGATCATGCTGGGAGGAAGGTGGCAGGAATATGGGACTTAGCTCTGGGGACCAGATGCATTCCAGGAACCAGGTCTATGAGAAATGGCCTTCTTGGGTTGCAATGAATGTACCTATTTTGCTTCTGATATAATCTGTTTGATCAGTGTTGCTAGAGATGAGCAAAAATTCATGGCCTGGAGGTAATTAATCTACAGTGGAAAGATGCAATCGAGCAAAGCACCGTGTCTCTGATGTGCGTGTGGGAACCAGAAACCAGGGAGGCTGTGGAACCCAAGTTTACAGGGTTGCTTATGGTGTGGTGAGGGCCAAAGCTTTAAGGACTCAGATAAGCTCATCCCTAGAACAGGATGCCCTGGCTGGGATTGGGTATCAGGGTGAAGAGTCAAACTATTTAAGAACAGACATGATCAGGCACCATGCCAGCTGGGCTGCAGCCCTGGAGTAGGGACAGGCATTCATCCTTCATGAGGGCATTGGGAGGGCCCTGGGGTAAGGACCAGGGAGCACTTGAAGACTTGGAGCTCAAGGCAGGAACTGTTTGGCAAACAGTACAGAGGTATATTTAGCCACTTTGCCAATCAGTACAGCTGGGCCAGGGAGGACAGGCTGGACAGCAGTTTTCTGGGAAGCCAGGGGAGAGAGAGGGCCCCACTGCTCAGGCTGCCGACACACCGTCCCAGCCCCCTCCCCAGCCTGGATTCTGGGGTTGATCTTGGCAGGACTCCACTGCCCCCTGGGGACCTACTGGGGACTGGGGGACCTTGCCAGCTCATGTGGAAAAGAGGCAGCCCCTTGAATCTCAGGATTGGCTATGATGCAATCCAATGCTGCCCCTTCCCACTCCTACTTTTATAGATATGACTTTTGGCAGGGGTGAGGGTGGGGAACAAAATGTATGACTCTGCTCTGGCAGGCCCAGCTGGGCTGTGCTCTAGCTGCTGTGCATATGCTCTTATCTAACCTTCCAACCACCGCCAAGGAAGGCATCATTATCCCTGCTTTACAGAGGGGAAGGCCGCGTTTAGAGAGATTACATCTCAAACAGGCTTACACTGCCCAGGAGTGGCAGAGCCAGGACTTGGGTGCAGGTCTTCAGGGCGCATGCACTCCATCCACCTGGCTCTCACTATGAATGTACAGCACCAGCTAGCAGCTTGCTCCAGGCCATGTGCTGGACTAGTCAGTAGCAGAGACAGGAGGAAAAGCCTCAGCCTCCTCATTGGAGCTCTCCCTATACCCCAAGAATCTAGCCGTTACCACAAATCAGTCAAAAGAATACTTAATTACCAAAGGGCTCCCAGGGTCAGGCTCCTGGGTGGGAGTGGGGTCTGGGGAAGGGTCTGACAACCACATTTCAGAGGTGGTGGATCCGATGCCCATCGCTGGGCCAGACATACCCTCAGCAAACCATCCCATGAAGTCTGGGGAGCCTGGAGAGAGGGGAAGATGGCACCTGGGGAGCCTGCAGGAACTCCCTCCCCAGGGCTTCTCAGGTCAGGCCAGGCAGGTGATGCCACCTCCTCCTCCCTAGAGAGCTGGGTGTACCCTTCAGTTCCATGCAACACCTGTGTCAGAGCTTGGACTAGCCAGGTGCTGTCTTCCAGAACATGTGGGCCCTCCTTTAAGGAGACCATTGGGAGGGGACATGATGGGACCCTAATACATGTCCCAGCCACTCTGAGCAACATCCCAGACTAAGAGTCACCTGGGAGGAGCTACCATGGCTGTTTTCCTTTTTATCACCAGGCTAGTTGAGTGGTCAGGGCAAGAAATCCCGGCACCAACATGGACCCTCCAGGCCTGACAGGGGCAGATGCAGCTCATGGAGAGGCTCCTGAAGCCACATTTGGGGTCCCGGGCTCTTAACTGCTTCACTGCCCCCTTTGAGGTAAACTCTGTCACCTCTGTGGAAGACCTCTCCTGGCCCAAGCTCTTGGAGGCTCAAAAAGATTGGCAGGAACAATAGGTGGCCAGACGCCCTTCCAGCCACCCAAGTGCTGTGGGGAAACCAGGGCACACCCCAGGAGGCAGTGTCTACCTGGCTGGGCAGCAGGGGCATTGGCCACCACCCACCACGGAGCTCCCTGACTTGGGCTCCTAGGAGACTGAACAGGGTCTTCATCTCCCCCACCAAGGGGCAAAGTACTTTCAGGGCATCACCCATGTCATTCAATGATTTAACTTGAGCCGGGGAGGTGGCCCTGGGAAAGGTAATGAGGAAGAAGTGCTGCCTTCGAGGAACCAACTAATGATTCTTCCCAAGGTGAGCCTACAGCAGATTGAAGCATTGAGGTCATCTCCCTATTGCCTAGATGGGGAAACTGAGGCAGAGTTGGTCTAGAGCCCTGGCAACCTGATCCATGAACCCAGAGGTCTCCCTGTGAGGCTGTGAGGAGTTGGATGGACCCATGAGCCTTGACTGTAAACCCAGGTGGGCAGCTTTGTGGCTGATGGCAACAGATTGACAATGCCACCAATTCTCACCATACACTACACCATACTCTTGCACAGCATAGAAGCTTAGGATGTTTGCAGGGTTAAATCCTGCTTGCCATTAGGGCAGGCCAAATGTGGATCCCCCTGGCATACTCTCTATCTTGGGTGCTAGCCTGGCCCCAGGATGGCCCCACGCCACTTCATGATGCCTTGAAAATCTTGAGGGTACTCTCAGCAGGGCCACCCAAGCAGGAGCCCTGGCCCCAACTGGGATAAACCACCTCCCCCAGGTTTTAAGATGAGGCTGCCTGAGCCCAGGTCCTTGGGATGTCCAATGCCTACCAGCCCTCCCTGAGGCCCGTCTCCTGCTCTCAGCTCCCTGCCCCTGCCCCTCACTTCCTGGCCATGCCTCCCTGGCCCTCAGCCTCTGGCCCCAGCCACTGAGCACCCCTCCCTCACCTTCAAGGCACAGGTGGCCGAGGGCCTGCTGTCTTCTGCTTGGCATGGGTCTGGCAGGGAGTGGGAGACCCTGGCGTGCATCTGCCTCAGGAGCATCACGGCAGCTCTCCAGCTGGGTGGCAAGATCAGGAACTTATACTCTGACTCAGAGCTCCACCTTCCTGGCCACAGCTTGGCAGTAGCTGGGATTGCTCTGGGAGTGGTTTGAGTGGGTAGACAGATAGGGTGCATGGGCCTAGATCTCTTCATATCAAAGAAATCACAGGTCTTCAGGTCATAGAAATACAGGGACCCGCAGGGCTCTGGTCTTTGGGGTCAGCAGTCTGTAGCCCCCAGCCACTCAGAATGACCAGGCCTTCAAGGGCACAGTGGGTGGCAAGAAGAGGACACTGGACCCACATGACTGTAGGACTAGCCCGCCATAATTTGGGAAAGCTCTATCTCTTCAGCTTATAGAGGTCATGGCTCATAGATGCCCCTCTAGGAGGATGCGACCGTCGCTCCCAACTCCACTTCAGTTTCATGGCTTGGTACCCCAGGAGCTGTGGCCAGGGACCTTCATGGGGTCCCTGGCCACAACTCCCAAAGAGACCAGGGTCAGTGCTCCCAAAGCTAGAGGGTGAAGAAAGAAAATAATTGCCCAATACTTCGTGAGAAAGGGTCTGGGGCAACCATCCCCTGTCCTCCCTCCTGGGAGGCCAGGTGGAGAGAGGGCGTGTCCAGCCCCTGCCTGGTCTCAGGACAGCTTGGAGGATGCACCCGCCCCGCCCAGATGATTCCTATCTCTAGCCTGGTGGCTCACTGAGGGGCCTGACAAGGGCAGCTTTGCCTGTTCTGCTGCCTGACTCTGTACACTGGGAGTTTCCTGCCTGAGCTATTGCCTGGGGCCCCACAACCGGCTTTTCTGGACCATAGATAGAAGTGCTTTTTTGAAATTGAGGATGAGATCTGAACATGGGACAGACTGGGCCTGAATGCAGGGATGGAACCTGGTTGGAGGTACCTGTGGGAACTCTTCACGTGCCTGGCCTTCCAGAAAGTGGAGGGGCCTTAGCCTGCTGCTCTCCTGGCTTCCTTCCTTGCCCTGCCCTCCCCTCCTCTGCCAAGGATGGGGACTCAGCACCACATCCCTCAGTAAACTCCACAAATTCAATTTAGTTCATGTACCTAGTAAGCATCTGCTGTATACATCCTACTGAGAGAGGAAATCCTAAGCTTGAAGTTGCTGACAGTCTGGCTGGAGAGCCAGATGCATCCAACCCCTCAGAGGCTCAGGGATCCAAGTTTCCCTGTGGTGAGAGGGGGCATCTTAGAAGGATCGATAACAATCCTTCCTTCACATTTGTGAAGATCCATGGTTTACAGCAGTAGTCCCCATCCTTTTTTAGTGCCAGGGACTGGTTTCACCGAGGTTAATTTTTCCGCGGGTGGGCGGGAGATGGTTTTGGGATGATACAAGTGCCTTACATTTATTGTGCACTTTATTTCTATTATTATCATATTGTCATATATAATGAAATAATTATACAATTCACCATAATGTAGAATCAGTGGGAACCCTGAGCTTGTTTTCCTGCAACTAGATGGTTCCATCTGGGGGTTATGGGAGAGAGTGACAGATCATCAGGCATTAGATTTTCATAAGGAATGTGCAACCTAGATCCCTCGAGTATACAGTTAACAATAGGGTTTGTGCTCCTATGAGAATCTAATGCCACTGCTGATCTGACAGGAGGTGGGTTTCAGGTGGTAATACAAGTGATGGGGAGTGGCTCTAAATACAGATGAAGCTTCACTCACTCGCCCACTGTTCACCACCTGCTGTGTGGCCTGGTTCCAAACAGGCCACGGACTGGTACTGGTCTGTGGCCAGGGGGTTGGGGGCCCCTGGTTTACAGAGCTCTGCCACACAACTAAGAACTGGCTAGGGAACACAGAAGATGGAAAATGGATTCCAGCTGGAGAGGGAAAGAATGGATCTGAAAAGGCCTTACAGAGGAGGTGGCATCTGAATTGGGCTTTAGACGAGGAATGGGATTTCAACAGCTAGTGAGCCTAGGCACCACTAGGAGGAAGAGAGAGGCATCCTAGGAGGAAGAAACAGCATGAACACAGGCAGGGAGGCCAGAAAGCAGGGCACGCTTATGTATGCAGGTGGTCTGGTGTCTGTGCAGTGAGTTGTGTGGGAAGAGATACTGGGGGTAGAGAGTGGAACACAGGGGTGGTAGAAATTGGGCAGAAAGAAGGAGGCTTTGTGAAAGAACAAATCTGGAAAACACCCAGGTAAGGCCCCTCTGCTCTCTGGAGGGCCAGGCACATGAAGAGGTCCCACAGATACCACCAACTTGGTTCTGGCCCTGCATTTGGACCCAGTCTGCCCTGTGTTCAGAGGTCACCCTTCATTCCATACTAGATTAGGGTCCAAATAATCATGACCCTAAAAGGCCATACTTTATATTTGGACGTAGTCTCTAAGCAGTAGGGGGCTATTGATGGTTTTTGAGCAGGAGAGCTGAACTTTAAGAAGGCAAGGATGATTGATGTTGAAACAAGGGATCAATTAGGAGGTGAGATGTGAACCATCTGGGATAGGGGAAGTAGGGTGGAAAGTTAAGGGAGAGATAAGGCCAGAACAGGCCATACAAGCTAAGTCCAGGAGTTTCTGTGGCAACTCAACCCACAGCACTATACTGTCCTGAAAGTCATGGGGTCCCATCTGTCTCCCCATCCCTCCCACTCCCCCACCCTTCCCAATCAGATAGGCCAGGTTGAGCCCCAAACACCAGGGCATTCCTCAAGGCCTCCTATTTGGCCTCTTCTCACTGAAGAAGCCCAGCCACAAACCCCCACTCCAACTCGTATGTTTCCTCACTGTCTATCAACTCCTCAGAGCAGGGTCTCAACTCATTTTAGTTGAATTAAATCAAATTGAATAGGGGGCTGATGGGAGCTTGGTGGAAGTTTCTTCCCCCACATCCTCTGTGGTGCCTCTGTCCCAGGTGGGAGCCAGTGTGACCTTGAACTAAGTGGACTGATCTACTGGAAAGTATTTACCGACTGCCTGCTGGGTGCCCATCTCTGTGCTGACCACTCAGGTGGGGTCTGGAATAAAACAACCAAGAATGTAAAATCTAGAAAGGGGAGGAAAGGGGGTAAAATTAAATGGTAAATTGGCCAGTGTGGGCTCTAAGTGGGATGGGAGGGGAGCAGAGCAGAGGACTCGGGGAGTTGGAAGTGGACTGGGACAGTGAGTAAGGAGTGTCAGGCAAACAGTGACATCCCCACGCCAGGGTGCGGGTGCCAAAGCAGCAATCTTGGTACACAACTGCTGCTCCAAGTCAAGTGCTCTTTTGGTAGAGTTCCTTCTGTGTGGAAATTCTGAACTTGTCTCTGCAGCAAGGGGAGGGAACAGTTCCTTTCCACCCAGCACTGATGACCAGGGAGCCCCAGGATCCTCAGATCCCCTGGGCTACTTGGGCCCAGCCTTGCTGCTGTGTGCGCTGAGGCCTCCGACTCCAGGCCTGTCGCCAGGCTTGTTACCTGACACTTCAGATGGGGTGACCAGGCACTGCCTCTGCCAGCAGACTCTTGGCCTCAGGTAACCCAATATTGAAAAGCACATTCCTCCCAGAAGCCCAGTGGATGCCACTCCCCTGTGGGCCCAGCAAGGATGACTCCTCACTGTCCGCTTTCCAGGTGGTTCAGGGCCCTGTCCCTTCCTTCCCACCTCCTGCCAGCAGCACCTGTCTCCAGCCTCCTCTCTGCCTCCTACAGCTTGTGAGCTTTAGAAACACTCCCTTCAACCTCTCGTTCTTCTGCTGAAAAGCACCTAACGCTTTTCCAGTCTTTGCCAACAAACTCTGGATTCCAATACCTTCCATAAACCAGGTAGGACCCAGGAGCAGCTCTACGTATATACGGAATTTTAGCATACAATAAAGGAAGTATGTGAAATCAGTCGTGAAACTGTAAGAATTAAAGAGGAGCCAGGCGCGGTGGCTCACGCCTGTAATCCCAGCACTTTGGGAGGCTGAGGTGGGTGGATCACGAGGTCAGGAGATCGAGACCATCCTGGCTAACACAGTGAAACCCCATCTCCACTACACAAAAAATTAGCCGGGCATGGTCGCGGGCACCTGTAGTCCCAGCTACTCAGGAGGCTGAGGCAGGAGAATGGCATGAATCCGGGAGGCGGAGCTTGCAGTGAGCCAAGATTGCACCACTGCACTCCAGCCTGGGAGACAGAGTGAAACTCTGTCTCAAAAAAGAAAAAAAAAAAAAGGAAAAGAAAAGAAAAGAAAGAAAGAGGAAAGAAACATGAAAGGTGACTCGCCAGTAAGACAGGTTTACTTAAGGGAAAACAAACCTGAGAGGGGCTTCTGGCCAAGTTAGGTCAGAGGCATACTCTCTTACAGACTAAGAGTTTTTAAGGATTCAGAGTGGGAGAGTTTATCAGAGGCTTGGACTGCTTCTGTGTCTCTTTGTTGTGCTTATCTGGGAGGGAGAGTTGTGTGTCTGTTCCCATACATCTTCCTGTAGCTGCAGGCATACCTCCCCCCACCCCCCACTGGAGTCTGCTTTTAGCTTCCCTATCTTAGTGCACCTGAAGGGAAAGGAATGTGCTTATTAAGGCCCAATGTTTTACTGGGACCCATTGTATGCAGGCGAAGTTTGGCAGTTCCAAGAGACGTTCCCCCTACCTCCCTCTGTACCCAAGCTATCTTATCTGTGTTTTACTGCCTGCTCTTTCTGGCTGCTTGTAGTTAGAAGAGAAGTGATTTCCTTGAAATGCATGAGGCTAGAAAGGGAGCTGGAACTTAGAGTGGTGGTGTTTGTCTGAGATGACGGTGCTCCTGCTCTGTCAGAAAGGATGGACCATTCATTATTGGAAAAGCTAGCTTACCATTTGGAATAAAATGAAATTAACTTCACAAAATAAATTCCAGATAGCTTAAATATCTAACCATTAAAATAAAACTATATATAATTTAAAATGAAATGTGAGAGTACATTTATATAATGTTAGGTGGAGGAGGATCTTCCTAAACAAGGTATAAAACCTAGAAGCAAATAGGGAAATATTGTCAGTTTTGAATACACAGAAATTTTAAACTTCGGTAAAGCAAAAGATGCCATAAGCAGAGTTCCACCTCTACAATAGATCTCACGTTTCCCCTCTTAATAAATATTCATGCATAACAAAATCACTTTAAAAAAAAAGATATAGAGGAGAGTCTTGCCCTACCAGGTACTAAGATAAATTACAAAGCCATACTAATACAAACAGTATATTATGGGAACAAAATGGAGGGAACAGAGACAGACCCCTGCTTTTCAAGGGAACTTAATATATGATAAAATTGGCACCACAAGTCAATGGGAAAAGAATAAACTGTTTAATGGGTGACATGGCAAAAGTGACTTACTATATAGAGTAAAAGAAAACAGCATTCCCATTTCATACCATATAAAAAGGCAGGCTGTAAAAAATTAACACAGGGAAAAGCCAGGAAATGCAAATTCATCAGAAATGCAAATAAAAATGAAAATGAGATTTTACTACAGCTACTAAATTGGAAAAAATTGAGAAAGTTGGATAATGGCAAGTGTTGGTGGGAATATGGGAATAGAGTCACCATCGTGCTCTGCTGTGGAAGAGGAGGCTATCAGGTCAGTGAGGACACTCTGTCGTCACTTAGTCAAAGTAAGAATATCAGACAGCAATTCTGATTTGGATATAGAAAGATATGTATGAGGGTCGGGTGTGGTAGCTCATGCCTGTAATTCCAGTACTGTGAGAGGCCGAGGTGGGAGGATCATTTGAGGTCAGGAGTTCGAGACCAGCCTGGCCAACATGGTGAAACTCCATCTCTACTAAAAATACAAAAATTAGCTGGGCGTGGTGGTGGGTGCCTAGAATCCCAGCTACTCAGGAGGCTGAGGTAAAAGAACCGCTTGAACCCAGGAGACAGAGATTGCAGTGAGCTGAGATCACACCACTGCCCTCCAACCTGGGCGACAGAGCAAGACTCTATCTCAAAAAAAAAAAAAGAAAGAAAGAAAGATGTGTATGAGGGCATTCACTCCACATCACTTACAGTATGAGAAATGTGGAACCAGCCCATGTGAGAGCATGGCTGGAAGCATGAATGGGGAGTGAAGGATGTGCAACCTGCTGCAGTCATTCAAAGCAACACACGAGACGCACGCAGAACAACATGATGGGTCTGGGACAATCAGTGTTGACAGGAAGAGGCAGGAAACACTGGTAAATCTATCAAGGACATCTACAACAACTTCAATATGGCTAGGGAATATATTCAAATAAAATATGCATTGAACACAGTAAAATGATTGCCTTTCTGCTGGGAGGGGATGGGGAAAGTTTTGTGGGTATAGGGAAACAGCAATCAATCAAGAAAGCTGGAAGGGGCCCCCCAGGGACCAGTGAGGATATTGGGCCATGTCTTGGAGTCCTCTGCACCTCAGGTGAGATATTTTTTTCCCTCCAGCTTTTTCCCAGATGTTGCTGCCACTGCTCTTGTCTAAGCCATTATCTCCACTTAACTCCTATATTGCCTAACGGATCTCCCTGCTTCTACTTTTGCCTTCCTATAAGCCACTCTCTACAGAAGAGCAAAAGTGATCTCCTGAAAACATAAGCGAGATTACGTGACTGGCCGGATTCAAGCCTGCCCCTCACTTCTGGCGGCTGACTTCAGACCTTCTCTGAAGGTCTGTGTGGTCGGGCTGCTCACGTTTGTCCTACTTTTCCCTTCACACCCAAGCTCCAGCTACACTGGTCCTTCATGCCCAGGCTCCTTCCCATGTTGGGAATTTGGCCTGAAGTCCTTGACCGCACTCTGTTTATAGCTGCTCTATCTCATCCATCACAGCCCTGCTCAAATGCCATTTTCTGTGGCAGCCCTCCTGGGCCACCCTCCACCTCTCATCTACCTACTTGCTTCTGTGTTGCTCTATTAACATAATTCATCATATGCTCACTAATCTTGTTTTCTTATTCTTTTTGCCTTTTTCCACCAGACTGTAACCCTTTTCAGGACATGGACATTGCCTGTCTTGTTCATCAGCTGGAAATACCTAATGCCCATCAGTAAAGGAATGGCTAAATTAGTTACGACACATTCACACACGTTACACAGATGTCAACAGGAGCAAAGTGGCTCTCATTTATTGAATGTTTACAAAGTAGCAGGGACTGGTCTAAGTATTTTATATTGCCTGCCAAGCAGATACTATTATTATCTCATTTTAAAGAAGCAGAATTGAAACACAGAGAGGATAAGAACCTTGCTCAAGGTCACGATGGTAAGTGACAGAGCTGTGACACTAGCTAGTTTGGATTTAACCACTATGATCCCAGGTAGAAAGCTGCTGACCTGGAAAACTGAGATTCTGTACTGCGTTTTTATTTTATTTATTTATTTACTTATTTATTTATTTATTTATTTATTTATTTATTATTTTTTGAGACGGAGTCTCACTCTGTTGCCCAGGCTGGAGTGCAGTGGTGTAATCTCGGCTCACTGCAACCTCCACCTCCTGGCTTCAAGCAATTTTCCTGCCTCAGCCTTCTGAGTAGCTGGGATTACAGGAGTGAGCCACCACACTGGGCTAATTTTTGTATTTTTTGTAGAGAAGGAGTTTCACCATGTGGGCCAGGCTGGTGTCAAACTCCTGACCTCAGGTGATCTGCCCACCTCGGCCTCCCAAAGTGCTGGGATTATAGGCATGAGCCACCGTGCCCAGCCTGTACTCTCTTTTTAAAAGGCTTCTTCTATGTGCCTATGTTTCTTGATAAATAAAATCCAATTTCCTAAAACAAATGTACAATGAAGAATATAATTTTCATGACATAAAGTAAAACAAGCCTTACAGCTTCTCTGGGTAAGATGAGATTAAAAAATCAACCATGGAAGTTAATATGTTGAGATGTCCCAGAACTTCTGGCCAGCAAACTAGATGTGACTCTATTTCATGATGACAAGATAACAAAGTATAAACATTACAAGAAAGGACCTTCACTCCAATGTAGGTAATGTTTGTATTCTTAGTGTCATCAATGTATCTGGCTCATGAATATTTTCTGCCCTGCCTTATCTTTACAAAATATTAAGGGCCAGCTTAGTGCTTTTCTTTTCTTTTCTTTTCTTTTTGAGACAGTCTCGCTCTGTTGCCCAGACTGGAGTGCAGTGGCGCGATCTCAGCTCATTGCAACCTCTGCTTCCCAAGCTCAAGCGTGATTCTCCCATGTTAGCCTCCCGAGTAACTGGGATTACAGGCACACATCACCACGCCTAGCTAATTTTTGTATTTTTTTTGTAGAGACAGGGTTTTGCCATGTTGCCCAGGCCAGTCTCAAACACCTGGGCTCAAGCAATCTGCCCACCTCAGCGTCCCAAAGTACTGGGATTACAAGCATGAGCTACTGTGCCTGGCCCTTTTCATTCTCAAAGCACTTGTATCCACAGCTCAATATTTCTCTTCCTGCCATTAAAACTTGTGGCCTCTGGTTTCAGCTAGATGCCAGGCTTTATTTCCCTGCTCTGTACTCTCTTGCTCATACAGTGAGGTGCCAAAAGCCTTCTGCACACTGAGTTTACTCCTTATCACCCATCACTTTGGTAAGGATGACATCGTCATTGTCTCAAGACTGAGTATGGTATAGCGGTCTAGACTTTAATAGACCTGGGTTTGTACCTTCATTCTGTTACATATAAACTACATGGACTTGGGTAAGTTTATCCCTCTAAGCCTGAGCTTCTCCATCTGTAAAGTGGGAAGCATAACAGTTTCTACCTCATGGGATGGTTGTCCAGAATAAATGAGGTAAAGGACTTAGCACATGACGGGCACGTGGCTGATTCACTATAAGTGATCCACAGTACAGTAACATCAGGGATACAAAGACATCATCGCTGCCCCAAGGACCTCCCAATTTAAGTTGGATGAGGCAGGAAGGTTACACAGATAGTTTCAGGACAATCACGTCATATATGAGAAGAGAGGTAAAAATAAGCTGCTCAGAGAGCTTGGCCACTCAGGGCTGGGGAGATCAGAAGAGGGCCTGGAGGAGGAAGAATTTGAACTTGCCCTTGAAGAAGGAAGGATATGGGCCTGACAAATGAAGAGGAGGGGAGAGGACATTTTTCTCAGGTGAGGTGGCATGAGTAAAGGAATGAAGGTTGGAGAAGGGAATTAAGGAGGTTCATGGATATGGAGTGAAAGAATCACAATCTTTCTTCAGTCAGCAGTGGAACTCATGGCAGGTTTTTGAGCAGAGAGAGTTGAAGAAAGAGAGGAAACCCTGCTCCTACAGTAGAACAAGTGACTCTCAGCACTGTGTGTGGTTAGGGTGAGCTGGAAGGCCTTCATCAGCCATCATGGGGCTCCTGGAGCAAGTGGTAGCCTGCAAAACGCCCCAGATCAATGCCTATCCCTCTTTATCTGCGAGGAACAGCCACCAGGTTTAGTTTTCTCCAAATACACGATAGGCTCCCAGAGCAGGGCACACTTTGCATCAGGCTCTCCAACTATCACTCTGGGCCCCGAGGGGATGGAGCTCAGGAAAGAGAAATCTGCACGTTTGTGGAGGAGGAGGAGAAATTTGGAGCAGGGCCTGTGTGAGAGGGAGATGGTGGGAGGCCAGGTGGCAGCCTTCATTCATTTCTTCACTTTGCCTCTGGCCATCCCCCATTAAGCTAGAACAGAGTCCTGCTCCATCTGTGTTGAGGTGGTCTCACAGCCTTCTGCTTCCCCCTCAGCCCAAGTAACCACTCATTTGCCTCCTGTTGCTGTAGACTAGGTGTGTCTTTTCTGGAATTTCACATAAATGGAATCATGCAGTGTTTGCTCTTTTGTGTGTGGCCCCTTTCATTTAGCATAAGGCTTTTGAGATTGGTCCAGGTTTTTGTGTGTAACAAGAGTTTACTTTTTCATTGCTGTGTAGCATTCCATTGTAAAATTATTACAATTTGTTTATCCATTCATCAGTTGAAGGGCAAAATTTTTTCTTTTCTTTCTTCTTTTTGAGACAGAGTGTTGTTCTGTTACCCAGGCTGGAGTACAGTGGCACAATCAGGGCTCACTGCAGCCTTGACCTCCCTGGCTCCAGTGATCCTCTCACTTCAGCCTCCTGAGTAGCTGGGACCACAGGCATTTGCCACCATGCCCAGCTAATTAAAAAAAAATTTGGTAGAGTCGGGGTCTCACTATGTTGCCCACGCTGGTCTTGAACTTCTGGGCTCAAGAAATCCACCCGCCTCTTCTTCCCAAAGTGCTGGGATTACAGGTATGAGCCACCGCACACAGTCACAAAGTTCCTTCCCTTCATGCTTAGCAATCATAAATAAAGCTGCTGTAAACATTTGCACACAGGTTTCTGCATAAATATACATTTTCATTTCTCTTGGCTAAATCCCCAGACGTGAAATGGCTGGGTCTGATTGATGTTTTTACAGAGTGATGGCATGTCTGGGCTCGTCTAAAAATCCCAGCCTCCTGCACAGAGCCTCCTCTCTTTGGCACTTTCCCATTTTTCCTCCTCTCATTTTCCTCTCTTCCTCTCCCTTCATCCTCCTCTTTCTCCCATAGGCTTCCCTTTTCCCTCCTCCATCCCACAGTCCTCTCCTGCCAAGCTCCTGGGTTCTCCCACAGAGGGGGTATTGTAACAGGCAGCCCTCACGTTTTCTTGGTCCAAGGCCAGCTGACCAAGCACCCACAACTAGACTCTGCCAAGCTTCTTGACATCAGCTCCTGAGCCAGGGCACCTCTCGGAGACTCCCAGACTTCACAGGGAGAGGGAAGGGGAGGTCTTCTAGCAAGTTCAGCCCTGCAGTAATTGAGCAAGGCTGGGTTTCTCCTAGTTCCACTGTCTTAAGAACTGTGTCAGATGGTTCTAGTCTACCTGATATCATTTGGATGTTTGTCTCCTCCAAATCTCATGTTGAAATGTGATCCCCAATGTTGGAAGTGGAGCCTAGTGGGAAGTATTTGGGTCATGGGGATGGATTTCTCATGAATGGCTTGGTCCTTCTGGTGGTAATGAGTGAGTTCTCGCTCTGAGTTCATGCAAGATCTAGTTGTTAAAAAAGAGTTGACCTCCCAACACCTCCTTGCTTCCCCTCTTGCCACCCAACATGCTTGCTCCCTGTCAGCCTTCTGCCACGAGTAAAAGCTTCCTGAGGGCTCACCAGAAGCCAAGCAGATGCTGGTGTCATGCTTGTATCGCCTGCAGAACCTCTTTTCTTTGTAAATTACCTAGTCTCAGATATTCCTTTATACAATGCAAAATGGACTAATATACTACTCCATTCACTGGTGCTCTATGTTTTGACTGAATTGAGTTCCAGCCAAGTTCTAACAGAGAAAAATAATTCCCCATGGGCACCATTCAGTTCAAACCCCGGAGTCAAGGGTCCCTGCCCACCACCCCACAGGGAAGGGGAGGCAGAAGGGGCAGTGTCAGGCCTGGGAGGGGCATGAGCAGGAGATGCCTTCAGATCACGTCCTGGGTTTGACAAGGACAGCACAGCTGAGGAAGGCCTTGGCTCCCTACTGACTTTAGGTCAATGTCCATTTGCATTTAGGAAGGCAGTGTGGGGGTGGACAGAACACCGGGTGGGGAGACTTCTGTATATTTTCACCATCTCAGGTGAGTCTGAGAGGCAGCCGTGGTGTGGACCATCCAACCAAGTGGCCTTAGAGGCCTTTCTCACTGCTGATTTCTGGGGCCTGGCTTGTTCCTTGCTGCCTGGTGAGGCTATGCCATGCTTGGGCACAGAGAAGAGAATAAGGTGAGAGATTTGTGGGGTAAGACACAGACTAAAAATTGTGTTTGATGTCAGAAAGGAGGAACACAGCCAGGAAAGAGCTTTAAGTAACTAAAAATAGGCTGATATTTAGTGAGGGGACCGAGATTTGGGTTACGTGAAAACAGAATTTGTGGCCTGTTCTTGGCAGGATCCAGGGCAGGGGACTCCCCCACCCCTCCCCACTGCATGTGTGTGTGAGTGTGTGAGAAGTGTGTGAGTGTGAGAACAGGTATGTATGTGAGTATGCTGTGAGCATGTATGAGTGGTATGTTGTGTAAGTGTGCGAGTGTGTGTTGTATGAGTGTGCTGTGTGAATATATTGTGTGAGTGTGTGTGTTGTGTGAGAGTACTTGGGAGCGGACGCTTATGTGTTCTTGCCTTGACCTTTAGGAGGAAGAAGGCTCCTGAGCTCTTGCTGGAGAATAAAGTCCAGTTGCACCGAGATGGATTAAAGTCAGCAGCCCTGTGGTGCTGGGCCTGTGGTCCTGGAGCCTGGTTTCTGGCTGTCCCGATGAGCCTTGGCCCTGCTTGCCCTGCCAGACAAGAATGAATGCAAGTCTTGTAGCCAGTAAAGGCAAAATACCCTGGGGATTTTTTCAGTGCCACACTGTTGGTTTTAAGGTTTGAGTTAAAGAATTTTCACTGAGGAAACAGAGGAGTGGCTGAGCTGGCCCTTATGACACTGGGAGGGCTTCTGGGAGGGGCCCTGCCCAGCCTCTGCACTCTGTCTGGTTGGTGACTAGTGGGCTCCAGGGCCAGCATGGTGAGATGCCAGGCACCTGGAGGAGGCATTGGGGCAAAGGACATCCTGGGTGGGTGGGGTGGGAGGGGCAGGTCCTTTGGGGTGACTCTGCAGTCCTGGTTTCTGTCATCTGGGCAGCACCTGGGTGAGGCTGAACACATGGATGATCAAGCACCAAAGGCAGAAGAGGGTCCTCTGGTCTGTGAGGAGCAGGAGAGGGACAAGAGCCACCACCTGGCACCCTCTCCCTGCTGCCGCCCCGCAGCCTGTGAAAGCAGCCCCTGGCCCTGGGTGGAGTGGGCCCTGGTGGGGATGGGCTCAAGCCTCCTGTCCTGTGTAGGGGAGCTGGCAGCATGGCAGAGACCCCTTGCCAAGGTGCAAATGACACTTCACCTCTCTCAACTGCTATTTCCCTCTGTGCACATGGATGTGTAGGGATTGGGTGGAGTGGGAGAGAGGAGTTCAAGTCCTTTTTCCGGTGATGTAGAAATTCAGAGGGAAGGACTCTGGGCTCCAAGAGCACAGACCTGACCCCCTGTAGTATCTGCCTCGTAGCCCTCAGCAACTGTCTGCTGCAAACAGTAACCAAAGACTCATTTGAAAGTAACCAAACATCCTGGTTTGTCCAAGACTAAAGGGTTTCCTGGGACTCAAGACTTTTAGTGCTAAAACTGGAAAGTTCCAGGCAAACTGGGATGATCAGATCACTTATTTCTAATTTCCCTTGAAAGTATTTTTGGAAGTAGAGACATACCTGGTATGCCAGACCCGGAGTACTCCTAGGCTTTGTAATTATTTGAGGCAAAATAATTTGATTACTTTCTGATTTTATTTTGGAGAATATGAAGAAAATCTGTATGTGCTGATTCTGAGTACATAAGCCAGTCCTGAGGTTAACGGTTGACTGTGTCTGTATGTGGGATGCTGGTATAGTGGACACATGAACCTAGAGTCCCTTTCCCCTTCCTCTGATAAGAAAGCACCGTTTTCCTTTAGGATCTTATGGAGCTGTCATCAGGGAATCATCCTCCTTTCTCAAAGGTGGGCCCCAACCAGTCTGGCCAGTCTCATTCTCATCCTCTTAGACTCAGTGATTGGTTCAGGAACAATTAAATCTCCTCCTCTGCCCCCTCCTCTTCTACGTCCTCTTTTTAAGGATTATATGAATATTGAGAAAGAGAGAGAAGAAGAGGTCAGCTTTGAGTTATTGGTGGCCATCTTTGTCACCATGTGGAAGGACTCAGCCTTAAAAAGTTGAGAGAAGGAGAAAAAAAGACAAAATCCTGAGGACATGATCTGGACTGCTAGATCCAGCTATGCCTGAAGCCTATATGCCCCTTGGACTTCCCAGTTACATGAGACAATAAAGGCTTTTTATTTGCTTAAGCGTATTTGAAATCAGCTTTAGTTACTCTGCCACTTGCGCCTGAACAGAACTCCACACAGACTCCTGATGTGCCTGGCTGCCACATCTGCAGGAGGGCTGTACTCTGGGCTCTGTGCAGGGGATCACAGGGGTGATGCCTTTCACTGTCCCCTGAACTGAGTCCCTTATGCCTTTAAATTAGGGCATATGCTCCTCCAGGGCACATCTACGGTGGGAGGCACATGTCTGAACATTTGCCTTCAGGAGCCCTCTTCTCCGAATCGTGGGGGAAGAGATCTTCCAAGTTCCTTCTCTCATCTTCCTGTTCTTCTCGCCTCATTTCCAGGATTTGCTCTGATCTCTCATTTGTCCTTGACTGGAAGTCAACACTGTCATATGTCTACCCACCACTCACATACCTTACTGCCTTGGTGACATCCCCTGCATAGGGAAAGCCTCTCCCCATCCTGGGAGGAGCAACCAGCACCTGAAACATTACATTTCAACACCTGTAAACTGGGACAGATGAAAAGCGTTGGTTATTGTCCATGCCTAGGGGCTAGAGAGTGGGGACTCACCCTCGTTCTCCTGCTGGGAATGGGAGAGGCAACCATGCTTTCCCAGCGAGTAAGGCTCAGTTGAAGGAAGGGAAAGGCAGGCAGGATGGGGCAGGCCCAGGGGATGTTGCAAAACAGCCACAGGAAATGGAAATCATGTCATATGCAAATCAGGATAAGAATTTGCAGATGGGCTCGGCACTTGGGCTTCAGGTTAATTTTTTAACCAAAGGTTAAACACTATCCCTAGGAAGAGAGAGAGGGGAAGTGATTGGGTAAGGAGCACCCTGGGGCCTTTGACTCTGTCACCAGTGTGATTTTTTAAGGCTGGGCAGTGGAGTCATAGGTATCCATTTTATTATTCTCTATACATTTTGTATATCGTATATATTGCTTTATACTTTTTTAAAGCAACCTGAATTCATGTCTATCACTCCCAGGCATTTCTTTACTCTTTCTCTACCTATGTGTGTGTTCCTGAGCTATACTTGGAATTATTTCACGTTTTTAAACTTTATATAAGCTAGGTAACATACAAATATCCATTCTGCTATAAACATGTTTTTTTTCTCTACTTTACATTAGGCTTGTAAGATTCACCTATATTGGTTAACAATAGATATGGTTCATTCATTTTCACAGTTGTGACCTATTCCACAACTTATGATTTTGTGGGTTAGACATTTAAGCTGTTCCTAATGATGGCAGCGGCGGACCATCTGGAGCGGCCGCTGCCATCACCGGCCGCAGCAGGGAGGGTGCGGGGAGGAGGCCGACAGCCTCCTCTGCAGCCCACCGCCCTGGGGGCCGCGGCGATGGGGCTGGGCCAGGTCGCCCGCTGGCAGAGGAGCAGCGCAGCTGGGGAGCAGCGCGACTGGGGAGAGCAGGGCCCTGAAGTGGAACTGGGCCCAGAGCGGTGCTGCTCTTGCACTGGGAGCAGGAGCCCCAGGAGGGGGAACTGGGGATGCGCTTCTGGGGCCCGGGTCTGAAAGTGGGAGCGGTGCCGCTTTGGGGACCAGCCAGCGGGGCAGCCATTGCTGCCATCGCCGAGGATGCCGGGTTCCTGTGCCTCGGGTGGAGGCTCTGCTCGGCGCTGCTCAGGGCCGCGTCCCCAGGTCCACCCTGCATCTGGGTGACCGCCTAGCCTGACACTCCCAAAGGCTGGGCCAGGGCCTGCCATCCACACCACCCTGGACCGCCCCTGGTTGCCAGGGCAACAGAAGGGAGCTCATAGCCGTGTCGCCCCTGCCCTGGACACTGGCCGGGGCCCAGCCAGGACCTGGAGCCCCTGCCCCAGGCTGCGAAGGAGGGGCGGATGGAGCTGCATGCTCCGCGGAGCTGGCGGGAGCCGGGAGCCGGGGAGCAGGCAACAGCCCAGGTTGGGGCTGTGGGCCTGGGCCTCTGTGTGCTCTTGGGGGCCCTGGGAGTCCCCCCGACCCCCCGGCCTTGCAGGCTTGGAAGTGCCTGCTCCCGTTGCCTGGCTTCTCCCCGCTGCCGGCGCCCACTCCGATCTCAGAGCACCGTGGGGCCGAGTCCAGGTGCTGTTGCAGCCTGGCCGAGGGTGCACATATTTGGGGCAGTGCTGGTATGCCAGCCCCCTGCCGCTTCAGCCCCCTCCAGACTTTGGGTGCCAACGAGCATGGGGTGGGGGGTGAGGCCAAGGTGGGGGACTGAGGGCAGCTCCGTGCTGGCCTGTAGGTGCCCCTTGGCACCAGCAGCCTGGGCACCATAGGTGGCAGCAGAAGGCAGACAAGCTCCTGGGTAGAAGGGGGTGGGTCCCTGGTGAGGCCCCACCTTCAGGCCAGGCTGCCAGTCCTGTAGATCAGAATGGGAACTTGTGGTACCTTTTCCAGGCTCACCCATGGCTGCCCACGGACCAATGTGCGCGCACTTCCTCCCCTCGAAGCCCTGGGCTCAGCCAGAGCAGAGCGGTCGTCAGGATGACCAGCTGCTGAGAGGAGCTTCCCACTCCAGGGCCTCCTCTCTGCTAGGAGTTGAACACTAGTAGGGACGCCCTGGCTGGGAAAAGAGCTACCTACTGCGGGTCTCCTCTGAGCTGTTCTATTGCTGGATAAATCTCCTCATCTTCTTGCTCACCTCCCACTTGTCTGTGTACCTTGTTCTTCCTGGTCACAGGACAAGAACTTGGTACCTGTCTAATGGCGGGTCTAAAAGATCTATAACACAAACAGGGCTGAAACATGCCCCTTGCTCACTTCGTTGTGGGTGAAGAGAAGGAGAGAAGAGCTGCGGCCCTTCAGGGAACCCAAACCTGGGAGCTCATGGAGCCACATCTGTGACTCCCTCTTCGGGGCCCTGTGGTTCCCGGCATCTCCAAGCTTCTGGGCACCACCACATTCCCTGGAGCCAGCTGTGGAAGCTGCTTGCGGTGCACCTGGAGCTGCCCACCTCACTGCGGCAGCTGGCATGTAGCCAGACCCCACGTTTGCTCACACACCCATTGCTGCTCTATGCAGTCTCCCTTGGCAGGGATCCAGGCTGGTAGTGTGAGCTGAGTGCAGCCTGCCAGGCTGAGTGGGCAGAACGAACCCAGCGGACCCAAGCAAAACTTGGGCAAAGGTGCCAATAGCCACAGGTTTCTGGCCAGAAAAGTGACACCCCAAAGATCCCATAACATTAAGTTTTGCTGTTACTGTATTTCATCAGTTCCAAGGTACACATTTTTTCCCATTTTAAAATCTGTGAAATAAGAGATACTTTTTAAAAACTTATAATGTGTAATATTCTGATGTGTAATATCTAAGGTATTGGTATATCTTAGATCAGTGGTCCCCAACGTTTTGGCACCAGGGACTGGTTTTGTAGAAGACAATTTTTCCATGGATGGTGGGGGCAGGGATGATTCAAGTGCTTTACATTTATTGTGCACTTTATTTCTATTATTATTACACTGTAATATATAATAAAATAATTATACAACTCACCATAATGTAGAATCAGTGGGAGCCCTGAACTTGTTTTCCTGCAACTAAATGGTCCCATTTGGGGGTGATGGGAGACAGTGACAGATCATCAGGCATTAGATTCTCACAAGGAGCGTGCAACCTAGATCCCTTGCATAGGCAGTTCAGAATAGTGTTTGCACTCCTATGAGGATCTAACGGCATTGCTGATCTGACAGGAGGCAGAGCTCAGGCGCTAATGTTCACCAGCCTGCTGCTCACCTCCTGCTGTGTGGCCCAGTTCCTAGCAGGCCACAGACCAGTACGTACCGTGAGCTTTCTTAGAATTGACTATGGTAAGGGAGAATAAGAGGCTTGAAAGCAGTGTGCGGGCAGGGAGTACAATGCTACTGTGCACTTTCTTGTACATGTCATGTTTCTTTAGTGTCTATATTCCTAGGAGTATAAATTGCTGGGTTATGAGGGATATTATCACCAATTTTACTAGATATTACCAAAGTGTTCTCCAAAGTAATTGTTACTGATTCACACTTCCAATACTATGTATGAGAATTCCCATTGGGCTATACGATGGGGTATCATCTGACTTTTTGAGTTTTGCTAATCCAGTGGATATAAAATGGTATCTCATTGTGGTTTTCATAGGCATTTTCCTTATTATTAGGGATCGTGGGCATCTTTTCAAGATCTTTTACTTTCACTAATCCATGTTCTTGGGACTGACTTTTCATTGACTCCACCCACTTCCCCCACCCACTGCCTTCAAGCCTCTTACCCTAGTCAAATCTAAGCACCATCAACACTTATGAATATACAGCAGTAGTTATCCAAAGCTACAAGACTATTTATGCCCAAGTAATTACACTCTTGGAAACTCACACCGAGGAATACAAATGCTATCTGCTCAAAAATTTCATTTAAAATTTTTGATGGTGAAGAATTGAAAATCACATAATATGCTCAATATTGGTAGAAATATTAGTAAATAATTGCATATTTCTATGACTGAATTCTATGCAGTCTTGGAAAGAGAACTATAGAGAGAATGTACCAATATGGAAAAATACTTTTGTTAATGGTGTGATACTGGTATACTGATTAGCAGACTGATCAACAGAATAGAATGAATATCTCCAAATAGAACCAAGTATACATATATACATACATATGTATGTGTACGTATATATATATATGAATACTTGAATTTGCATATGTATGTATATACACATATACTTGGATTTAGGATATAAGAAGACTGGATTATAAAGATAAATAAGTAAAAAATATTAATTTTTCTATAAAAATCATAGCCACAGAAGAAAACAAGATCACATGCAAAATAGCAATGAAAAATAAAATATATAAACCTAAGGAGAAATAAATAAGAAATTCACAGACACTATGTAGAAAGCTATAAAACTCTCCTAAGAGACATAAAACAGCTTGAAAAATTAACATACATACCTTGTTCTTAAATGGGAAAATAAAATGATCAATTCTTCCTAAATTGATCTATTTATTTAGTACAATAACCAATTAAATTTCCAACCAGAAGTTTTGGGGGAACTTAACCAAAAGTTGTAAAATGTATGCAGAAAAATGAAAATGAAAAAATGTTCAGTGAATTTGTAAAACAGATAAAATTAAGGAGAGAAAACTAATTCTATCAATAAATGTACTTTAAAGCCACAGTATTTGGCCAGTTGTGGTGGCTTCTGTCTGTAATCCCAGCACTTTGGGAGGCCGAGGTGGAGGATTGCTTGAGGCCAGGAGTTCAAGACCAGTTTGGGTAACATAGTGAGACCCCCTCCATCATTCTACAAAACTTTAAAACACACACACACACGCACACACACACACCTACACACACACTACAGTATTTAAGGCCTAGAGCATCCAGAGACAAATCCAAGTGCATACAGGATAATTACATGTACAAATGACAACATTGCAAATTAACAGGGGAAGGACAGGTTATTTGATAAATTATGTTGAAAAAATAAGTTTTCTGAAAAAAATAATCATTTTGTCATTTGGGGAAAAATAAGCTGGTTCCATATCTCCTTGTATTAAAATAAATTCCAGATGTACTGGTATTGTTTTATCATTATTAGTGAGAAAGCAAGATATGAAATTGAGATGCAATAAAGGAAAATGAATGGATAATTCTGACTGTACAGTTTTCAGATATTAGGTTTCTCTATGTCAAAACACGTACACAATAATACAAGACTAATTTGTAAAAATGTTTACTAAACTTATGATGAAGGGTTAATTTTCCCAATAAACTAAAATCTCTTTCACATAAATACTGAAATGCAAACAACATAAAAACTGACAAAAGATATAAACAGGCAATTAATGGTAGTAATGTGTATGTCCGCAGTTCCAGAACTTCGCTGAACATTGGAATCATATGGAGATCTTTAAAAATAGTATTGTTGCCTG
The DNA here is from genome assembly GCF_000001405.40 of Homo sapiens. Lineage (NCBI taxonomy): Eukaryota > Metazoa > Chordata > Mammalia > Primates > Hominidae > Homo > Homo sapiens. Next base: position 42,040,806 of record NC_000015.10, read on the forward strand.
GCTCTCAGATACTCTGATGTAATTGGTATGGTGTATAACTTGGGCACTGGAATTTTTAGAAGCTTCTCTGATGATTCTAAAGTTCAAGAAAGGTTGGGAATCAATGGACTATGCAATAAGTCTATATAAAAGATTATTGCTAATAATTTAAAGACTGTAAATTAAAACAAAAAAGAGATGCCACGTTTCATTTATCAGATTGGCAAGGATAAAAAATTGATAAGACGTAGTGTTGGTGAGGGTGTGAGGAAGAGTCAGTAAAATGTTGGTGATAGGATGTAGATTAGAGCAAAGTTTTTGGAGGGCAATTTGGTAATCTTATGAATATGCAAACCTTGCACTGCCTTTGACTCAGCAACTGTATTTCTAGGAATTTATTTTACACAAACACTTGCTCAAATCCTCAAAGATATTTGATTTGGTATTATTCCCATAATATTTTAATTTTTGTTGTTGTTATTTGCCTGTTTGGTTTAATGAGGGATAGGGCTTAGAAGTGGTTGATGGGTAAAAGGAAAAAAAAAGTTGTTGATGAATGGAAATAGCAGTGCCCCCATTCCACTCGCACCCACCGATGTATCCATGGCATCTAGGCGTTGGATACTGGTGAGTGGAGCTGGGCAGCATCCTCCCTTACGAATCCAGTTGCATCCATAAATTTACATAGGAGCAGACGAGCCTCCTGGGGTTGGGGAAAGAGGTTGGGACTCGGACTCCTCATTGAGGATTCAAGTTATTGCAGTGTATATGATGAACTAAAGAGACCTCCCCAGGAGACCCATTGAAGTCAGATGACAAGGAAGGACACTGGGAGTTCCAGAGAGGAAATATGCCCTAAAGAAGAGGGAAGTTTAGACCAGTGTCCTGTACTGAGTATTGGGGTTTACCTTATCAGAACCACTCTTTCATGCTTATTCACTTTGCTACCGTGGGTCTCTTTGAGGGGAACTGGCTCTGTGTGTGTGTGTGGAGGGACAGAGCTGCATCATTATCAACAGACACTTGGTCACCAGGTCCCTTTGCTGAGGGACCCTCCTCATTGCTCCTGACAGGGCAGATGCATTCTTTAGCCTGGGCAAATCAGCAGAGAGGCTTTTGTAAAGTTTCAAGTCAGCAGACAAATGATGGGGGTCTGTCTCATGGACGGGGACAATGGCCATGCGAATTCTCTGGGCTATTTGGAGGGAAATCTTGACTTCTCTGCCAACTTGACAAGGAGTGGAGAGGAATCATTGTAATTTGCATATCAATGACATTTTCTAGGCTTTTGGGTGTTCATAGCACACTCCAAATGGTCATAGCATCAGAAATTGGAAACAACCTAGATGATATGATGTTATGTTATGTAGCCATTTTCAAAAATCTGGTTTTTAATAGCAGAGAAAAATTAATCACTATTCACTGATATGTAGAAATGACAAGTTTTACAATACGAGCTTAATTTTACATATATCAATATACGTATATATAAAGAAAATTTATTTCTAAATATATGTGCCTATAAAAAAGACTGGAAGGAAGTATATTAAGGGTTCAGGAAGTTATTTCTGGATGATGTTATTGGCAATGTTTATTTTCTCTATTACATTTTTCAAATTTTGTAATGTCTATACTGAATACATATATTATTTATAATCAGAAGAACAATTTTGTAAAAAGAACATTATTATAAATAAAGTTGCTCTTTAAATAAAGCAAAAAATGCATTTAGAGACAGGGAAAGAAAGCTAACATTTATTTCATGCCTACCATGTCCCAGGCCACCATACCAGATATTTATATATGTCAGCTCTGTTAAAAGTATCTTCTCCCATGGCCATCCTCTGGGAGTAGCAGGAGGTGTAGCTTGAGGTGGGGTCAGGCAAACCCACCCAGGGAAGGAATTTTTTCTCAAGAGCTGGGAAGCCCTTTCTTCCTTCTACTAAGCAGCTGGCCATCTGCCCACCAACCAGATCCTTCTCTTTGCCTTGGGTGAAACATCCACTCATTGGGCAAGGAAGGGGGCAGAGCCGTGGCTCACTGAAAATGTGACTGAAGCAGATACTGGAGCCCAGGCCAGCAGGGGCTTGAAACTATAGAGCAAGGAAGGCAACTTCAGGTATGAAAAGGGCAGTCAAGCACCAGAAAGGGTTAGACTGATATTGTGCCTGACCTGATGGTGGAAATAGGGCCTTTCTGAGTGGGTAGATTTGACCTTGGTGTAAGAAAGAACTTAGTCACTTGGAAGGTAATAAGCTTCCATTCTTAGAATTATGCAAGGGGTTCCTGCCTGGAAGGTGCAGAGGAGACTCCTACACTGGGCAAGCGGGGGTGGCTCTGGAAACCTAATGATCTGTTCCAGTTTTGAGAGTCTGTTACTCTCCATCCCACCATGCCCCAGATTCAGAAGACAGCTTGCTCACCCTGTCAGCTGCTGGAAGCATGTGGGAGAGGCCTTCCGGAGGCCAGGCCCACCTTTGTTGCCTAAGAGGTAGGTGGCTCTGACGGTGGGAACTTTACTAGGCAGGGAGGAGGGAACAGGGAAGGGCCAGCCTGGCCTAGTGAGGGAAATATGTGAGGAAGGTGGGCCTGTGGGCACCCGTAGGTCAGGACCTGTGGGTGGCCATCCACTCGGCCTTTCTCAGAACCAGCCCTGAAACTCATCTCGTGGGGCAAGTCTGATGCGAACATGGAGTCTCTTGTCCTGGGTGGCTCTCACCTGCTAATAGACACATCCTCACAAATGGTAGGTATTTAGGGAGCATGGTGATGGAGGATACAAAAAAAAAAAAAAAAAAAACAACCACAAACCAAAGAGGCCAGTGACAAAAAGCTTACAACAACAACAGAAGTTCACAGGCAAGACCCATAAGACAAATGTAGAGGAAAGAGCAGGAGATCTAGAGTTAGAGAGACCCGAGTGCGTATCTTGGCTCTGGCACTTACTGGGGCAGCAGTCAGCAATTACTTTATCTCTCTGAAACTCACTGTTCACTTTCCTCATCTGTAAAATGGAGTTAATAGTACTGATTTCACAGGATTGTTGTAAAGATTATATATTATATATACATAAACACCGTACATATACATCTGGCACACAGAATCTGGCATGTCATAAACCTTAATAAATTGTCATGGTTACTGTTATTCTTTTTGCTACAGGACAAATAAATTGGAAAGAACTAACCGTAAGTGTACTTGGACCGCAAAGAACCTCAAGGTTGGCATGGGCTGGAGAAGTCAGTGAAAGCTTTGTTCACTGATGACAGAGACATTTGAGCACCTCCTAAATGCTAGGCACTGTGCTACAGGTTCCGAGTATCAAAATCAACATGGTGCCTGCTCTTGGGAAGCTTCTAGTGAAGTAGCTTTGAAAGAAAATAATTTCTAACCATCAACTGCGATAAGAATCAGGAAGGAAAGTAACAGGGTGCTACGAAAGACGGGAACGGATTCTGATTTGGGGAGACGTCAGGGATGACCTCCCAGAGGAAGCAGCCTTGAAGCTGAAACCTGTAGGAAAATCGGGGTTAGCTACATGCGGGCTGTGGGGAGAGTCCCCCAGGCTGAAGGTACAGCAGTGCAAGGCGTTGAGGAGTGGAAAAGGCTGGCGTGTTCAGAAACTGAGCACCTGTGTCTGGGGCACGGTGAGGAAGGAGTGATGAGGTCAGAGAGGCCTTGGAAGCCATGGTCAAGATTTGGGATTTTATCTTAAGAAACTGGATGCCACCGAAGGGTATTAAGCAAGGACAAAAAACCAAACACCGCATGTTCTCACTCACAGGTGAGAACTGAACAATGAGAACACTTGGACACAGGGTGGGGAACATCACACACTGGGGCCTGTTGTGGGATGGGGGGAGGGGGGAGGGATAGCATTAGGAGATATACCTAATGCTAAATGATGAGTTAATGAGTGCAGCACACCAACGTGGCACGTGTATACATATGTAACAAACCTGCATGTTGTGCACATGTACCCTAAAACTTAAAGTATAATAAAAAAAAAAGAAAGGAAGTGATGTGAATGAGATCATCTGGCTGCTGGGTGGGGACAGAATTGGGCAGGACAGGGACAGGAAGATGTGTTGTAGTGGCTCAGATGGGAAGCAAATGGTCACTTGGGCCCGGGTAGGGGGCAGAGATGGAAGCAGTGGTGGACTCGAGAGGTATTTCTGAGCAGAACCTACACGGCATGGTGATAGATTAGATATGAGGGCATCCAGTGGGCTTCAGTGACCCGGCAGGATAGATTAGATATGAGGGCATCCAGTGGGCTCCAGTGACCCAGCAGGTGAAGGTACACAGGGCTGGTCTTGAAGGGGAGGCTGTCAAGATCCCACGTGGAGGCCGGTGGGGAGTCTCAGGGGGCTGAGCCTTGAGTTAGGGGCAAGGTTTGGAAAGGTGGCAGCTGGGGAAGGGAGACCCTCTACGATGGGAGGTAGCAGAACTGGGGAAAGAAGTAGGAATGAGCTTGCCTCACTCCACGTGGGTGGCACAGAGTAGGGCAAGCCCTGCTGAGAGGGAAGGGCATGAGCTGGGGGCCAAGAGTGTGAAACCGGGAGGATGGGGTGGGGTGGGGCCCCTGGAGTGGGCGGAGGCCTCTGCCTCTCATGAGATGCAAGAGATAGTAGGGAGCTGTTAGGTTCCCAGGCCAGCAGCCAGCCACCCAGGCAGCACCGGCACTCCACGGCAGTGCCGGGGGATGAAAAGGCATGAACAAGCAGCTGCAGAGCTTGTGCTTTCTGAGAGTATTTACTGACCACCTGCTCTGTGCTCAGAAAGATAACGGGATGTTTATGGAAAAAGTCTCTTGGCTCCCAGGACACCACTTTCTCATGGGTTGCTTCCAGCCTCACTGCCTGCTGCTTTGCATCTACTCTGATGGCTCTTCATCCTTGCCGGGCATCTGAAAGGTGGAAAACGGGAGAGCACAGACTTCTTCCCCTTCGCTTCTGTCTCTTTATCCTTTAGAGATGTCATCCAGCTCCATGGCTTAAAAACCTTCTACATTCTGCTTTATGATTTCAAACAGATTTCCTCCTCAACTTGTCTCCTGAGTTCCAGACTTGTATTTTCAACGGCCCACCTGACATCTCTGCTTAGATGTGAATCTCAAGTTTAAAATGCCAAAGACAGAGGCACCCAGACCGCTCCACCCCAACCAATTCTATCCTAGCTGAGTAAGGGGCATCTCTCAGTTACTAAGGCAAAAACTCACTAGGCATCTGTGATTCCTCCTTCCATATCCAGTGTGTCCCAAGTCCTGTAAATTCGACCTCCAGGAAACCCAGAATCCATCCACTCCTACTGTCCAATGCTACCACCCCTAACCAAGCCACCTCCATTTCTCTCTGGACCACAGCAAATGCCTTCTCACTTGGCCCGCACTTCCCCTCTGGCCCCCAGGAAATCCATGCTCCACAAAACAGACAAAGTGATGCAGGTAAAACATAAAACAGATCAAGTCAGTCCTCAGGTTAAAGCCCTCCATGGGCTCCCCCTGTCTTTTGGAACAAAATCAAAGCTGCTTTCCGCAGCATCCGGTCCATAAGGCCCGGACTTCACCTCCCAATGCTTTCTTCCTTGCTTTCCCTGCTCTCTGCTCTCCAGTCACCCTGGTTTTCTCCCTGTTTCTACAAAAGGTCAACCTTGTGTCCACCTCAGGGCCTTTGCACTTAGAATGTGCTCTTTCTGGAATACTTGCCATCAATCTTCTCATCATTCGGATCTTAGTTCAAATGTCACCCTCTTCTGATGTCCCCTCCCTGCTGCCTGTCACTCGCTGTCACATTTTGTCCTAATAGCACCAATATCAGAAATAGTCAGATATTTATTTACTGTCTCCCACATTGAAATGTAAGTTTCGTGAGAGCTGGATCTTGTCTGACCTGCTCAGTGCTCTCTCTCCCACTCCTAGAACAATACTAGGTGCATAGTGGGAGCTCAGTAAATATTTGTTCAATGAATGAAAAAATGCTTTGGATGTGGTCCCAGGTCTTCTTGAGGGAGTGTGACAAGCCACATGAGAAGTTATCTAAGAACACAGGGCAGGAGATGGTAACTCCTCCACAGGGCAGGAGATGCGGTGATTCAAAGGTAATCTGATAAGCTGATATTTGCTTTAGGGTTACTGGATGACAATATGCTACTCAGTAATGGGAGCCTCCAACTGGCCCCAGAAAAGAGGAAGGCCTGATCCATAGGGGTGGTCCTGGAGGGAATCCTTCAAGGACCAAAATGGAGGGCAGATGAGGAGCTATTTGAAGACTGGTGAGTGTCTCAGTCCATTTTATGCTACTATAACAGAATATCTGAGACTGGGTAATTTATAAAGAACAGAAATCTATTTCTTTAAAATATGTTTTTGGCAGGTAGAGGTGGGGTGTCACTATGTTGACCAGGCTGAACTCCTGACCTCAAGTGATGATCCTGTCTTGGCCTCTCAAAATGCTGGGATAATGGGTGTGACCCACAGCACCTGACCAAGAACAGAGATTATTTCTTATAGCTCCAGAGGCTGGGAAGTCTAAGGTCAAGGGGTCCACATCTGGCAAGGGCCTTCTTGCTGTGTCATTCCATGGTGGAGGGCAGAAGGGCAAGAGAGCACAAGAGAGAGCAACAGGGTGCAGAACTCACTTTTATAACAATCCCACTCTCAGTGACTCCCATGAAAACGACATGAATTCATCCATGAGGGCAGCAGCCTCATGACCGAATCCCCTCCCAAATGTCCCACCTCTCAACAGTGTTGCGTTAGGGATTAAGTTTCCAACACATGACCTTTGGGGGGCATATTCAGACCATAGCGGTGGGTCCTTGCAGTTCCCCCAAATCTGCCACGTAAGTAATCGAAGATTCCACTGTTACCCAGTGTGCACACATTCCCCAAGCCTACATGTCCCCCATTCATACATATATACACACCCTCTTGCAGAGCTGGTGGTGACTCTTTTTATCATGTTCAGATATTTCACAAAGGTCTCAGGGAATGACCAATTGGCCAGTCTCTGAGAAATTCCATGGAAATTTGCAAAAATAAAACACCTATAAAAACTGACATTTCATCACAAAAATCCTAATAAATTTTGTTGCATACATATGCACAATAGAATATTATTTAGCCACTAAAATGATACGAAGTTTAGGTAGCAAGATAGAAAATATTAATGACTATAATTTTAGGCTAACCCCCCTCCCGGGCATAGATATGGTATAAATATTATGCCATATTGTTATGCTCTGCATAATGACGGTTTGGTTAACAATGGACCACATATATGATGGTGGTCCTGTAAGATCAGAATATACTTTTTTTACTGTAGCCTCTCTATATTTAGATACATTTAGGTATGCAAATACTTACTGTGTTACAATTGCCTACAGTGTTCAGTACAGTAACAGGCTGTACAGGTTTGCAGCCTAGGAGCAAAAGGCTACACCATATAACCTAGGTGTGTAGTGAGCTATGCTACCTAGGTTTGTGTGCACACACTCTGTGATGTTTGCAAAATGATGAAATTGCCTAATGATGCATTTCTCAGAACATGTCCCTGTTGTTAAGCAACACATGACTGTAGTTATCGTATTGGGTTAATGGGATTATAGTGGATTGGCCCTTTATGTTTTCCAAACATTTTTAGAAATTACTTTACACATATCAAAATTAAAATATTAAAATTAAATACAATGTCTTTTTGTGGTCGTCTGTGTCCCAGTCATGTGGGCCTTTCTGCTCCCCCTCAAGCAGCTGGAGAAAGACCAGGGGGCCATGGGTACAGCCTCATATGTGCACTGTGACAGGCATGGGGATGACGGGGCGGAGGGGAGAAATCACGGTAAAGTCATAGTGATAACAATGACAGCGAGCCGCATTGCTCCAACTTCATATGCCGCAGGCACTGTGCTAAACATGTTGTTTACTCCGCACATCATTTTCCCCATAGAGGGAGAAACTGAAGTTCAAAGAGGCTAAGGAGCTTGTCTGAGGTTACAGGGCTGGCAAATGACAGAGCAAGGGATTGAAGCTGGTATAACTCCAGAGCCCGTGCTCTTCACCACTTGAATGAGGCCAATAATTTCACAAATATTAAGCCATTATGTTTTCGTTGCTCCCAAAACCTTTCAGCTGCCACTTCTAGGTGTGAGTCAGGAGGCTGAAGATGCCAGGGCAGGCAAGGGCAGGCCATTAACCTCGTTAGCAAGACAGCAGGGGAGACAGCTCGCCCCAGTTCCCATCCCCCTCCAGCGTATCAACAGCAGGCCTAGCCGATGAGACACAGAGACTTCTAGAACGGAGGCAGAGTCAGGAAGAGGAAGGGGAGAAGCACCTGCTCACCGGAGACAGGGAGACTGCAGAAGATGAGCTCTTGTGGGAATGGTGGGATAGTGTGGGGCAGAGACATCAAGGGAAACCCTGGGGCGGGGCTCTTGACCCCTCTTCACATGTGACTCTGGGAAGTGCCACCAGCAGAGGCCCGAGCCTCCAGTCCACCTGGGTTAAGGGATGGAGGCTGAACTCACTTTTATAACAATCTCACTCTCTCAGTTACTCACTCCCATGATCATGACATGAATTCATCCATGCGGGCAGCGGCCTCATGACCAAATCCCCTCCTAAGGGTCCCACGTCTCAACACTGTTGCATTGGGGATTAAGTTTCCAACACATGAATGCTGGGGGACATACTCCCCCAGTATGGAGGATGGTCCCCCAATATGGAGGACCGGGTCATCCCCAAGCAGCCCTCAGTTACCTGTGTGATGGATGCTGTGGTAGGTATGAAGTGGGACCTTCTGGATCCAGACAAGGTGACTCCGTGGTTGGGGCTCAGGATGGACCCTCCAAGCCAGGGGCCAGATAGAAGGAGGCAGAGACCAGAGGGGTCCATAGGAGGTGAGGGGATCTTGGCCAGTTCTCCCTGTAAGCCAGGCCTCGGCTGGCAGGAGGAAGCGAGGCTCACTCCCTGCAGAGCTCAGTCTGGTGCCACCGCTAAGACCATAGCAGCCAGAGGGGCAGAGGAATGCTGTCACCTCCCCAAATCACTGAGAGCCTCCCAGAAGCTCACACGCCCGCCCAGAGGAGAAACTGCACGAGGCAGACCTGGATCACCTGATAATTACCTTCAGATGCTGTTTGATTTCTGTAGCCCACTCAATTTACCAGATGGGAATTGCGTATTTGCTCATAGGTGGGGTTTGCGAGGTAAGCCAGATCTATGTGTTCCCTCCAACTCTCTCTGACTCGCATGGAATTACACTTACGACCCTGCCAGGCCACTATGCTAGACTGCATGGTTCGAGAGCCTATGTGACAGGCACTCTGCCAGGGGCTTCACATGCATGGTCTTGTTCACTCTTCTCAGCATCGTGTTGACAAATATCTTCCATCTCAGGTGCCCATGAAACTAGCTATGTGGCCTTGGGCAGGTTCCTTGACCTGTCTGTGCTTCAGTTTCTTCATCAAATGCAGATACTGATTCCTGCCTAGCAATATCAGTGCATAGAATGCACTTGATAAAAGGTCACCACTGTTGTTAACAGTTCTTTTGAGCACAGAGGGAGGTAAGGACAGATAGGTGATGGCAGCAGGGTAAAGGGACTCCTCCGGAGAGAAAGAAATGAACAAAAACCACAACCTCTTAACTCTGCAGCAATGCAGGTGATCTTATTCCGAGTCAGGAAAGTGAGGTTAAAATTTAAGGGACCAGACCCCCCTCCCAGGAACACAGACATACCTCAGAGCCCCAAGGAGCCATAGGACAGAAAGGTGGGAGACCAGGAGTGTCCAGGTCCTGTGTATCCTCGAACTCACTGAAACTTCTTCCTGACCTGCTGCCTTCTTCATCCGTTTGTGGGCTCTGTGGGACAAACACATTAGTTCCCAGGCCAGGACAGCCTTCCGAGGCCTGGAGACTCATCCCAGCCTCCTCTCTGGGACTCAGGACGGGCTGTGTGGAGCTGAGGCTGGTCCTCAAAGTAAGGTGTTGTTGGAGCCTCCTGGGGTAATTTCAAGGGAGTTTTGTGTGAAAGGGAAGCAGTGCCACCAGACTCCTCCTGAAGCTAAGCCAGGATGAATTATTAAGGAGCTGAAGGAAGCCAGGGCTTAACTAAAGGAGCCCCACGTCTATCTCTGTGAATATTTCAAACCATCTGGACCTATTTTGTGGAGAGAAATTTCTTGCGCTGCCTGAAAGACAAGCAGGGAGCTAGCATTATGCTCACATAGGACAGTTCTCCGTCAAGGGAGGCCTGCGTTTCAGGGCTGGGATCCACGCTCAGAGAAAGCTTCTTAGTGCTGCAGAGCTATTTTTAAAGTGCGAAACTCAATATGTCAGTGGGAGAGGGAGGGAGAGAGGGCTGGGGGTGAAATGGCTGAGGCCATCCAGGCCCCTGAAGGAGCCTCACTTTCCTGGGTGGGTGAAGCCACTCATTTGGGTCTTGCCTGACACCCCCAGATCTCTATTTTAACCCCTGAAAATAAATACCTAGCCTTGTGTTCAGAGCTGATGGTGGGGCCACAGGCCAGAATAGAATTTAATCATTTACTCTGGCTCTCTTTGGTTTAATAGATGCCATATCTGGCAGCTTAACGGGGATGTGTCCTAGTTCCATGTTAAAAACAAAAATTAAAAAAAAATTAAGAACGCTTCTTTATGTTCTGTTTACAACTGTTTTTAACATACATTTGAAATGTTCATCTTCCTGTCTTTCTGTGTGCTGGCTCTGAGGCACCCAGCATCCTCTCTAGTTGGGAGTATCCCGCTGTCCCCCTCTCTTTCTGAGGCTGTGGTTTTCCAGTGGGTGTCTCTGGCCCAAATAGCCCTATCAGAAATGAAGCAACAGGCTGGGTGCAGTGGCTCATGCCTATAATCCCAGCACTTTGGGAGGCCACGGCGAGTGGATCGCTTGAACCCAGGACTTTGAGACCAGTCTGGGCAACTTAGCGAAATCCTGACTCTACTAAAAACACAAAAATTAGCTGGGCATGGCGATGCGTGCCTGTAGTCCCAGCTACTTGGGAGGCTGAGGTGAGAGGATCGCTTGAGCCCAAGAGGTTGAAGTTGCAGTGAGCTGAGATTGTGCCTCTGCACTCCAGCCTGGGCTACAGAACAAGACCCTGTCTCAATCAATCAATAAACCAAGCAACAGCCAGACCCACACTTAGACTGACCAGTCATGTGTTTGGGTAGGAGACGGTTATAAAGTGTCATTTTTCCGTTTGTGCTATATAGGAAAAAATAGCTTGAATGGCAGTGCTAATAAGGATAAAAGGAGTTGACATTCGTCAAGCACACACTTGGTTCCCTTACAAAGCAAAGGCAGTTTGGAATAAAACAATAAAAAGTAAACTTTGAAATAAAATAAATGGAAAATGCATTGTAAAAATATCAGTTTGGAATTGACTTGAAGAGTTGCCAGATCTCTTCCCTGCACCACATTTCACAGTTTACAAAGCTTGTTGGTTTACGTTTTCCATTTCTTAGGGGCCTTGTTCTGGAGGTCTTTACTAGAAGCCAGTGCCGGCAAGTGACTGGGGAAAAGGCAACTCTTCATGGAGGGAGTGTGCAGATGCCAGACATGGCTATAATATTTTACTTTTTATTTTGCCACAAGGGAGAAAGGAAGCTTGACATTGGAAGAAAAAAAGTTATGTGGATGGAGATATGTAGATACAAAGGTGTTTGAAATCAAGCTTCCTTGAAGTCAAAGAGAAAGTTATGTGTTAAGACCCAGAATAATTTCTGATTCAAGGTGAAGTTTTAGAATGTGAGAGGGAGACCTGGATTAGACTAAATATTGATAGGTGATGGTTTATTGTGCAATTAAAAAAAACACAAATTATCAGTTCTTTATCCAGTTTCCAGTGAGAATTACGTTCGTGAATAATCGGTGCAAAATAAAACCAACACCAGCTAATATTTCACGTGGTAAACTTTGAAAGAATCGTATCTTGGGGATAAAAAACCAACCTGGCAAAAAAAAAAAAAAAACCCAAAAACAAACAAACAAACAAAAAAACAAAATTAGACTTGCTAAGCAATAGTAGCCACAAAAGAAAATATACGAAGGTCAAGCTATAATGGAAAACTAGTGAGGATTAGTGAGTGGAATAACCAAGTGTACCTCGGTATTCTCATTTTTCTACATCTTACCTTGATTGTAATTTAAAAAATAAATACAGAGATCAGAATGGGGTCGTTCAAGATTTCTTTTGGTAGATGTGTTTTGTGCTTAGTCAAGGTGAAAGGATGCCCAGGCACTGCCACTCAGAGGTCTCTGCCCTGTCCGGGGCATCTGGGGGGCACCTGGAAGAGGTCTCTTCCTCATAGCTCTGCCCACCCCACTGTGCAGGTGAGACCCAGAATGGACGCTGCTTTGAGGCAGCTGACCAGTGGGATCTGACCTGGAGCAGCTGGTGGTGGCCAGGGCTGAGAGCCAGGATGAGTGTGGAGGTGGTAGCACGCTGGAGAGTGAGCAGAGAGGGCAGCTTCGCTGGTAGACTGTGTGTGGGGCCCAGGCAGGGAGGAGCCAGGCTTCCTTTCCCTGTTCTTGGGACATCCTCTCTCCTGTTCTTTCTTCCTGCCCTTGAAGACCCTCCTGTTGCTTGGGTTATTTTTCTCTCCCGTGGTCTGACTCCAGGACTTCTCCAAGCCAGGAACTATGGTGACAGATAGACAGGCAGACAGGGTGAGAAAGGGGACCCTCTCTGCAGACCCTCAGGAACTTAGTGCCAGGGGAGGGGGCTCTGAAGTCAAGCTTCCTTGAAGTCAAAGAGAAAGTTATGTGTAAGACCCAGAATAACTTCTGATTCGAGGTAAACTTTTAGAATTTGAGAGGGAGACCTGGATTAGACTAAATATTGATAGGTGATGGTTTATTGTGCAATTGAAAAAAACACAAATTATCAGTTCTTTATCCAGTTTCCAGTGAGAATTACTTTTGTGAATAATCAATGCAAAATAAAACCAACACCAGCTCACATTTCACATGGTAAACTTTGAAAGAATCATATCTTGGGGATAAAAAAAGCAATCTGGCAAAAAAAAAATTAGACTTGGGCACAGGGGCAGGAGCAGAGACGAGCCCTCATGTCATTTCCAGATTGGTGTCAGGGAGTATCTGAATGTTTATCCTTTTAAAATGTTTCTAGGGGATGTCTCCAGGCCTTGTTGAGCTTAGTCTCCTGTAAAATTCACCTCCTACAAATTAAAAATAAAAGCCAAACAAAGAATTTTAACCTCAGCTGAAATAACAGCTCCAACAAACATTCTTGCACTGAGCACCATGTGCCCGGAATCCCTCAAGGGCACCTGGCCACTGGTCCTGCCAAATTCCCCACTTCCCTGCCCAGCCAGGCCCTGGGTGGCCCCACAGTTGGCCACTCCTAGAATAGGCTCCACAGGACTATGTGTATTTTTTGTATTTGTTAGTTTTTTTTTCTTATTCAATTCCTAAAATGGAAGATCTACAGGTGGATAGAACGCTCACTAAGTAAGTCCTCAGCTTCCAAAACCTAGAGGCACACTATTACCCTACACATTTAGTTAAGGGAAAATGGAAAGGAGAAAAGGAGGGAGGGAAGGAGGAGACAGAGGAAAGAAAGAAAAGCAAGGCAAGGCCTGGAAAGATTTGCAGAAGTAATGACAGCTTTTTTCTTTTTTTTTTGGAGACATAGTCTCACTGTGTCACCCAGGCTGGAGTACAGTGGCATGATCTCAACTCACTGCAACCTCCAGGTGCCAGAGATTCTCCTACCTCAGGATCCCGAGTAGCTGGGATTACAGGCACATTTTTATATTTTTAGTAGAGATGGGGTTTTGCCATGTTGGCCAAGCTGGTCTCGAACTCCTGACCTCAAGTGATCCGCCTGCCTGCACCTCCCAAAGTGTTGGGATCACAGGCGTGAGCCACCGCACCTGACCAGTAACGACAGCTTTTAATGGTGAAAAACAGAACAAGCTGAGAAGGCTACAGTGAGGACTGGAATGTTGGGCTCTGATGTGTGGCTTTGATGTGTATATGTTTGAGCTTCTCCCTTTTTTACATCCCTGGGGAAATTTTAACTTCATTCTGTTAAGCTTAAATGCTTTTATGAGAAGTATCCTAATTTAATAAAGTCTTATCTAGAAAACGTTTTATGAAAAATACCTAAGATGTAGAATAGGGAGTAGAATAGAATCTGGTGGGTAAAAGTGGGCTGTATACATAAGTTTAAAGAAAAGAAAAAGAGAAAAATGTATTTTCTGGAGCAAATTCAATTAAGCCAATTTAATTTCTTGATCTTCTTGATTATTTTTAATAGAATAATACTTAGCAATTTCCAGTTTTGCTGCTTATCTTCGTTGGGACCAAGTCTTTTCCACACACCATGAAATCATACCCTTTATGATGGGTTTTACCTTTTCTTTGTGGCCGCTATCTCTTTACAAGTCTAATTTTTGCCAGGACAATTTTTTTATTCTTAAGATGTGGTTCTCTAAAAGTTTATCATGTGAAATTTTGGTTGGTTTCATTTTGCATTGGTTATTCACAAAAGTAATGTTCATTGCATTGGATAAAGGACTGATTATTTGTTTTTATTTTTTATTGCAAAAAGAAAACATAAAGAAAAGGCATTTTCCATGGTATGGTTAAAATGTCAGGAAGCTTTGTTACATTAAAATAGTTGTTTAAAATGTGGGAAAGCCTACAGATAGAAAAAAAACAAACAAAAAACATCCTTAGTTTCCAGGGGCAGGATCTTTAATAAGGAAAGATTTTCTCCAATAAGAGAGGCCCTTCACGGGAAGAAGAGTGGGGAGATCACATAGGGAAAGGGGCTGTTGGACACACCAGAGATCTGAAGCCACATGGGAAGAACCATCCCACTGGGGCCTAAATTAAAATGTCCAGATTGGCTCTGGGCACATTTAACTAAATGTGTAGGGTAATAGTGTGCCTCTAGGTTTTGGAAGCTGAGGACTTACTTAGTGAGCGTTCTACCCACCTGTAGATCTTCCATTTTAGGAATTGAATAAGAAAAAAAAATTAACAAATACAAAAAAATACACATAGCAATTAATGTAGGTTGTTTACACATGATAATGTATGAGACCATCATAATGGTTATGGTCTCATATCATTAGGAGGACTCTATTCAAGAAAGGAGGATTTAACAGAGTATAGCTGGGGACAGTTAGTAGAAAAAATAAAATTGTTTCATGTTTGCCCCCGGAGTGAGCTGAGGCTCTTCAATGAACTGGTTCAGGTTGTAAAGGACATGGAGTAGAGACCGTGCCTGGCAAGACCCCAGGGACAGCAGCTGCTGCTACCACCCTTAGGTACAAGCAGGATCTGCCCAAGGCACTTGCACTTATGTTTCAGGGAGCAAAAGTCTATTTAATTTTGCTCTACAAAAGGGAGATGGGGCTTTATCAAAAGGAGCTGATTACCTTCAGCCCTGGATCCAGGTGTATCTCCTTCCAGGTCCATGGAAGACATACTGGGTGACATCAGGAAGACATGAGAGGCTAGGCTCAGTGCCTCTCCAGTGGTTCCTGATTCAAAAACGGATGGTGCCCACCCACCCAGGAGGTGCTGGGGTGCTGTGGGAGGGTGGGGCTCCCACAGCTCTTAAGAGTATTATTGGCAAGTTATCCAGTCTTTCTGAGCCTTAGTTTCTTCCTTGGTAAAACAGGGATAATAATGATACCGACTTTATAGAAGTGCGAGAACTAACGCCTGCCAAATAGTAGGGCACAATTAATGTTAGTGTCTTTTCTGCCCAATTGCCCAGTACAGAAAGTGTTGCTTCAGTAACCTAGGCGAATGCCAGGACTGATTCATAGGAATATCATAGATATATTCGCAACGTCTAAAATGATCTCGTTATAACAATGATCGTTTTTACAAAAATAAGATATATTGACTGTTTTGTATCCCATGAAGGTGAGGGGAGGGATTTTCCTAACTTTCCTTCCAGAATCCGCTATTAGGGTGATGGACTCAGCACCTTTCTGTCCTCCCCTACCCGTCTTAAGAGTTCCTCGTCACAGAGTCGGAAATGGGGATAGAGCTTGGCCCAAGTTAGAATTTCCACCACTCCAGGGGCAGAATGCAGAAAGAAGAGAAAAGTAGCGGGGGGCCTGGCGCAGCTGCTAATGCGGTGCAGAAACTCTTTGAGCTGCCACCCTGGCAGGGCCGGCCTTGGGGGATGTGCCTGAGGATGGTGGGTGAGCAAAGCCACCTGCCCCGGCACAGAGCCTGCGGGTTGTGCTCTGCAAAGCCCTCCCGGTTTCATTCCCAGAGACCGGGCGAGAAAGGGCAAGCCAGGCAGCAGACGCTGGGGGGCGCGTGGCCAGGCTACCCGGATCGTCCAGCGCGACATGGAGTCTGTGTGTCCTCACCAGTGCTGCGTGACAGGAGCCGGGCACCACCGACGCCATAGGCTTGTCGGTGTCTCAGCACTGACACCGTGTGGCCCTGAGAAAAAGCAGTGAGGGGTCCGCAGAAAGTCTTGGAGACGGGAGGTTGTCCCATTTCCTTTCCTCGGGATGTTAATCAGCATCCCTGGGACTTTCCTGGTTATCGCTGATGGCAGAAGTCCAGGAGGGAAAGGAATGTGTCTGAGCTCAAAGGCTGAAGGCTTCAAGACTTAGAAGTCAATTCGATCACTAATGAGAAAGAATGTAATCTCAAGGTGAACTCCAGAGTAGGGAGTGAGTGTGTATCGTGACCTTGGGGGCTAGTCATCACCCCAGCCTAGACAAAGATGATGTAAAACACCCGCGTCAGGGTTGTGACATCCTCCTGACGTCGAGGAGCGACCGCCCCTTCCCGGATGATGTGGCTCGCACAGCTTACACTTTCTCCACCTCCGCTGGCCGTACCTGCTTCAGTAAGTGGCCCTGCCATCCACCCAGTTGCGTAATGGATTAGTCAAGACTCTCTTAGTCATAGGTAGGAGCCAAACTGAACAAGCTGAGGCATAAAAAGCAATTTACTGCCTCACCTAGCTGGGCAAGAGGCCGAACTAACTCACAGGTTTGACACAAGGAAGATTCTGGGAAGTTGGAGAAGAACAGAACCTGGGATTGGCAGCGGCCAGGGCTGTTTGTCCTGCCCTTGTCTCCTCTGTCCCCCTTCACCCACTGGCCTCACTCTCTCTTTCTGTAGACAGCCCTCCTCCAGTGGTGGGGATACAGCCCCTGGCAGCCCAGGCTCAGCCACCCCAACATCAAGGGAGAAATTTTTTCAACAGGAATCTTTCTAATAGGGAAGGGCTCAGATGGGCTTGCTCAAGTTAGGTGTCTGCCCCCCGAGGCAATCCCCAGTGGCAAGGAGATGACACACTGAGATAGGCCAGTCCTGGTCACACCCTCTCTCCTAGGGCTGCTGGACAGGAGTTGTCAACAGAGAAGAGTGACAGGAACACTTACTTGGCAGGCACAAATCACAGGTTGCTGTGCTCCACTATGCAGATGATGACACCCTCAGATTTTTTCTCTTTAGTAAACTCTTAAAACTAGACATATACACAGAAAACTGCATGAATTATGAGTGTGCAGTGTTTATTCACAAGAGCAAGGACATAGAATCAACCCAGGCACCCATCAAAAGTAGATTAAAGAAAATGTGGTGCATATACACCATGGAATACTACACAGCCATAAAAAAGAACAAAATCGTGTCCTTTGCAGTACCATGGATAAGGCTGGAGGCTGTTACCTTAATTGAATTAACACAGAAACAGAAAACTAAATACTACGTGTTCTTACTTGTAAGTGGCAGACACAAAGATGGGAAAAATAAACACCGGGAATTCCAAAAGCGGGGAGGGAGAGAGTGGGAGAAGGGTGGACAAACTGCCTATTGGGTACTATGTTCGCTACTTGGGTAGGGCCCAAACCTCAGTACCATGCGATATACCCATGTAACCCCAAACCTGTACATGTACCCCCAGAATCTAAAATTTGTTTTAAAAAAGAAAATAAATATGTATAGAAATAGCAGAATGTAAGATACCTTTAAGTTCACCTTTCAGAGATAACACTGATGATGTTATCAGCATTTATTATTTTCTTTAAGGATCTCATTTCTATTTATTTATTTATATATATATATTTTTTAGAGACAAGGTCTCACTCTGTTGCCCAGGTTGGAGTGCAGTGATGCAGTCATAGTTCACTGCAGCCTCAAACTCCTCAGTTCAAGTGATCCACCTGCTTTGGCCTCCCACAGCGCTGGAATTACAGGCATGAGCCAGCACACTCGGCCAAGAATCTCATTTTTTAGCCTCACTTTTAAAAAATAAAATAGAAAGTATACTGCATAAAGAAAAAAAATGTGCAGCTTCATTAAGTTTCCCTTTTGAATACACCCATGTAACAAGCATCCTGATGGAGAAACAGAACGTCACCAGCATCCTAGAAACCTTCCTTGGCTTCCTTCCAATCATGGCACACCTGTCTTCCAAAGGTAAATGCTATCCTGATTTCTGCTACTGTAATTAGTTTGATCAGTTTTGGCACTTTATACCAATGCAACTGTTCAATATTTTATTCTTCCATGCCTTGCTTCTTACATTCAACATTATGTTTATGAAACCCATCCATACTGTGTGTAATACAGAGTGTTTGTTTTCACGGCTGCATAATATTCCATTGCATGAATACTCCAAACATTATTTGCCCATTTTACTGTTGATAGACACCCTGGCCGTGAAGAGGAAAGTCCCAAGTGCCATTGGGTTGTGACAGTACTGTGAGAGACTTTACCTAGGCATTTATGTCTTTGAATTTTGCTTTGAATCATGTTCTTCTTTGAATATATGTGTAAATGCTGGCTGCTAATTAATATATAAGGTTGTCACATGAGTTTAAAAGCATTATTTCAGCCAAGCGCAGTGGTTCATGCTTGTAATCCCATCACTTTGGGAAGCTAGGCAGAAGAATTGCTTGAGCCCAAGAGTTCAAGACCAGCCTAAGCAACATAGCAGGACTTCTATAAATAAGAGCGTATTTTGTGGAAAGTTTTACGGAGTGACGAGTATGCTCTGTGCTCTTGGGGACCACTACTCCAGGCAATTAATTGTCCTGGCAACACCGTCACTTGGCAACACAGCCCCCTGGTGGCAGCCACCTGAACTGCAATCTTACCTCAGAAAAAGTTAATTGCTGTTTTTCAAACCGGGCATTATAGCAAGTGTCACAACCCAGGACATAATTTATACTTAGACCAGTAATCATTTATGTGAATAAAAGTGCTCCATCTCCATGGCATTGTATCTAATCAGGATACAAGTCCATCTCTAAAATAATGATAAAAATTTTTTAAAGAACTACCATTTATCAAGTACTTCCTGTGTCTGGTACCGTGCCACACCCTTCACATACAGTATTCAGCGTCATCCCTCCAGCAGTGCTGCGGAGTGGCCATTGTTGTCACCTTTTAGAGACAAGGAAGCAGAGGCTTGCAGATGTTCAGGAATCATCTCAAGGTAAATGGAGCCAGGATGGCTTCTCCCACAATCATGATCTCCTCTGCCCCCTGCGATTGGAGGCACCTGGCTGTTCCACGCTCACTCAAGGTTCATTCCCACAGACCAGCCCCCACCCCGAGGAGGGCTGGAGTCAGAGAAGAGCTCACTTTTTCTCCTGTGGCTCTCTGCTGGGAGGCACGTACTTCTAGTTCCTCTTCCCTCGTCCATACCGCCCAGGTGGACAAGTCGTTTTTCTGCTAGTAGAAGCCCAAGGCATTGTTCGGGGCACATTGTACTAGCGCCTGGGATTCATGTGGGTGTCTTCCCCATCTTTCTGTGCCCAGGCAGTGTCAGGTTGGCCTGTCCTCCGCCCCTCCTTGACTGCTCATGACCAGGTGGCAGGTAGAATAACCAACTTGCCCCACTTTGCCCAGGACCTTCTCCATTTTTGCACTGAAAATCTCCCATCTCAGGAACCCCCTTGGCTCCAAACAAGCTGCCTTTCCCCCTGGATCTTGGGAAAGTCAGGCCCAAATTGCACCACAGATTCAGCTGTCCTAGATCCTGTGAGAGGATGAGAAACTCGTTAGGCCTCCTGGCTTATGATGCACTGGCCAATCCAGCAAACCAGAGCTCTGCGTTGGGATTGAGGATTAACAGGTGCTTGTCCTGCCTGTGAAAACAGTCCTTGGCAGCATGTAGGGTAGTCCAGCATGTGACTTCTGCAGGCAGGTGGCCTGGATTCAGATCCTGGCTCCACCTCCTGCTGGCTCTGTGGCCTTGAGCAGGTTATTTCACCAACCTGACCTCAGAACCCAACGCTTAGCACAGCACATACCTCACTGTGGCTGTTGTGAAAATTCAATGTGAAAATGCAGATGCTTGGAAGCATTCAGCCCACAGGTCGTGCGCCACAAATGACAGCCCTTGCCATTCCCTTTGCTTCTTCAGCTGCCAAACTGCCTCCCAAGTTCTGATCCTAAGACTTACTTATTTTTAGTATGAAATGCTTCATAAATACAAAGGAATATATATCACACATTCATATATAAAATGTGAAGAGTAACAAAATATATACCAATGTACTCAAACCTCCTCTCCTTCAGCTTAAAATAGAATATTACTGACCAGTCATAGTGGTTCACACCTGTAATCTAGCAGGTTTGGGAGGCCAAGGCAGGAGAATCGCTGGAGGCCAAAAGTTTGAAACCGGCCTGGGCAACATGGCAACACCCCACCTCTACAAAAAAATACAAAAATTAGCAGATGGTGGGGGGTGGTGTGCACCTGTGATCCCAGCTACTTGGAAGGTTGAGGTGGGAGGATCGCTTGAGCCTGGGAGGCAGAGGTTTCAGTGAGCTGAGATCATGTTACTGCACTCTAGCCTGGGTGACAGTGAGACCCTGTCTAAAAAAAAAAACAAAAGAAGAAGAAGATTACCAATGCTTTTGTATATCCCTCTAATCATAACCTTCCCTGTAATGATAATGAATCTGAATTTTGCCATTTCCTCACTTGAACGTATCATTTCTTCACTTTTTGTTATATGTTTACTACATACGTATGTATTGCTGATAACGTATTGTTATGTTTGAGATATCTGGGTCCTGATGCAAATGCAATCATACTTATTTTCTTTTTTCACTCAACATTGTGTTTTTGAGATTCATCCATGTTAATATATGAAGCTGTAGTTCATTATTTTTCCTTGCTGTACAGCATTCCACTGTTTGAATGTGTGGTCATTCATTGATCTACTCCCCTATGCAAACAGTGCCACCACAAACACTTTCATAGGTTTCCAGGTGCACGTGTGCACAAATTACTCTACAGTATCCATCTAACCCGAAAAGTCTTCACTGATGGCTCAGTGGCAATGGCCTGCCCTCTGGTTTGGTTTTCATTGTGACCAGAATTCTGAACCCAACACTCTCTGCTCCATTAAAATCTTTTTCTGTATTTTAAAGTAGGATTCAGGATTATGAGTGACAAAAAGCTCAACTCAAGTGATATCAGGCAAAAAAAAAAAAAAAAAAAGGTGGGGTAGAGAGAACTGTATTGGGATGAATGATGGAGCAGTTTAGAGGGGACTGGTTGAATCTTAGACTAAGCACTGTCCACACAGCCCTGTGGATCTCTCGGTCACAGGGCTTGGCCACCCCCGTTTTCCTTCCATCCTTGGACAGACTCTTCCCTCATCGGAAACAGATAGTGGCAGTCACTTCTGCCTGCAGTGCCCAGGTCTGAGTCCAGTGGGAGGGAGCATCCATCTCTGCAGCCTTAAAAAGCCTCCTGGTGTGTCACTGGTCACCTGCTCATCCCTGTGCTAATCTCTGTGGCCGGAGGAACGCAGTCCATCCCTCGAGTTAGGGTGCAGTCAGCCACTGCCCTAAGCTTTCGGGCTGAGAGTGAAGTCAAGGGGATTTCTTCCCAGGGAAATAGGGGTACTGTTCCTAAAAGAAGGGTAATGACCACAGCGGGCCCAAAACAGTAAGTGTCATACAGGCGTGGTGGCTCACACCTGTAATCCCAGCACAAGGAAGCCAAGGTGAGCAGATTGCTTGAGGCCAGGAATTTGAGACCAACCTGAGCAAAATAGTGAGATCCTGTCTCTACAAAAAATAAAATTAGCTAGGTGGGGTAATGCACACCTGTAGTCCCAGGTACTCTGGAGGCTGAGGCAGGAGCATCACTTGCACCTAGGAGATCAAGGCTGCAGTGAGCTATGATCATGCCACTGCACTCCAGCCTGGACAATAGAGTAAGAGTCTGTCTCTAACAAAAAACAAACAAAAAGTGAGTGTCCAACGCGCCCTGGGCTTGCTGTGTGACCTTGGATAAGAGACTTCACATCCCAAATGCCCAAGTCTTCATCATTGATGAGTATGGCAGAGCTAAAGGTCCCTGAGATTCCATCTGACCTTGACCTCTGATTGTGTGGGCTCTGGCTGCCCTGTCACCCTCTTCCTTGCCACTCCTGTGCCCTTTAACATCATAGCTTGTCCAGTCCTCCAGATCTTTCCACTATAATGTCGAGTGCATACTTCTGGGATCACCTCTGTGAGCTCATTCCTCTTGCTGACAACATGGCTTCTCAGAGGTAGCACACAGGACAACAGCTCCTCAAACCGCACCCTCTGCCAATACTGGGAGCCTCTCCAGAGCGCCTCATCATGCTCGCCACCACCGGCCTTTCAGGCCACAGCCTTCAGAGTCTTCTGTGGATCTCCATCTTCCTTAAGCCCCTGAACCTGCTCTCTTACGGAATTTTGGCCTTTGTTTCCTCCTCTCAGAGTTCTTCTTGCTTGCTCACATCAATGAAGCCAGCTGCCATATTGTGACCACCCCGTGGATAGGCCCATGTGGCAAGGAACGGAGGGTGGCCTAGGGACACATGGCCCACGAGGAGCTGACCCCTGCCAGCAGCCACATGCATGAGCCTGGAGACAGATGCCTCCGCAGCTGAGCCTCGGGGCGAGGTCAGTCCTGGCCAACACCTTGATTGCAGATGGCCAGTTAAGTCATGCCTCAATTCCTGACTCACAGAAACTGATTGAGCTCCAGAAAACCATTGTCAAGAAACAGAGATAGTGGGCATCCTGATCTTGTTCCTTAGCTGTAAGGAAATGAATCTAGGATTTCACTTCACTATTCAGGATGACAGGTTTTGTTTTTTCATCAAATATATACTGTATTTGTCAATGCTCTGCAGAGAAACAGAACCGAGAAAGAGAGAGAGAGAGAGAGAGAGAGTGTGTGTGTGTGTGTGTGTGTGTGTGTGTGTGTGTGAGTGAAGCGAGAGAGAGACATTTTGTTTTTGTTTTTGTTTTTTGAAATGGAGTTTTGCTGTTGTCACCCAGGCTAGAGTGCAATGGCGCAATCTCGGCTCACTGCAACCTCCACCTCCCGGGTTCAAGCAATTCTTCTGCCTCAGCCTCCCAAGCTGGGATTACAGGCACACACCACCATGCCCGGCTAATTTTTGTATTTTTAGTAAAGACAGGGTTTCACCATGTTGGCCAGGCTGGTCTTGTACTCCTGACCTCAGGTGACCCACCCACCTTGGCCTCTCAAAGCACTGGGATTATAGGCGTGAGCCACTGCACCCAGCCAAGACATGTATTGTAAGGAATTAGCTCAACGTGGTGGAGGCTTGGTGAGTCCAGAGTCTGATGGGGCAGGTTGACATGCTGGAGACTGAGGGAGGAGTTGTAGTTGGGGTCCAATGGCACTCTGCCAACAGAATTCCTTCTTGCTGCGGGGAGGTCCGTTTTTGTTCTATTAAGGTCTTCAACTGATTGGTTGAGGCCAACCCACATGGTGGAAGATAATCTACTTTACTCAAAATCCACTAATTTATTTATAATTATTATTATTGTTATAGAGACAGGGTCTCACTTTATTGCCTACTCTGGTCTTGAACTCCTGGCTTCACGCGATCCTCTCCCCTCAGCCTCCCAAAGTGCCGAGATTACTGGTTTGAGCCACTGCATTCAGCCCCAAATCC